>NC_000011.10:75601150-75904180 GCF_000001405.40 Homo sapiens | reverse complement strand
GATGAGTGGTCAGCAAACTTTTTCCATAAAGGGCCACATAGTAAATGTTTTAGGCTTTGCAGGCCACATGTCATTTCTGTCACATAGTCTTATTTTTTCTTTAAAATTCTTTAAAAATGTAAAATCATTCTTAGTCGCAAGCTATACAAAAATATGTGCTGGACTACAGTTTGCTTATCCCTGTACTAGTTCATTGGATGAGTCACGTTTTAAAACATGTTACTATATATTTTGAGAGTTTTTAGCTGCAACAACACAAGACTGTCCTTAACTTCATTAAAACTACAAAATGTATACAGAAATAACGCAGTTAGTAGGATAACTGATTAGGAAGCAAATAGCATTATACATATACTTATTCCTTTCAGTGTTTACTGAACACCGAGTACATAGATGGTGTTAGGCAATTATTACTACTGTCCTCATAGAGAACACAACCCAGTGAAGGTTCCAAGTGAATCAAATAATGCAAGAGTGCCATAAGAAAGGCTTTTTAAAAAGCTACAGGAGTTCTGCTGCAGTAAAGATTCCATCTGGTAGAGCAGGAACATCAAAGACTGCAGGGGTGGCAGTATTTGGGATGGATTAAGTAGTACTGAAAAGCTGAATGGCAGTGAAGGAAAGTCCCACACAGACTGAACACCTTTAGCCAAAGCATGACAGCAGGAAAACACAAGCTGCATTCAGAGAAAATTAAATAGTAGTCCAATTCGTTTAGCTTCAGTGACGTGGAAATTATTTGGATCCCTGGAGAGGGAAGTAGTGGGAGATACAGCTGAATAAGTAAGTAAGGAGGGCCAGAACACAGCAAGTCTTGAATACCATGCTAAAATGTAAAGACAACCTATGGGCAGTAAGAACTCATGGAAGGTTTCTAACAGTTTAGGGTTATAATCAGAGCTACATTTAAGGAAGGTTACTCTGGTATTAACAAACCTCATAAATTGGAGGAAGACTGTCCAACTACCCGATAGGAGGCTACTATAAAAATCCATACATATTAGACATAATGAGGGTTCAAAATCCATCAGTGGCAATGGTAATAAAAAACAACAGAAACAGAAAAAGAGAGAGGAGGAGGAGGAAGGTGGGGAGGAGGAGGAGAAGGAAGAAGAGAGATAAAAAGCGGAGACAGAACCCAAAGTACTATACAACTGACTGAATTTGGGCTGATGGAGAGAAAGCAATCAGACCAGAGAGTTGGACACATCTAGCAGACAATAAGAATTTACTCCATACAATCTTTAAGCAAAGGAATAAAAAACGAAAGCATCCTTTAGCAAGATTAATCAGGCAGCAGTAAGACAGAGTGGATACAAAGAGACTAGAGTCTATAGGTCCGCCAGGAAACTACTGCAGTGACCCAGCCCTTTGGGAATGTTGATCTGAGCTTGGATTATGTCAATGGAGAGGGAAAAGTAGCCACAGATACCAGAACTACTTCAAAGAAGAACTCAAAAGAGTCTAGTGGCTGACTGAATAGAATGGATAAAATTAAAAAAAATCAACACTTAACTATAAAATTTGAGGCCAGGATAAATGAAAAAATAGTTAATAAAGACATGGAAAACTGGAAGAGAAAGCAACCTTGGAGAGAAAAAATGAAGAGCTCCATTTAAAGTATAATAATTTGGCAGGCATCTATGCAGAAATGTCAGAAACCACTAAGACAGAGAATTACAATTTTGAGTAACAAGCTATATCAGGGGTTCCCAACCCCCAGGGCAAGCATCACCACCTGAGCTCCCCCTCCTGTCAGATCAGCGTGGGCATTAGATTTTCATGGGAGCTCGAACCCTACTGTAAACTATACATGCAAGGGATCTAGGTTGTGCGTTCCTTATGAAAATCTAACTAATGCCTGATCATCTGAGGTGGAACAGTTTCATCCTGAAACCGTCCCCACTCCCGTCCCTGGAAAAACTTGTCTTCCACAAAACCGATCCCTGGTGCCAAAAAGGTTGGGGACTGCTGAGCTATACTACTGATGACAACCAAGTGGTGTATTCCAATAGAATTTCTAATGATCTGCTGCTACAGAAGCTTCATTCACTCATTTGACAAGAATGTACTGGATTATTATTACATGCCAGACACAGTGCTAAGCACTAGGGATCAACAGGTGAAAACAGACACTGTCCTTGCCCTCACACAGTTTACAGTGTAGCAGGTAAGAGAGGTAAGCAAACGGGCAATCAGAATATAATAGGATAAGGGTCAGTGAAGAGGGAAATGTAATACAAGGTGCTACGGAAGCATATAAAAGGGATCTATCCACACTGGACTTAAGAGGTATATCACAGAAAAACCTTCCTATAGAAATGAGGCCTTAGCTAAAACTGACGTGAACAAATCTTAGCCTGAGAAAGTGTTAAGGATGGAGTGTTTAGAAATAAGGAATAGCAAGACCTCATAAGTCATTAATTATTGAGGGCAAACACTGCTGACAAGATTTGAATAAAGGAAGAATATGATCATTTTAGAAAAATAAATCTGACTATAATGTCAAGAACCAGGAAAAAAGTAGCAGCCACCATCAGTAGTGATGGAAACACAGAAGAAGGGACTCAGGACAACTCTATGTTCTGACTTGAGAAAGTAGATGGATTGTGGTACCATTCACTTCACTAAGAAACACAGCAGGAGGAAGTGTTGTGAGAGGGGAAGGGAACTGAGCTCAGTTTGGGCTATGGAGAGCATATGTATCTCTGAAACATCCAGGCAAATTTGACACATGTTTAGATACATGGAAATCTAGACTGGAGGTGTTTATCTGGGAGGAAATCTCTCCCCAGCAGGACTTGCCAGTGTTCTATATTTATTCATAAAACCATAAGTGAGCTTTGAAAATAGTCGTCTTCTACTTAACCTAGGTAAAATAAGAAATCTTGATGGGCAAGGGAAAAAAAAACAATGGCTCATCCTACTACTTGAGCACATTTTCAGATGCAATGAGTATACTTTTTTAAAAATACAGTGTTTGTTTGTATGACTACAGCTACCTAATGAATCAGTAGACAGCCTGTGTTCCTAGGTGTATATGTTCATTTGGACATTAATAACACTTCTAGGCATCAGCCAAGTTTAAGCCGAATAAAACTGTGTACGTATCTCTGTTAAGCATCATCAAGCCTTAGACACCCCTGGCTCTGAGATCTGACGAAGCCCAGATACTGAGTAGTTAAGGAGGAAAGGTGAGACCTCTTCTTAGACAATTAACCTGAGCTGAATGAGTACATCCCCTCAGATTTGGCCCAGTGTTTGAGACAACAGAGGATGTTTTTCCTCTCCTTTAAAACAGTGAGAAGCACTGAGAAATAAGAATAGTGTCATTAAGCAAAGATATACAGATCCTGAAATTAAAATTAATTATTTTAAATTTAAATCAACAGAGATGAAGATGTTTTTGTTCATACTTCAAATATTCTCAGAAAATAATCACAATCACAGGCACACACTCCAAGTATGAAGTGGACTAAGTGCCTTCAATGCTACTCCATGACATGAGGACTGAAAGTAACCCTGCTGAAGTAGCCGTCCCTTAAGCAAAAAGTCTACCTTAAAACAGAGATGGGAACAACGTGATCCTAGTAGACTTCATTCACTCATGGAAAAATATTCAGTAAGCAAAGTCTGAGACTTTAAAGCTGAGTAAGGCATAACCTCAGCCCTAAAGGAGCATACACCCTAATAGGAAGAAAGGATGTATGGCCAAATTACTATAACGGTGAAAGCAGAGAGAAAGAAGAGAAGGCAACAGTGACAGCATGTTAACTAGCATTCGTGGAGAGAGAAAAAAAGAGAATGAGGGAAGATTCCCAGCTTTGTACAACAGTTGAAACAGAAATTAACTTACAGGATGGGGTGAGGAGGCTCAAAAATGCCCTCTATACAAATCTAAAAAAGAATGGTGAAAACAAGTTTTCAAAATATTAAACAAAACAAAATTTTAAACTCTCTGAATCCCCTGGTGAGAACAAGTCGAACTCTGTTTCTGTTTACTTCTCAAGAATCTAAAACATCTATATAAAGAACCATACTTGGCTTTGAATTTTACAGTATTAAAAGTTCTCAAAAGCTCAAAAATTGTGCTAAGAAGACAAGATCCTCCAAATTCATAACAGGAAACGTGGCATTTTCCCAGATTATTCTCTGGCTTCAATGAAGAGAGAGAATGGGGACCACACTGCAGCAGCAGGGTTTATAAATATGAATTACAGGATAAGATGATTTTCCAAACACCTGTCAAAAGCTAATTCAATCCAAGAGAAAAGGGGGAAAAAAGACTCAGAGGGAAGCCAAATACAGTGACTAATGTGTGGAACTTTTGTGGACTTCAGTGGGTTGATGGTCTCATGGGCATTGCATGCCCACTCTACAATAATAAATGCACAAAGTCTGTAGAATAAAGCACTTTGATACTGTTCAAAGTGTTTGCACGTGTTCTCTCTCATTTGATTCCCACAATGCACAACTAGTTATGCTTTGTGCTGGTTAATGTGAAGGCAGAGACTTGGTACGCTGTCACACTATATGAAGTGGGAAGAAATGTGGAGATGTCATACAGCATAGCGGTTAAGAAAACAAGCCTTCAAATGAATGAGACCTGGGCTCGAATCATGGATCTGCTATTCACCACCTATGCCATCTTGCTTGGGGCAGTAGTTTAATGCCTTCTTCTAAGGTACTTCACTCATAAAAGCAGGAGAACTACCTCATGGGGCTGTTATACACAAATTAAATAAAAATACATAACCTTTCTGACATAGTGTCTCATAGCAGGCACTCAGTAAATGAAAACTGGCAATGGTAGTTTTTTTAAAGCTCTGTATTCCTGAGAAGAGAAATGGAAGAAATATTTAAAAATAAAATAAATAAAAGCTCTATACTTACCTAGTATAATACTGTTAGTACACAATCACACCAGCTCAAATAGTTCAGAAATAAAATTTTACCCTGGATTTAATCTGGGTTCAGATCTCTAGATGCTTTATAATAAAGCAAGCAGCTATTATAAACAGTCCCTGAGGATTTTCCCAGTCTTTCTTTGTTCTATTTTGTAAGGCAGGGGAAAGGAAAACCAAACAGAATATGCATAGGAATGGACTTTTTAAATGATTTTTTTTCCAACTTTTCCTTGATAATGTACTAAAAGACCTGGGCAGAAATACACCATATCCAGCTCTTTGTTATTAAAATATTGGCTTTACTTGGGACAGTTAATCCCTACTTCTGAATGATGTTCTGCTTGCGTACTGTTTGGGACGTGCTTTGGAAACAAGTTAGTATCCATTAGTATGACTAGCAAGAGGAAATAACCACCTATTTAATTTCTCAGTTCTACAAAGTTAACTACATGGAAATCTCTTAACTTCTCTGGGTTTCAGCATCTTCATCCTGAAAATGAAAATACTACTACTTGCCCCCCTAAGACGCTATAAGTTAAAGGAGATGTCGCTAACAGTATATAATCACAGTGAAATTAAATGATGGAAGAAACCTCAAACAAAAATTAAATGATGAAAATCTTCTATCACATCACCTCTTCACAGGTGACGTAGTATAACGAAGAAAGTGCACGTCTATAAAGAGGGAGAGATGTGTTCTGATCCAGGTTCTGCCACAACTCATCCTAACATCTTGGCCATTCATTTTTATTCCATAAGTACTTACTATATACCTATTAGATGCCTGCTACTGAGCCTGGTATTACAAAGTTAAAATACAGTTTGTACCTTCTAGAAAGAGAGAGAGATAGACAATTCAAAAAACTACAATAAACTCAAGAGCTACTAACAGAGGTATGTCAAAAGGGCTTCAGGAGCAAAGAGAAAGGGGCAATTCATTGTACAGAAATGATTAAGTCACGGAATGAAAGGAAGTCACTTTGCCCCTCTGTGACTCAATTTCTTTTAAGCAAATAATGATAAATTGGCCCTACCTTCCTCTAAGGTTGTTATAAGGCTGGAATAAATGAATTACAGACAAAACTCTAAAGATTAAAGAGCTATGGGCCAGGCGCAGTGGCTCACGCCTGTAATCCCAGCACTTTGGGAGGCCGAGGCGGGTGGATCACGAGGTCAGGAGTTCAAGACCAGCCTGGACAAGATGCTGAAACCCCATCTCTACTAAAAACACAAAAAAATTAGCCGGGCGTGGTGGCAGGCCCCTGTAATCCCAGCCACTCGGGAGGCTGAGAGAGAGAATTGCTTGAACCCAGGAGGCGGAGCTTGCAGTGAGCCGAGATCGCGCCACTGCACTCCAGCCTGGGTGACAGAACGAGACTTGTCCAAAAAAAAAAAAAAAAAATTAAAGAGCTATGAAGGTAAGTATATAGATATATAGAGATAAATAAATTATAGCAGCTGGTAGCTCATGCCTGTAATCCCAGCACTTTGGGAAGCCGAGGTGGGCAGATCACTTGAGGTCAGGAGTTCGAGACCAGCCTGGACAACATGGTGAAACCCCATCTCTACTAAAAATACAAAAATTAGCTGGGTGTGGTGGCGGATGCCTATAATCCCAGCTACTCGGGAGGCTGAAGCAGGTAACCGATTGAACCTGGGAGGCAGAGGTTGCAGTGAGCCGAGATCATGCCACTGCACTCCAGCCTGGGTGACAGAATGAGATGCCATCTCAAAAATAATAATAATAAATAAAATAAATTATAGCTATGTCTAAGTTATCATCTGTAGCATAGAGCTAACTTGCCATGTCAAGTTCAATAAATCATGAGCCCCCTGAACGTCAGTTTTTCCATCTACAAAATAAGAGTGTTGGGCTAGATAACTAATATTCCCTGCGGTGTTATCCAGCTAATTAGGATTTTCTTACTTTTGAGATGAGGAACCTAAAACTGAGAGAAGTTAAGTGATTTGCTAAGCAACACAGTACCAGAACAAATTGAAAAATATAAAATAAGGAGTTTTCATTTGTTCAGGCTTTCAAAACAGATCCTGAAACTTTTTATACCTAAATCTTCAATCTCAGCCTATGTACTCGAGACGATCAAGTTATATGGTTATTTTTGTGAAATTCATCACCAAATTGCTATTTCAATATCTTGGGTTTCTTTCATCCACAAAGATTTGCTCCTTTTGACTTGGATTCTATGCCTGCTCTAATTTTTTCCATTAAAGTGAGAAAGTATTGCCATCTACTGGACTCTAAAGATATTACCGCTGTAGCTTCTAGTCAGAAAAATGAAATTCTTACTTGTATCTCTATGTATCTATATACTTACCTTCACAGCTCTTTAATCTTTAGAGATTTGTCTATAAGTAATTTCACTCCAGCCTTATAACAACTGGTCTAATGCTTTTGCACCTTATCAATAGCACAAAAGTTGGAGTAATTATGCCAATATGAGTTACATAAAAATAAATACCAAAAGTTGAGGCTGGAGGTAACCCAGGGTGGAACAAATATCATCTACTCAAGATTTTTATTCTCAATGATTGCTGTGATAGCCCTAAACACAGCAAGCATTCACCTTCATTCACTAACAAAGTTTTACTGAGAGCCTACTACATACCAGGCACTGTGCTAGAGATATAGTGTTAATACAATGGTAAGCATTAGAGATGTAATTCCTCTTATCATAGGATTTAGAGCCTAGTGAGTAGAAGTTTCCATTTACTGGAGTAATAGTTGTCAGGAGTGCCTATAATTAAACTTATATCAATCTGACTCCAATATCCATATTCCTAACGACTAGGACTGTGCATTCATAAAAAGCAGCTGTCAGCAGTCCCACAAAAGACGAGTGGTCACCAAAATGAAATAAAGGCAAAGATAATCTTACCTGTATACATTAAAGGCAAAATCCTGAATAGGGATCTGAAAGATTTCCAGCTTACTGACTCAACAGCTTTTTATTTATCATCCTCCCCTAATCACCATCATAGCGGTTAAACCCACCTAGAAAACCCCTGTAGAAATCTCTAAAGGTCACCCAGCCTTATTCACCAACCTCCACACCAACTTCAAGGTATAACAAAGCTCCTCTTTGCTTCCCAATAGTCACCAAACATTAAAACCTCTTCCTGAAGTGCTCTTCAAATTATTTAAGGTTCTGCTATAACTTACCTGCATTATCTGCAAGATGCAAACAAATGACACCAAAAACAATTTTTCAAACTAAACTCATTTGTAAACTGCATGTCTTCTGGAATATATACTGTCTTATCTCCTCAACAAAGAAAATAAATTTTGAATCCATGTCTTATACTTTTGTATCCCACAGTACCTAGTTTAATAATAGGCTTGTAGTAGGCGCTTGACATTTTTTGCCAGGAAAAAAAATCATGAATCACTTTTACAACTAAGACAAAAATTTGCATCATCACTTATTCAACTTCTCTTTTGTCTGAATTGCTATTAAATACTTAAGATTGCAGTATCTGGCCAGGTGTGGTGGCTCACGCCTGTAATCCCAACACTTCGGGAGGCCAAGGTAGGAGGATCATTTGAGCCCAGAAGTTCAAGACCATCCTGGGCAACACAGTGAGACCTCATCTCTATTTTTTTTTCCTTTAAAAAAAAAAAAACAGAGTGCCACATTTGTATGCCAAATAAAGACCATTTTGCTACATACGCTTAACCAGAATATATCACTCCCTAACAATGCCAGAAGAGGTTACTGAACAAAGGATTAAAATCCAGTATTTATTTTAATGAAAAATTTTTCAGTGTATTAGGTAGTGTCCAACACACTCCTGGAAGTGAAAATGAACTACTTAGCCATTGTATTCTATAGTTAAGAGATTTTGGTTCCTAAAAACTCAACAGAAAGATGTAAAGCCTTTGGGAGAAGCAGATAAACAAAGAGGGAAAAGTTATGAACAGATAAGTAATTTCAGCTTTTAGATCCATAGTGCCTGAAGACATATTAAGATAATGTAGACAGAGGGAGTATTAACATCAACAAAATCATCAGCAATAATAATAAAACTGTTTCTGGTCACAGCTAATGTAAAAAAGAAGAATGCCAAAGAACTGGTCAACAAAAATTTTAGGCATTATTGAAAGCTGCTTTAAAATGTGCTCTGTCATTGCTTCCTAAGGGTAACTTTTCCTCTTCTGTATAAAACACTCATTCTTAAAATTTAATCCTGTTCTCAAAGCCTTGTTGCTTCAGCATTTTTAAAGTTTTAAACGAAATACTTCAAAACTATATGATATCCATTTATAATTATTGTGATTACAAATATATTTGGACATAATGCTACCCCCACACTACATGTTTCTTTTTATCTTTTGTTTCCTTTTCTGTTACCTACCAAGTTGACAAAGCTTTCTATACTTTATTCCCTTTTTTCCTCTGCTAATTAGAAATCTATAATCTCTGCTTTCCATCTTTTTTTTTTTTTTTTTTTTGGTAGAGACGGGAGTCTCACTTTGTTGCCCAGGCTGGTCTCAAACTCCTGGCTTCAAGCGATCCTCCCACCTCAGCTTCCCAAAGTGCTAGGATTATACAGTCTGGGCAGGGTGCCTCAGCCTGTAATCCCCACACTTTGGGAGGCTGAGGAGGACGGATCACTTGGGATCAGGGGTTTGAGACCAAAGTGCTGGGATTACAGGTGTGAGCCAACACACTCAGCCCTCTGATTTTAGCCTTTACTAGGTATCCTTAAATTTTTAACATGTACACTTGACCAAAATTTTTTCTAGCAAATTCTAAAGTTGGTTACTATCTCTATCCTCCTCCCAAACAAATCAGTGATCTCAATGAGTCTTAACCCTTTGAACACCCACTCTCATTATTGTTGTCTAGGGCAATGCTTTTCACTCTCTGTGGGGAAAGACCAGTTGGCTGGAGTTTTTTTTTTCTTCATTCCATTGTGAACTGATACTTTTGTAAAATACAATGAAGAGTCACAATAACGTCAAATTGCTATAGAAGTTTTGAAACTTTTACCCTCACTTTTTCCACGTTGCTCACCACAGATTGTGACAGACAGTTCCTAGACAAGCAGCGGTCCAGACTACATTTTGAATAACAATGGCCTAGCTTCTTTCACCTTAAAACACATAGGTTTATCAGATATTTATTTTTGTTTGTTAGCTTACAGTCAGAAATTAAATTCACTAATGTTTTAACCATTTGTATACCCCTTGCTGTTTTCTTATACACTATATGCTCCCTTTGGTATCATCTTCTATGTGCATCATTCAGCATGGGTAAAGGGTCTGTGGGTAGTAAACTCTCAATCTTTATGCATTTAAAACTATCCCTGACAGGTGCAGTGGTTCACACCTATAATCCCTGCTACTCAGAGGTGGGACTGGGCAACAGAGTGAGACTCTGTCTCAATCAATAAAATGCTCTCTCACCCTCGCTTTTTTTTTTTTTCTGTCACATAGGCTAGAGTGCAATGGTGCGATCACAGCTCACTGCAGCCTCAAATTCCTGGCTCAAACAATCCTCCCACCTCAGCCTCCCAAGTAGCTTGGACTACAGCCATGTACCATGCCTGGCTAATTTTTTTTTTTTTTTTTTTTTTTTTTTGGTAGAGATAGTATTTCATTATGTTACCCTAGCTGGTCTCAAATTACCCTCACTCTTGACTGAAAGTTTACTAGAAACAATTAATAATTAACAGCGCATTGAAGACCTATTTCTTCTGGCATCTACTGCTGCTGATGAGAAGTCTGCTGTCAGCCTAATTTGTGAGTAATATTTCCTTTCTCGCTGGTAGCTTTTCAAATTTCCCCTTTTAGGATTATTCTTAAAGTTCTGCAGTTTCTCTAAGCTGTCTTTTCTCGGCCCTTTTTTTAATAGGGAGAGCCCCACTCAGCTTTTCGTGCTCATTTAGTGCTCATTTTACCCTGAAGAGCCCATCTTTCTGCCTACTTCTGGGCAGAGTGGCCAGAAGGCCCAAGTCTTCTGCTTCTTCCCACTTCTTTGTGTTTCTATTCCACTTCTGTTTGGGAGATGTTTATTGCCTTGGTTTCTTGTTTGTTTTAGGAAGGAATAATTCTTCTTTTTTTCTTTTTTTTTTTGAGACGGAGTCTTGCTCTGGCCTCCAGGCTGGGGTGCAGTGGTGCGATCTCGGCTCACTGCAACCTCCACCTCCTGGGTTCAAGCAGTTCTCCTGCCTCAGCCTCAGAGTAGCTGGGATTACAGGCACCCGCCACTATGCCTGGCTAATTTTTGTGTTTTTAGTAGAGATGGGGTTTCGCCACGTTGGCTAGGCTGGTCTTGAATGCCTGACCTTGTGATCCACCTGCCTCGGCCTCCCAAAGTGCTGAGATTACAGGCGTGAGTCACAGCACCCGGCCAGGAATATTTCTTTTACATTTCTCCGATTTCATCAATCCTTGCTTCTTGCTTGGTGCTGAGGAAGGTCTCAAAGTGTACACTTACAATGTCATCTTGACTGGAAACTCTGCTTGCGGCTTTGTTAAAAAAGACAAGGTTTTTTAAGGTTCAGTCTACATGTCAGGTGTTCATTTGAAAGCTGGTAAAGGGGGCAAGATCTGCTGAACTTATCCAATTAACAAAGCTCACTAACTGAAGGACAATAGGGGAAAGTACACCACTAATTACGATCATATATTCAATAAGCATGTACTGACCATCTGCTTTTGAATCGCAGCTCTGCTACTCAGGGAGCTGCGTAATTTGGGGAAAGTTACTTAAGTTCTCTGTGCCAACTTCCTCTTCTATGAAAGGCCAAGTGTGAGGTTTAAATAAGGTAAAATGTGTAAAGTGTTTAGAATAGTGCCAGCATAGAAGTGCTCACTAAATACTAGCTATTATTCCCGTTAGAGGGAAACACTTACTCTGCATTCCCATGTTCCCACACAGGAGACAAATGCCCCACTCCATTTCTCAGGAGAAAAGGTCATGAAAGGAGCATCTGCAGTTTCTCTGTGTCCTCCACTCACTCCTCTCCAGGACCAGCAGATGACTGATCTGATGGCTGGGCTTCAGAGATGGACCTGTGTGTGACTGGCTTAATTCTTTCCAGGTTCTCTCCAATCAGAAACAACCTGTCTAACCACGCATACAAACTTTGCTTCTGGCTTGGAGGCTCAGGCTTTGTTCCTATAAGAGGAAGACCTTGGTTTCACTTGTTTTGTTATTTTGTGGGGGAGGTTCAGTCCAAGAGGAAGTATATAGAAGGAATCGACAAGCCCTTTTAGTCACAGCAAACTCTTTTAGTCACATAATTTAAATCACATTTGTCCATCAGTTTTATTAGTAATAAAGCCAATGTTCTGATCTACATTTATCTATCACCTATCCTTTTTTTTTCTTTCCCCTCCCTGAGACAGGGTCTCGTCCATTGCCCAGTGAAGTGGCGCCATCAGGGTTCACTGCACCATCAACCTCCTGGTCTCAAGCAATCCTCCCGCCTCAGCCCCTCAAGTTGGTGGGACTACAGACACGTGTCACCACACCTGGCTAATTTTTTGTTTGAATTTTAGTACAGACAAGGTCTTGCTACGTTGCCCAGACTGGTCTCGAACTGCTGAGCTCTCGAACTGCTGATCCTCCCAGCTCAGCCTCCCAAAATCCACTGGGATTACAGACTATCACCTATATCTGAACTTGCTCCAAACTCAGGAGAAGAAAGGAGTATTAGTTATTGGCTTACTCAAAATCTCAACAGCTCTGAGGATTTGGCTATAAGGTTCTTGGGGTATTAAATACAATAATAGATGTGAAGCTCTTACAGTGTTTGATATACAGTAATGCTCAATACATTTTAGCTATTAATATTATTATTATATGTGCCAGATATTGTCCTAAAAGGTGAGTTATACCAGTTGCAGGAGGAACTTAATGTTGCAACAGTATTAGAACAGCTAACCCTGTACATGAGATATTATGAACAGCAGCAGTAGCAATCCCATAATTATTTCATTAAATCACAAACACTTTTACTAAGCAAACTGCATACCCCAAAAACTGTGGCAGGTGCTGGGAATTCAATATTATTTATAGAAATCTGTCCTTCAAAAGCTTACAGGCTAGAAAGGAAGAAAGACAAGCCTAGTTGCAAAGTGGTATATCCTATGTCAAAGGTATACATAGTATGTTGATATAGGAACTTAGAAGAGGAGAGCTTTGAAATAAAGAAAGAAAAATGTCTATCAGAGTTTGAATTGAATTTTGAAGAAGTCACTTGAATAACTTCCATTTTGCTAAATCCAATGGGCAATTTTTGGTCCTCCTATTTGATCACTCTCTCCTCTTAAAAAAACAAGCAAAAAGACAAACAACAATAACAACAACAACAACAACAACAAAACCCTTTCTTTCTCTGGACTTTGAGATTCTACACAAAACTTTGCTCTCTTTCCCTTGGGCCACTTCTTTTCAGTCATCTTTTCTGGTGCCCCCTATGTGGACTTTAAAAACTGGAGGTCTTCCAGGCTTGGGTACCTAGCCCCCTTTCTTCCTACAGTACTGCCTGTTCCTAGTCCATCTTATCACCACTTATGACTCCAATGACTGTTTGTCATTGGCCCCACATAAATATTTCTAACCTAGTCCTCTCCTCTGAACTTCAGACTCATAGATCCAAAGGCCTACTTCCATCTACACATGAATGTCTCAAAGGCATCTCAAACTCCACAGGATCAAATCGCAACTCACAATCTGCCTCCACCAAACCTGGTTTTCCTCCAGTGTCACTTAGTTTTCTCAGTGCCTGACACCTTTATCCATCCAGTTACTTCATCTAAGCCAGAAACCCAAAAGTCATCCATGACACCTCCTTTTTCTTATGCCTTAAATTCAAATCATCAGCAAGTCCTAATGATTTTATCTACTAAAACTTTCTTAAATCTATCTTCTCTCTATTCTACTGTCACCCTGTTTCAAAGTAATACATCTGTTATCTGGTATACTGTAAGATCCTCCTTACTGGTCTCCCACAAATATTCTTGCCTCTTCTACAATCAGTCTCTACTGCAGCCAGAATGAAATTACTGAAACGCAAATCTGATAATCACACTGCTGTGCTAAAACTCCTTTCACAAAGACCCCTGTTCTTAGGGTAAAATCCTTTAAAAGTTCTGCGTGCTGTGGCCCCTGCCTAGCTCTCCAGCCCCATCGGGTATCACTCCCCCCTCATCACTCTGACCTTCCTTTAGTCCCTAAAACTCATCATGTTCCCTTCTATTTCATGGCCTTCCAACATGTTAACCTCCTCTGGCTGAAATGCTCTCTCTATTCAGCCCCTACTCCCTACTCCCTTTACACAGTTCACTTCTATTCATCATCTGGAGTGTAGCTTTAAAAGTCAAGTCCCCAAGAAGACCTTTCTTGAGCCCTTAGAATAGGTTAGGCCCTCATTATATGCTTATATAGCATTTACCACCATTTGTGTTTACATGTTTATCTGTTAGATTACTGTATCAGTGTTTGCCTCTTGCATATATACTCCACAACAGCAGGAAATTATCCATTTGCTCACCACTGTGTTCTTAGCACTTGGAGTACAGTACAGTGGCTGACATACAGCAGGCGCTCAATAAAATGTTGTTGAATAAATGAAGTACTCTAAGCAACAGCATTTCAGACAACCAAGAGCTATGAAGCAACATGATCACTAAGAGCAAATAATGCACAGGGTTGTTGGGTAGAACACCATAGTAGAATAGAAAAAGCACAGGCTTTAGAGGCAGGCAACCTGAAATTTCAGCTCAGCTACTTTCTAGATGGGTGAACCTACGAAGCTCATCTCAAACAACTTTTTTCCTTAACTATAAAATGGAGAGGACAAAACAAACCACATTGGTTTTGGCTAGTATTAAGTGAGGAAAAGGACAAGAATCACCTGGCACAGTACCATAGATAGTAGGTACTTGGTAAATGTGAATTCGCTTCCCTTTCCTTTCTCTAATAACTTTTAGATGTAGAGATAATGCTGACTATAAAACAACCGATTCATAGTTTCTTAAATGTATTGAAAGTTATAAAAGATATCTGAAACATTTCATAAAACTGTATTGCATTTAATCAAAATTCACCATCCTTTCTTAACCCCCAAAGAGTTATGTAGAATAAGAGAAAACAGCTAGCTCCAGATTTCCTGTAGAAAAATTAATATAATCTGGATTTAGAAAAGATGGACTGGATGGTTATGTGCCTTACAGAATGAGTTTTCCCATTAAAAAGCATCCACCTTAAGCCACACTAAGCAACAAATTTAAAGCATGATTCTATTTACACAGAGTTTTCAGGATTATATCTACCCTGTACACCTGCAAGGCACACCTGCACTAAACAAAATTCATAACATTAGAAGGATCTTCTTACCTTATGTTCAAATGGAGCACCATAGTATCCATCATTCAGCCCAAAAATTATTTCATTTTGGTTTCGGGCATGAATCTAAGAGAGGAGGAAAATACAGTATTTGTTATTTTTATTCCGATCATGTTTTAATACAACCAGAGAATGACAGTTACAACAGGATCTACTTCAATACTGAGAAACCGGCTGACTACATCTAAACATACTAGCAGAAAACCAATCACTATTCAAAAGACCAGGTGATCAATTCAGCATTTCCTGCTTTAGTCAAAGGCCTTGCAAAACTATCACATGCAATCACAGGCACCATCACTCACATATCTTTCACAAACATTTCTTGAGGTTGTTATGGAATGGCTATTCCTGAACAATAGGGTATTCAGAGGCATATTCTACCCTCTCTAACCCCAAAGAAAACACAATTTATTAATTCTAAAAGTATTTTTTTTTAACATGAAGCCTAGGCCTGGCACAGTAGCTCACGCCTATATTCCCAGCACTTTGGGAGGCAGAGATGGGCAGATAGCTTAAGCTCAGGAGTTCAAGACCAGCCTGGGCAACATAGCAAGACCTCTTCTCTACAAATAACAATAACAATAAAAAATATTAGCCGGGCATGATGGTGCACGCCTGTGGTCCCAGCTACTCGGGAGGCTGTGGTGGGAGGACTGCCGGAGCCTGAGTGGTCAAGGCTTCAGTGAGCCATGATCACACCACTGCACTCCAGCATGGGTGAGGGAGCACAACCTCGTCTTAAAAATAAGAAAAAAAATGAAGCCCTAGAAAAACATAAAAGATTAATATATTCTATTTTCAAAAAGGCAATTTTTAAAAAAGCAATAGTATCCAATCCCTAAAGTCTTAAATGTCTGCAAACCACTCTCTTTTATTACTGTCTGCAAACCACTCTCTTCTATTATTGTCTGCAAACCACTCTATTTCAGATGAGGTGAGCTGCAGTCATTGCATCCCAAATTAAACTTCATTTAAAAGGTGGAAGAATAAAACTTTAAAAATTAAGGAACTGAGGCCAGACACCGGTAGCCTGTAATCCCAGCACTTTGGGAGGCCGAAGCGGGCGGATCACTTGAGGTGAGAAATTCGAGACCAGCCTGGCCAACATGGCGAAACCCCGTCTCTACTAAAAATACAAAACTTGGGGCCCGGCGCAGTGGCTCATGCCTATAATCCCAGCACTTTGGGAGGCCAAGGCGGGTGGATCACGAGGTCAGGAGATCGAGACCATCCTGGGTAACACGGTGAAACCCCGTCTCTACTAAAAATACAAAAAATTAGCTGGGCGTGGTAGCGGGCGCCTGCAGTCCCAGCTACTCGGGAGGCTGAGGCAGGAGAATGGCATGAACCCGGGAGGCAGAGCTTGCAGAGAGCCGAGATTGTGCCACTGCACTCCAGCCTGGGAGACAGAGCGAGACTCCGTCTCAAAAAAAAAAAAAAAAACCTGCGCCAGGCACGCTGGTTCAAGCCTGTAATCCCAGCACTTCGGGAGGCCAAGGCGGCGGATCACTTGAGGTCAGCAGTTTGTGACCAGCCTGGCCAACATGGTGAAACCCCGTGCCTACTAAAAACACAAAATTTAGCCGGGCATGGTGGCGGGCGCCTGTAATCCCAGCTACTCGGGAGGCTGAGGCAGGAGAATCGCTTGTACCCGGGAGGCGGAAGTTGCAGTGAGCCGAGAGCACGCCGCTGCACTCCAGCCTGGGCGACCAAGCAAGACCTTGTCTCAAAAAAAAAGAAAGAAAGAAAAAGAAATTAGCTGGGCGTGGCAGTGCACATCTGTAATTCCAGCTACTAGGGAGGCTGAGTGAGGCAGGAGAATTGTTTGAACCCGGGAGGCGGAGCTTGCAGTGAGCCGAGATCACGCCACTGCACTCCAGCCTGGGCGACAGAGCGAGACTCCGTCTCAAAAAAAAAAAACAAAATTAAGGAACTCAGATTAAAAAAAAAACTCGAAGTAGTATAAAGTGTCCAACTATGAAATATATAAATAGCTTTAGTTACTTCATCAGAAAGAGTTGTGGCAAAAAAAAAAAAAATTCTTCTGCCGTGAAGGTTTTAAGTGAAAGTTCAAGTGGGGGAAAGACAAGAGGGACTACCAGAACAGAATCTCTCCTTTCTCTACCTAGAGATGGAAAATAGTCAAAGCCAGCAGCAGAAGATTCCTGTGAACACTTCCCTGACTTCTGTATCTCCTACCTCTATCACCAAAGCAAAATTAATCACATACTCCCTGTTTATCCACATCATTTACTGAACTGAATACAATACCAAAAGATAAGTCTGCAATCATAAGTTTAAAATAAAAACTATAAATCAATCTCAAGGAGTTTTTCACCTTGGAAAAGAGAAAACATTATGAAAGCAGTCTCAAGATTAGAAGGATCCTGAAATTTAATAAACATAAAACATTTTTACACATATATACCTGGGGAAAAAAAGATTAAAATTATATTCACCAAAATGTTAACAATGGTTACAGCTGGGCAGAAGAATTACGTGTAATTTTTTATTCTCTTTTCTGTGCTTTTCTAAATTTTCCAAATTGTCCACAAACAAAATTAGAAGAAAATAAAAATATACACTTAAAGAAAGGGATGGGAGAGTATGGGGAGAAACAAATCTAACATGAAGGTAAAGTTCTCAAAGTGTAAACTTCATGAAGACGTGCATTAAAATAGTTTGTTGAAAAATAAGAAACAATATAGTACTAGTACTTGAAAAGATACGGGGTTAAAAAGTAAGTAACCTGAGTTCTAATTCCAACTTTAACTGTTTCTTAAGGAACTCTTCAGAGAAGGGAACTCTGACTTGTTTTACAGCCCTGGTACCCCTACTCTATCCAACATATAGTAGTTTATCAATGTTAATGGTATATACTTTAATTCCTTCATCAGCCAAAAACCAGAAAACATTTCCTGCCCTACCTTGCATGAGTGTCATAAAAACGGTGAGATAATAAGATATGAAAGTATTTTTGGAAATTAGATGTAAAAAACATTGATTAAAAAATCTAATAATGTATTAGGAATAAGGCAACCATAAAACTCAGAAAGATCCCTTTGTTCCTGACTAATAAATATGCTTAACAAAACTGGCTGTATCATATTGCACACTACTGTGCACATTTCCGAACTGCTAAATTATGCTAATAAGCGTAATGTGTACTATCCTTTACTTATCAATTATAGGTTAATGGCCTAACAATAATTGTATTAGAATCCTAATATGGAAACTATAGAACTTAGAACTTAACCACAACCTCGTATTTTGATATCTTTACGAAAAACAGCATACTTTTTAAGACAGCTGCTAGGATTAGTGAAATGAATAATACATACAGTCTGAGCAATGAAACAACTAATGGCCTAAATCCACCAAACACTGCGCGATCTTTGGCAAATCACTGAATCTTTCTGAGCTTCTGTTTTCTTAAATACTGAGGAAGAAAACAATACTTGTTCACATGATCTTCAAAAAGCTTCAGGTCATTGTATGTATGTAAAAAGATACCCAAACACTGAAGAGGTATACAATTGTTGTTGTTATTAATACAAAGTTCTAACCACTTAAACTAAGCACAAGAATTTCTTCCATAACACGCAAGTTAGGATGATACATGACCCATGTAAGCAATCTACAAAAGAAATCTACCAAAAAAAAGTACCAGATTTGATTTTTGAGTTTAGCAAGGGTGTAGAATACAAGCTCAGTACAGAGATATATATTTCTACATATACTAGCAAAAAAAATTGAAAACAGAAATATTAAAAAAGAAATACCATTTAAATTAGCATAAAAATCTATAGGTATAAATCTAACAAAATATGTGCAAGATCTGTATGCTGAAAACTACAAGAAAATTTTTATAAATGGAGAGACATATCTATAGACTGAAAGACTCAATACTATTAAGAAGTTAATTCTCCCCAAATTTTCTTAGATTCAACATCTATCAAAATCCCAGGATTTTTATAGAAATGGACAAACTGTTCTAAAGTGTATATGGAAAGGCCAAAGACCTAGAATAGCCAGAAATTTTTTGAAAAAAGAACAAAGTTGAAGAACTCATTGACTGAATTCTAGACACATTTTAAAACTACAGTAATCAAGACAATTTGGTATTGGCATTAAGACAGAAATACAGATCAATGAAACAGAACCACACAAATGATTCTCAACTACTGATTTTCAACAAAGATGACAAGGTAATTCAATGGAGAAATAATAGCCTTTGCAACAAAGAGTACAGGAACAATTGTTCATCCATCTGCAAAACAATGAACCTTGCACTTTATATAGAAAATTCAAAATGGATCATTGATGTAAATGTAAAACCTAAAACTATAAAACTTCTAGAAGAAAACTTACAAAAGAAAACAAAGGAAAAAGTCTTTGTGACCTTGGGTTAGGCAAAGATAAGACACAAAAAGCATGTAACACAACAGCAAAAACTGACATAGTGGACTTCACCAACATTAAAAAATGAAAAGACAAGCCACAAACTGGCAGAAAATATTGGAAAATACATATCTTATAAAGGACTGATTTATATCCAGAATACATAAAGAACTTTACAACTCAATAATTCAAACAACCCAATTAAAAATGAGCAAAAGATCTGAACACTTCACACAGAGAGAGAGAGAGAAAGAGAGAGAGAGAGAGAGAGAGAGAGACTGATCTCAAATAGACTTTTTGCTTACAAGGCTCAATTTAATTTTGTCATTAGGAAAATTCAAATTAAAACTACAATGAGATACCACCTCAAAATTTAAAAAGACTGGCAATCACAAGTGATAGCAAAGATGTGAAACAAACAGAACTATTATACATTGCTGATGGGAATGCAGGATGTTATAGTCACTTTGGAAAACTGGCAGTTTCTTATAAATTTCAACATACATTTACCATTAGACCCATCAATTCCATTCCTGGAGATTTACCCAAAAGAAACACAAAGACCTATATTTAAATATTCATAGTAGCTTTATTTATTATGGTGGTGGTTACTCAACTCTATCGGTTTTTCAAATTCATTGAATTGCACACTTTAAAAAGGGTGGATTTTATGACATGTAAATTGTACCTCAATAAACCTAACTTAAAAAAAATACTTTATTCAGAAGTCATTCCTCCCTGATTCTATACAAGCTGGTCTAAATATCTCTTCCCCGTACGACTCTCACAGCTCTCTATGAAGGTATTCATCAATCATCAGTACACCGGGTCTAAGAACCTTGTCCTACAAATCTCTGGATCCTTAACACAAAGAACAATGCCTGGTAGAAAGTATATGATCTATCAATGAACCTAACTGATTCTGGCTATTATCCTAAAACATCTTAGCCTCATGTTCCTCCAAAACTTTATAACTCTATTTAATCTTATTTTTAGCAGTATGTTACTTGTTATAGCTATTTTATAGATAAGTTTTGACTTTCTACAATGATCTTAAGTTTCTATCTGGCTTTAAGAAACATGTTTTTTCTTTTTTTTTTTTCTTTTCTTTTTTTTTTTTTGTTCTCTGTTACTCCAGCATAACTGACTTTATATGAAGACACCTGAATGCCAACTCTCTGAAAGTAGGGCTGGTTAGATATAAGCTCAGCTGGGTATGGCAACAAGACCACCACCGAAGGAAAGTGTGACTTGAAAAACATGATGAAACCCATCTTCACTAGCCAAAAAAGCCCTTCAGGCCTAGAGCCCTGCAACCAGAACGTTAAGAAGCACCATCCTCCATGAAATATAGATACTTTCAAGTAGAAGAGAAACAAGTACTTAATATCAGAGTCTATCCAAAGAGAGCCAAGTATGGTATGTGGGAAGATAGATGGGATATATACCCCAGTGCAGGGATCTGGTTGGTCAGTCTAAAGGCAACAAGTACCTGGTAGCAAAAAAGAAAACAAAGGCCCTGGCCTAAACCAAAAGTCATTATTTTCTAAGTTTTAATTAAGATAATCCCTAAAACAGAGAAAAAAATTAAGATTTTTTAAAAAATGTTTAAATTGTAGTTTAGAATGTAGTTTAAAGAACATATATATTATATGCACTGTTCTGGTCACTATAGGACACAAAATAAAAAAAATATGTTAAAAGCATGATCTCACTTGTCCGTGGAATCTAAAAAAGTTGAACTCATAGAAGTAGAGAGTAGAATGGTGGTTAGCAGGAGCTGCGTGGAGGGGAGGAGGCTTGGGAAGATGCTGGTCAAAGGATACAAAATTTCAGTTAAATAGGAGGAATAAGTTCACGAGACTACAGCATGGTGACTACAGGTAAAAAATTTAAAAATAAAAAGTATGGTAAGCAAAATGAGCACAGAGATTTTTAGTTTTTTTTAGATTTTCAAAAAAAATTTTTTTTTTTTTTTGAGATAGAGTCTCACTCTGTCACCCAGGCTGGAGTGCAGTGGCGCCATCTCGGTTCATTACAACCTCCACCTCCCCGGTTCAAGCAATTCTCCCACCTCAGCCTCCTGAGTAGCTGGGATTACAGGCACATGCCGCTGTGCCCAGTTAATTTTTGTATTTTTAGTAGAGACAGGGTTTGCCATGTTGGCCAGGCTGGTATCAAACTCCTGGCTTCAAGTGATCCTCCCGCCTCAGCCTCCCAAACTGCTCCCAAGGTTACAGGCATGAGCCACCACACCTGGCCCAGATTTTCAGATTTTTAACCTGAAAAAATGCAGAATTAAGTTGTTTCTTTAATAAGAAACATCTCAGAAAGTATTATATTGAATAAATATGAAGAAAGCATCAAGATGTTTATAGATAATCTATGACTAATATTTTATGGTTACCTTTAATAGTAGTACCATAGGCATCACAAAATAGAAATGAGATTCATTCCAAGGTGGGGTGGGGGGTTACCAAGGACCACATGTATATACCAGTGCAGTATAGGACAAAGAGAATGAATTTTTAAATCAGCCAGGCCTGAATTTAAATCTTAGCTCCAGCTGTGTGATCTTGAATCATTTCCTAAAGTTTCTGAGGCTCAATTTTTTTCATCTGGAAAATAAGGGCAATAATATCAAACTTCACAAGGTTGCTATAAATATTAATTATAATAATCTATATCTGATGATAGCAAATAGGTTTCATTTCATTTACAATTCTAACAGATTCCTAGTTTTGTCCTGGAACACTGTTAGAAAGGATTCTGAAGGCCTGGTGCCATGGCTCATGCCTGTAATCCCAGTTCTTCGGGAGGCCAAGGCAGGAGGACTGCTTGAGCCTAGGGGTTCACAACCAGCCAGGGCAACATAGCAAAACCCAATGTGAAAGGAAAACATCTTGGGCCCCCAAAATCATTAAGGAAAACTCAAGCTGGAAACTGCTTGGGGGCCCTTCCTCCCATTCTATTCAAAGTCACCCCTCTGCTCACTGAGATAGATGCATATCTGATTTGCCGCCTTTGGAATGGCTAATCAGAAACTCAGAAGAATGCAACCGTTTGTGTATCACCTGTCTGTAACCTGGAAGCTCCCTCCCTGCTTCGAGTCTTCCTGCTTTTGTTTCAAGTTGTCCTGCCTTTCCAGACTGAACCAATGTACTTCTTACATGTATTGATTGATGTCTCATGTTTCCTTAAAATGTATAAAACCAAGCTGTGCCCCAACCACCTTGGGCACGTCTTTCTGGGGCGGTGTGACAGGCACATCCTATCTTGGCAAAATAAACTTTCTAAATTAACTGAGACCTGTCTCACATGTTTACACCCATCTCTACAAAAATAAAAATAAAAATTAGCTGGGCATGATGGCGCCTGCCTGTAGTCCCAGCTACTTGCTGAGGCAGGAGGTATTGAGGGATTGAGGCTGAGGCGGAAAGGATCACTTGAACCCAGGAGTTTGAGGCTACAGTGAGCTATGATCACACCACTGCACTCCAGCCTAGGCACCAGGGCAAGACCCTGTCTTTAATTTAAAAAAAAAAAAAAAAAAAAAAAAAAAGAAGTAAATAAAAGAAAGGAAGAAAGAAAATATTATGGAGCTACTTTTGAGCCCAGTTAAAAGAGAACTGTAGAGGCCAGGCACAGTGGCTCACACCTGTAATCCCAGCACTTTGGGAGGCCGAGGCGGGTGTATTACCTGAGCTCAGGAGTTCGAGACCAGCCTGGCCAACATGGAGAAACCCTGTCTCTACTAAAATACAAAAAATTAGCTGGGCATGGTGGCACATGCCTGTAATCCCAGCTACTTGTGAGGCTGAGGCAGGAGAATCGCTTGAACTTGGGAGGCGGAGGCTGTGGTGAGCCGAGATTGCGCGCCATTGCACTCCAGTCTGGGCAACAAGAGTGAAACTTCGTCTCAAAAAAAAAGAGAACTGTAATCTACTAGCTACATCAGTCATGGGTACAGCAGAGATGGAGAACCAGTGGCAGCAAATAATCCAAGCAGGTGTCATCCTGTGCTCAATAAATAGTAGCTCTTCTTATTCCTGGAATAACGCTACTGGTCAAAAGAGAGGTATTTAACGTGATATTCCTTATTTCAACTTAATTTTCAGATTCTAGGTGAGGACATCCAGTAAGACAGAAAAAGCAAAATGCTATGAGAAAGCACATTCTTTCCTAAACACACACACAAATCCATCTTCATAAATTTCTTCAGACAAAGGTGTTTGTTAAACTAGGCAATGATTCAAACATAACAATGTAAGTAATATAAGTAAATAATAACATATGTAAATGATCATCAAGGTCTCTCTTAGTGATATAAGTAAACAGTCATAAAAGTCTCTCTTTATAATAGGAAACGCAGAATCAGAAGAATCAACAGAAAGGTTAGACACGTTAATTTGGAGATGACAACTACTTGAAACTACAGTCTAAAAATTACCTGCTGACCCAAGTATTTCAGCCCATCCAAACAGACTTTCCATTCAATCAACAGCTGGTAGATGTTCTCCTTTCCACCCCATATCTTCACCACGAAACAAGACACAGATGTATCAAGACGGTCTGGCATAATTCCAAAATCGAGACTTCGCCACGTGGGATTCTGCTCATGAAAATGAAAACACGCTTTAGGACAACTCTATTTGTTTACGATTATTTCAATTAGGTGACAAATCATTTTGTTTTTCAAAACCAAAAGACCTCATAAATACATTAAATTGCAAACTTAAGTAAGCCAAGAAGACATTACAATTAACACAAAAGGGGTGATAATGGTACTTTTGAATTTCTCTGCTTACTTATTATAGTCATTAGAAGAAGCGTATATTCCTATCACTCACTTACATGGTTTCATACGGTAATTCATTCATTTATTCGACACTTAATACGTGATTATTAACAGCCAACACATAAACAATGCCCTCAAAGAGGCTCCAACTTACTGTTGGATTCAAACCTCCATTTAAATAATTACACTGTTTTGTGCAAAGTTCAATAACAGAATTATGCATAAGGCTACACAGCAGAAGAGAAAGGAAAAATAAACTGATGAACAGGGGAAGACATCACAAAGGCTGTGAAACCTGGCTTTTAACAGATAAGTGGGCTTTCACCAGATTAAAATAAGTAATTTCAGGCAAAGAGGAACACAATATGAAAAGGGCTCAGAGGTGTAAAATGCCAAGGTGTGGTCAGGGCACTCAGGACTACTGCTGGAGCACACAATACAAAAGTGGCAGGACACAAAGCTGGACAGACACACAAGGAACTGAACTGAAGGATCTTTTATGCCTTTTGCTAGGAGGGAATACTTTACTCTGTACAACAGTGGGGCCATTGAAATGTTTTCAAGTTGAAAATAACAAGGTCAGCTTTATGCTCTGAAAGAACATTATTTCTCATTAAGAGAACCGTCCAGGGAGTCGAAACCCTCTCTGAAAAGTGAAAATGTTAAGGAGCTTTCATAACATCAAAGGAATGAACTACAATGTAATACATCAACTACTTTTGCTTATTTCCCCTACATTAAACATAAGGGGGTCTCCCTCTCCCTCTCCCTCTCCCTCCCCCTCCCCCTCCCTGTCCCTGTCCCTGTCCCGTCTCCCCACGGTCTCTCTCTCTCTCTCTTTCCATGGTCTCCCTCTGATGCCGAGCTGAAGCTGGACTGTACTGCTGCCATCTCGGCTCACTGCAACCTCCCTGCCTGATTCTCCTGCCTCAGCCTGCCGAGTGCCTGCGATTGCAGGCGCGCGCCGCCACGCCTGACTGGTTTTCATATTTTTTTGGTGGAGACTGGGTTTCCCTGTGTTAGCCGGGCTGGTCTCCAGCTCCTAACCGCGAGTGATCCGCCAGCCTCGGCCTCCGGAGGTGCCGGGATTGCAGACGGTGTCTGGTTCACTCAGTGCTCAATGGTGCCCAGGCTGGAGTGCAGTGGCGTGATCTCGGCTCGCTACAACCTCCACCTCCCAGCCGCCAGCCTTGGCCTCCCAAAGTGCCCAGAGTGCAGCCTCTGCCCGGCCGCCACCCCGTCTAGGAAGTGAGGAGCGTCTCTGCCTGGCCGCCCATCGTCTGGGATGTGAGGAGCCCCTCTGCCTGGCTGCCCAGTCTGGAAAGTGAGGAGCGTCTCTGCCCGGCCGCCATCCCATCTAGGAAGTGAGGAGCGCCTCTTCCCGGCCACCATCCCATCTACGAAGTGAGGAGCGTCTCTGCCCGGCCGCCCATCGTCTGAGATGTGGGGAGCACCTTTGCCCCGCCGCCCCGTCTGGGATGTAAGGAGCGCCTCTGCCCGGCCGTGACCCCGTCTGGGAGGTGAGGAGCGTCTCTGCCCAGCCGCCCCATCTGAGAAGGGAGGAGACCCTCCGCCCGGCAACCGCCCCATCTGAGAAGTGAGGAGCCCCTCCGCCCGGCAGCCGCCCCGTCTGGAGAAGTGAGGAGCCCCTCCGCCCGGCAGCCACCCCGTCTGGGAAGTGAGGAGCGTCTCCGCCCGGCAGCCGCCCCGTCTGGGAGGGAGGTGGGGGTCAGCCCCCACCAGGCCAGCCGCCCCGTCCAGGAGGGAGGTGGGGGGGTCAGCCCCCCGCCAGGCCAGCCGCCCCGTCCGGGAGGGAGGTGGGGGGGTCAGCCCCCCGCCCGGCCAGCCGCCCCGTCCGGGAGGTGAGGGGCGCCTCTGCCCAGCCGCCCCTACTGGGAAGTGAGGAGCCCCTCTGCCTGGCCAGCCGCTCCGTCCGGGAGGGAAGTGGGGGGGTCAGCCCCCCGCCCGGCCAGCCGCCCCGTCCAGGAGGTGAGGGGCGCCTCTGCCCAGCCGCCCCTACTGGGAAGTGAGGAGCCCCTCTGCCTGGCCAGCCGCTCCGTCCGGGAGGGAGGTGGGGGGGTCAGCCCCCCGCCCGGCCAGCCGACCCGTACGGGAGGGAGGTGGGGGGGGTCAGCCCCCCGCCCGGCCAGCCACCCCGTCCGGGAGGGAGGTGGGGGGGGTCACCCCCCGCCCAGCCAGCCGCCCCGTCCGGGAGGGAGGTGGGGGGGTCACCCCCCGTCCGGGAGGTGAGGGGCACCTCTGCCCGGCCGCCCCTACTGGGAAGTGAGGAGCCCCTCTGCCCAGCCACCACCCCGTCTGGGAGGTGTGCCCAACAGCTCATTGAGAACGGGCCATGATGACAATGGCGGTTTTGTGGAATAGAAAGCGGGGAAAGGTGGGGAAAAGATTGAGAAATCAGATGGTTGCCGTGTCTGTGTGGAAAGAAGTAGACATGGGAGACTTTTGATTTTGTTCTGTACTAAGAAAAATTCTTCTGTCTTGGGATCCTGTTGATCTGTGACCTTACCCCCCAACCCTGTGCTCTCTGAAACATGTGCTGTGTCCACTCAGGGTTAAATGGATTAAGGGCGGTGCAAGATGTGCTTTGTTAAACAGATGCTTGAAGGCAGCATGCTCGTTAAGAGTCATCACCACTCCCTAATCTCAAGTACCCAGGGACACAAACACTGCGGAAGGCCGCAGGGTCCTCTGCCTAGGAAAACCAGAGACCTTTGTTCACTTGTTTATCTGCTGACCTTCCCTCCACTATTGTCCCATGACCCTGCCAAATCCCCCTCTGTGAGAAACACCCAAGAATGATCAATAAAAATAAAAATAAAAAATAAAAAATAAAAAAAAAACATAAGGGCTTTCACTGCTGAATGTAAACAAAATCAACCTATTACCAATTTTCATATTATGTAAATCAGTAAATCAAAGGGTCTTCAGATAAGGGTAACTAACTGTTCTTGGCTTTGTGGCAGTTTTTTTTTTTTTCCTGACCAAAGTGTAAGGTGGGAGAGGACACTGAAATACTACCACAAATAACATGATGATAACCTAGCACACACATTTATGCAGTCAGTTTTATACTGGATTGTATAAAAACTAAATGCTAGCCATGCAAGAATTTCAGTCTAAGATCAACAGAATTCCACTCTTAAATGACCTCCAGTCTGTATCTCACTATAACTGTTTTAGCAGCCCTGCTAAATAGGGGCAGAGTTTCAATTAAATGTGAAGACAACAATAAGGTCTGGGAGTAACTATGCTGATCCACACTACAAGAAATGCTTACAAAGTTCTTCAGGCTAAAGGGAAACAACACTGGATATAGACTTGGATCTAGGCAAAAGAATGGAGAGCACTGGCAATTGTAAACATGTGGGTAAATATAAAAGACTATATGGCCCAAGGGTGAATGGGTGAATGGAAGGGAGCCATCCATTTCTGATAATGACTGATGAGACAATCCTCTCACTGAAAACAACTAAAATGTCAGGTAAAATATTTTTTAAATAATAATAATAATCACCATTAACATCAAAGAATTTCCAAACCAAGGAAGAAAGAACCCAGAGAGGTAAGTGGAGATCTAGAGGTCTTTGTCGTGAAGCCATGACGGATCTATACAAAGCCGGGGCTTTGGTTTTCACATTCTTTTTCTTTTTTTCTTTTTGGGGTAGAGACAGGGTCTCACCATGTTGCCCACACTGGTCTCTAAGTCATGGGCTCAAGCAATGCTCCCACCTCAGCGTCCCAAAGTGCTAGGATTACAGGGGTAAGCCACTGCACGTGGCCAGTTTTGGCATTCTTAAAGGAAGCAAGGACATAATTCAAGAGCCAGGCCCAGGTCCCATCCATGACTAAAAAATGTCCCTCTCCACACTGAGGACCACAAAAGGGCTATACCCCTAAACAGCATAAGTGAAACTAAACTAAATCCACCAAATCCCTACACACAGATGTCTGTAGGGAAAGTTGCCATGACAGATGAGAGGAGAACCTTCCTTGGAAGAAGAAATTACACAGAATGCAGCAGAGATAAAAAGACCAATATGAAAAAAAAAAAAAAGGTTTAAAAACATGGATGACAGAGTAAAAAGATCTGATACGCATTTAGCAAGCAGTCCAGAGAGAGAAAATGGATTAAGGAAGGAGGCAAGGAATTATTTAAAGAGATAAGTAGCAATTTCCTAGACTGATTAAAAAAAAAAAAAAACTAATTCACAGGTTTAAATACGTAACAGGTCCTAAGCAAGATAAATAAAACCATATCAGAACACATAAAACCAAGTAACTGACAACCAAGAAATCCACCCAATGAAAATACTCTTCACAAATCAGAGTAAAATGAATACATTTTCAGACAAAAAAACTTGGGAGTGTGACACTAACATATGCTCACTAAAGAAAATCCTAAAGGATGCACTTTAGGCAAAGTGAACTCAGAACATTTTTGCTGCAAGAATGAATGAATAGCAAATAAATGGTACCTATAAGAGTAAATCTAAAGAAGGGGTATGATGTCTGACATGATAAAATGAGTAGCTCAGCAAATTTTTCCCCCAAAAAGCAACAGTAAAACTGGACAAAATTCACAATCCACTGGCAGAAGTTACTGGCTTGAGGTATCTAAGCATAAAGTCACGAATCACTGGGTGACCACTAAGCTATGCAGACATAGGAGTAATCACTAGAAACGTGGATGGGCTTGGGAACAGCAGCAGACCGTCACCCAAACAGAACCACTGGCTTGTGGAATGGCTTTAAAGAATCACGTAGCTTCAGCCTTTCCTCTGAAAAATGAAGAGAGCTGACAGGCAGAGTGGTAGAGAGGAAAGTGCTATAATGAAGCCACGTTGTTGAACTGCATAATTCCCTGTGTCTCAGAATCTTCAGTTATAAAACTATCACCTCACAGGGTTTTTATGAAGCTTGAACAGAATAGTAATAAAAAACTAATTACAGCAATAGCTACTATTTTAATACTTACTAGTGACAGTCACTATATAAAGTATTAATAATAGATAAAAAGGGCATAGAGAATGCTTATTCTAGCACATACAAATATTTAATCTGCTGAATAAGCCTTGTTAATCCTAACAATAAATCCACATGAAGTAAATAAGACAATTTGTTAATTCTAATAGTTAAGACGAAATACCATATTTCATCAAATCCAAGACATCACCAATCATAAAATGCATCATAATTGTATATACAACCAAAAAGAACTGGTTTTAAGATGCATCTAGATTGTGCAGGAATGTTAAATTGTGAAAAATTAAAAATCAATAAAACACAGAAACTGAGTCTTCTTGCCTAAGGTCACTTAGTAAAAACAGTATCAGAATTTGAATCTAGTTCTCTAGAATTTGTCTCATGTTCATTTTGTGTGTGTGTGTTGTTGTTTTTTTTTTCTCTTTCTACCAAATTACAAAAGACAGAATTTAGAACAAAGGCGGGCTAAAGAGAATGTCAACAATTTCCTTATTTTATATCTCACAGCCAGAGGCAGAAAAGGAAGAAAGAACTCTGCCCTCTGCCTATGCCCTATTCTCTGAGAGAAAGAACTGGGGAGACTCCACAGGTCTCACACTTGCTCTTGCTGCTCCATCACCAGACTCTACAGCTGACTAGAGCTGAGACAAAACAAACGACTAAACATAATAGCAAAGCCTAGACCACTACTACAAGAATGAAGCATTCATTACAGATTAGCTAAGAAGGAACTGGCCCTTCACTGGTTCACCCAACTGTCCACCGAGGACGCTGAGAAAACTGTAGCTAGGAATGCTGGGGAAAAGCCTTCTAGCCTGCAGCCTGAGGATGTGCCTGCTCCCCTGGAACTGAGTACCCTTCACCAACTCTACCTTACATGAGTAATGGCAATCATTTGTGAGCCATTTACTACATGCTGAGCACTATACCGGATTTAATTTAACATGAACTACAGGACAAACAAGCAAGCTGCGTACAACATAGAAAGAGACAAAATGAGGGCTTCCTCTAGCTTACATATGCTAGGAATGAAAGCAATAAAAGGGACCTTTGAATTTGCCTAGTCCACCTCAAGTTCTGAAATGAGGAAGCTGAGAGCCTCTGGTGGGACCCCCTCCCTGCCTCTACCCCCACCCATTCTTTTCCTGGTTAACGTTTCTCTGACCACTAGGTTTCAGTTCAAACATCTCTTCCTCAGAAGCCTTCCCAATTCTCTTTAACTGTCAGCCTTCTCTGCCTGCCACCGACTGCGAGGATGGGGCTTTTTTTGCTATTGTTTTCCCAAGTAGATAATACAGTAACCTGGAGACAAAGTAAGTATTCAAATATTTGCAGAATTAAAAAAAAAAAACTATTCCTGGCACTTTGCTGCAACAAGACCTAATCACTTTGGGGTCAAAAATATTAAATTTAAGGCCAAGACCAGAAAGCATAGCTTAAGATTCATTTGGAAAAAGTGATTCGCTTTCTCACCTAATATGAATCATGCTTTATAAATAGAGAATAAAAACCATTTTACTCATTTTTACTACTGGTATAATTATTACAAGAAAGGGGGAACAATGAAAGCTGTGTGTTCACTGATGTCCATGGGGCTGGCTGCCGCTCCTCTATGCTCCCATAGGAACCTGTGAGTGGTTAACTTTCTTACGGCACCTGGCATGACACATCACCATCACTGATTTTTTTGCCTGTCTTCCCCTCCAGAACGTGAGCTCCTCAAAGGCAGGGATTTCTACTAGCGTATTTATCCTCTACAATATCCAGCACCATTACCAAAGGTTCAGTGTGCCAGGTACTATACTACTAATTTGACTATATATTCTTACTTAATCTTCATGAAACTCAAGAGTCCTGTGAAACAGACAGCACTATCCCAATTTTTCAGGAGAAGCTGATGCTAAGAATTATTAAGTCACTTGTCTAACGTCATATGGTTGGTTATATCTGGAACAGGAAGACAAAGTCAATATCTGACACTGACTCTAAAATCATGCCAGCAGGCCGGGAGTGGTGGCTCACACCTGTAATCCCAGCACTTTGGGAGGCTGAGGCAGGCAGATCACAAGGTCAGGAGATTGAGACCAGCCTGGCCAATATGGTGAAACCCCACCTCTACTAAAAAATACAAAAATTAGCCGGGCGTGGTGGGGCGCGCCTGTATCTCAGCTACTCAGGAGGCTGAGGCAGGAGAATCGCTTGAACCTGGGAGGCAGAGGTTGCAGGGAGCCGAGATCGCACTACTGCACTCTAGCCTGGGCGACAGAGTGAGCCTCCGTCTAAAAAAAAAAAAAAAAGGCAGCATTAGATCACTTTTGTATACGAGGAAGGCCATGTTGTGGGGACTGTCTAAAGTAAGAATAATGGAGCCTTATGTCCCAGGCAGCCCCTGAAGTTCGAATATAATATAATCATTAATGTTCCTCATGATAACCTTGACTTGTTGAGAAAAGGTTGAATAATCTTCCCCTATTTAAGAAAGGGGAGAGGAAGGAAATCCATTAAAAGGTAATATGGATATGAAAAACTCAAATGGTAATATTTTACTAAACTGGAATTCAACAGACCACCAACTCCACTTATCCTTGAACAGTCAAAAAGAAGATGAAAAAGAGCTTGTTAACTATCAAGTTAGATCAAATATATCCCATCAATTTTTTTAAAAAGACTCCAATACTTGTTCGGGATTTGTTTATTCCTAATTGGCATTAACTGGTATGATTTTCCAGAACAAGTGCTCCACAACATAAATATCATAATACCATATTAAACTAAACTAAAACCACAACATAATACCATAATCCCACCAGAATGGCTAAAACTTGAAAGATAGATAATACCAAGTTTGGGCAAGGATAGAGCAACTAAAAATCTCACACTGCTGGTAAGATGTAACTGGTACAAATGCTTGGGAAAATTATTTGGCAATATCTACTAAAGCTGAACATAACCTACAACCCAGCACTTAATTCCACTTCTAAGTACCTACCTCAGAGAAAGGCACACATATGTTCAGCAAAGGATATGTTCATTAGAATTAGTGAACTACTATATACAACATGAACGAATCTCACAAATATTATGCTGAGCAAAAGAGCAGATGCAGTCCGGGCGCGGTGGCTCGTGCCTGTAATCCGAGCACTTTGGGAGGCCAAGGTGGGCGGATCACTTGAGATCAGGAGTTCGAGACCAATCTGGCCAACATGGTGAAACCCTGTCTCTACTAAAAATACAAAAAAAAATTAGCCTGGTATGGTGGTGCACACTTCACCTACTTGGGAGGCTGAGGTGGGATAATCACTTGAACCTGGGAGGCAGAGGTTGCAGTGAGCCAAGATCCCACCATTGCACTCCAGCCTGGGCAACAAGAGCGAGACTCTGCCTCAAAAAAAAAAAAAAAAAAAAAGGGCATATGCCATGTAAAAGTTCATAACCAGGCAGAACTAAGCTATGGTGTTAGAAGTCAGAAGAGAGGTTCTCTCTGGGAAAAGGTAGTGACTGAAAAGCAAGAGATAGGCCGGGCGCAGGGGCGCATGCTTGTAATCCCAGCACTTTGGGAGGCCGAGGTGGGCGAATCACCTGAGGTCTGGGGTTCGTGACCAGCCTGACTAACATGTTATGATGAAACCCCATCTCTACTAAATATAAAAAAATAGCCAGGCATGGTGGCACATGCCTGTAATCTGAGCTACTTGGGAGGCTGAGACAGGAGAATCGCTTGTACCTTGGAGGCGGAGGTTGCAGTGAGCCGGGATCGCGCCATTGCACTCCAGCCTGGGCAACAAGAGTGAAACTCCGTATCAAAAAAAAAAATAAAATAAAGCAAAGAAAAGCAAAAGATGATCGTGTTTCATTGATCAGTTCCTTTTGAAAAGTCATAAGGCTATTATTTGTGCATTTACTAGATGTGTACAATATCTCAATAAAAAGTAATTAAACTATTTTTTTTAAAGATCCAACAAGGGAAAAAACAACAGGTGCCCCACTGAAATAAATCAAATGAAGTCATCTCTTCCTGATGTATGTCCTAAAGCCTAAACCCTCCTGGTCTTCAAATTATACCACCCTAAAAGGTAGTCATTTACTCCCCTTTGTTTAAGACCACCTTTCAATAAGAGTAAATATATACTAAAATATGAAGTAGCATAATTTCCTATTACTATTAGAGTGATAAAGTATCAGAAAAAGCAGAAAATAATACCTCCTTTCAAAGTGAAAAAATGACACTTGGTGAATGTATCTGAAGGGGCATAATGCATGGCAAGGAAGAGGGATAGATACTCTTGGGGGTTGTTGTAGCAAATATTCTTAAATACTTCATTCAAAATCAAATGCCTCTGGAGGACAGGGAAGTTTTTTGAAGTTATTTCATGTGGTTGAATAGATGACCTGGGTGTTCTTTCTAAGCCAATACAACACTGATACAGTAGAGCTATTGTCAATCTTCTGATTACAAAGACTTTCCTTTATACTATTACAAAACAGTTGCCAGACAATGAGCAATAATTCCTAAGTTGGTACATTCAGATACAGGCAGATACAGCCTGCCACACATTCAAAGATTTTATAGCCTACTATTTTTACTATATAGACCCAGATGATTTTTTTATTTATATTTAACCTATACATACCCGCCCAATTTCTACATGGAACAAATTAATCAAGTACTAATATCATCCAGGGACCTGTACCACCACATTCACTGAAAAGTAGAATATCAGGATATTTATAAGCTCTGAAAAGTTCACTGTCTACCACACACCCACAAGAGGACATAAAACCATTATTTATTACTGTTGCTTGATAACAAATGTATGGTTACAAGAACACAACCAAGAACTCATAAAATGTGTTCTAACTTTCTGAAACCATACAACACATCTCACTGGAATAGCATACTGATTTTATCATTACTATTAACACAATAAACTCTCTTTCCCTGTCTCATTCACTTTTATTCAGACTTCCTATCTCAATTTAGAAATTACTAATTGTTAGAAACCTTTCCTAACTTCTCCCTCCAAACTAACATAAATAACACTTTTACATGTTTTCATGGCATCCTGTTCTTCCCTGGTACTACATATAATTCCATGTGTTGATTTGTTGATTATCTCTGTCTCCCTTCAAATCATGTAGTTAAACAGACAGAAGTTGGAAAACCTTGAAGATGATGCAGTTTAAAAGACAGTAACATAATCTGACATAAGCTACACACACACACACTCAATGTTAATTCATTCAATCATAATTCAACTGAAACATAAAGTTGGTTTGAGAATCACTCAGACCAGTAACTCATAAAAAGTATTTGTACTGTTTAGCCAGTTTTTTTCCCAAAGATTTAAAAACAGCTCCTCAGTCACAATCTCAACAGAACTTTATAGTTCTGATAAATTATGCCACATGCTTTCCCTAAAATGCATGCTCTAGAAATTGTTTATTCAATGATAAAGCCTATCAGTGACCTCTGTTAGCCCTCTAGCAGACTTAATCAGTGGAAGGAAGTGGGATATAAGGGAGGCTGCAAAACAGCAGGGCTCTGGAACACTGGTTTTACTAGTTATTAGCGGTGTGACCTAGATCAAGTTCCTCAGCCTGCTGAACCTGGTTCCTCAGCTGTAAAACAAGCATATCTCTTAGCTTGGAATGCTATTATCAGGATGAGAAATAATGTATATGACATGTCCAACATGCTACTTCAATCATAGGTGGGTACTTATAATTGATACCTCTTCTTCATTTAAAAAATCCAGGTACAGAGACATTTCAAAACACACACAAATTAGCTATCAGTATACTCCCACCATGAGATTTTTAATATTCTAATAAAAGTTTAAAACTTGTTTTTGGGAAAATAACCAATGAGTAGATTAACTTTGTAACTGTTAAAGGCAGATGTGGGTTTGCAATATAATTAATCTCTTTTATAAACATGAGAAACCAACTTCAGAGAATTTAGTCACTTATATTGTTATTGCTTCAATAATTTTACTTATTAACCCAATGACCTTTCAATAATATCAAGGATCTAACCTCTCCCTGAACACAAGAAGAGATGATATGGAGGGCACAGCTAGCTGAAGCCAGAGACCTTAACACTGAACTATACATTCACCATGAATTGTTCTATGCTAAATATATCATGGATAAGGTGAGGGTCCTGGTCCACCAGATGTGCCCCATTTTGCATTAATTGTAATGCTATGCCTTCCAAAATCTCATTCTCATGCTCCTTAGCCCTTGACCATCATCTCCTATTGCTCCAGGCCATTCCCTCTGCTGTCCTGATCCTCAATTCTCTTGCACCTGTCTCTCTGTCTTATGTGCCTAGCAACACCTCAAACCACCTCTGCTCACTGCACTCCAGCCTTACTAACTTCTTAGCCATTTCTTGAACACCTCAAGTACACTCCTGTCTTTCTACTTTCCTGTTTCTTGTCCCGTAACAGTATTCCTGAAATAGCTATATAGCTTGTTCCCTCACTTCTGTCAGGCGTCTGCTCAAGTGACATCTCCCATGTGACTGCTGCAGAAAAACTGCAATCTCCCCTGGCAGGTACTCCCTTATTCTGCTTCAGTCTACTCCATTCTATTTATTACCATCCAACATAGTCCCACTCACCAGTTCTAACGTGCGTATTTTTTCACATTGTAAGATGAATTCTGATTTTAGAAATAGTAAAATCAATAAAGTCCTACAATCTTTGACCACCAGGTGGCAGTCATCCAGTGTCATTGTATCTACACGCACACCCTTAAAAGTAGCCGTGTTTGATATTAAGTTAGGCACAATGTTAGCACTACATGTGCTGCTAAGTTTAATTGCCATTTAAAATATTTCTCTTGATTTATACTGAAACAAAAAATTTTGTAATATTTAACAATTTAAATTCAAAAGGTTTTTTAAAAATCAAGTGTTCACAACCATGTAAACAGAACTCTTGCAGACTGGGGGTGAGAGTATAAATCAAACAATAATTTTGGAAAACTATTTGGCAGCTTTAGCTGACCATATGCATATTCCTAGCAATTCCACTCCTAGATGTATACTCAACAGAAATACATCCATACATTTACCAAAAGACATATAGGAGAGTGTTTATAGCAGCACTATTTATGTTAGCTCAAAACTAGAACCTAACCAAATGCCTATCCACAGAAAAAATGAGTCAATTCTGTGATTTCACATAATGGAATATTATAGAGCAAACAAACCACAAATACGTCCCAAAAAATAAATGAATCTTACTACATAAAGTTGAAACATGGCAATCGGACACAAAAGAGTGCATACGATATTATTTCATTCATACAAAAGCAGGTAAAATTAACCTATGGTGTTAAAAGTCAGGAAAGTAACAGCGACTGGAGAGGGGAGGAGAGGGCTTTTTAAGAGCTGAAAATATTCTATTTGTTGATCTGGATGCTGGATATATGGGTGTATTCAGTTTGAGATAATTCATCATGCTGTATACTTATGAACTATAAACTCTTCTATAAATGCCAAACTTCAATAAAAAGTATTAAGATTTTGTGTAGGCAGAAAGCACAGAAACAGAGCAATGAGGCATGAATTTGGTATTAGAGAAGCAAATATCTGTCACTGGAGAAATGACTGCATCCAACCTCTTTAAAGGACTTAAGGAAGTAAATATTTTATTGCTAATAGGATTCCTTATCATAAGTCAAATAATGAAAAAAGGAAAGACTGCTAAATATCTTGGAATGGATTGAAGAAACTCCAAAGTAACAACAGGTTAGTAAAATTGAATCACAACTCATAAGACTATTGCTCAGGCCTTATGTTCAGTTTAATTAGAATGTTTAACTATTTTTTGTAAATGTAAAATAACAGTGAGTCTTACAGCCAGAAACTTAGATTTGGATACATACATATATGACATACTAAACATATTTTGTTTGTTTGCCAAGTCAAAGCAAATCACGATACAATGACTATGGAGATTAAAACATGAACCACATGAGGTCCCTGCTTTCTGAAGTTTATTATTACATACCAAAGAAGCTAAGACAACCATACAAAAAGCTATTATATGGATTTATAAATGAGACTAGTGGTATTAAAAAAAAAAGCACAAAGTTTTTTATTTAGTTTTTGTTGCTGTTGCTGTTGTTTTGAGATGGGTTCTCACTGTGTCGCCCAAGCTGGAGTGCAGTGGTGCAATCATAGTTCACCACAATCTCAAATTCCTGGGCTCAAGGGATCCCCCTGCCTCAGCCTCCCAGCTAGCAGGGAACTACACGTATGCACCACCATGCCCAGCTAATTATTTTATTTTATTTTATTTATTTATTTATTTATTTATTGTAGAGATGGGAGTCTCGTCATCTTGCCCAGGCTGATCTCAAGCTCCTGGGCTTACATGATCCTCCTGCCTCAGCCTCCTAAAGTACTGGGATATAGGTGTGAGCCACCACGCTCAGCTCGAAGTAATTTGTTTTTCCTTTGAGACAGGGTCTCACTCTGTCACCCAAGCTGGAGTGGCACAATCTTGGCTGACTGAAACCTCCGCCTCTGAGACTTAAGCAATCCTCTCGCCTCAACTTCCCGGGTAATTTTTGCATTTTTTGGTAGAGATGGGGTTTTGCCATGTTGCCCAGGCTGGTCTTGAACTCCTAGGCTCAAGCAATCCGCCCACCTTGGTCTCCCAAAGTGCTAAGATTATAGGCATGAGCCACTGCACCTGGGCCAAACTACTTTTAAAAAAACAAAAAGGTGAAATTTCTTCCTGTTAATGATTATAAGCCCTGGCCAGGCGTGGTGGCTCACGCCTGTAATCCCAGCACTTTGGGAAGCTGAGGTGGGCAGATCACCGGAGATCAGGAGTTCAACACCAGCCTGGCCAACATGGCGAAATCCTGTCTCTACTAAAAATACAAAAATTAGCCGGGCATGCTGGCGGGCACCTGTAGTCCCAGCTACTCAGGAGGCTGAAGCAAGAGAATCATTTGAACCCGGGAGGCGGAGGTTAAAATGAGCCGAGATCGTGCCACTGCACCCCAGCCTGGGCGACAAGAGCAAGACAACATCTCAAAAAAAAAAAAAGAAAGCTTTTCAGAAGCATCTAGAACTGTGCTGTCTAATATGATATCTACTAGCCTCATGTGGCTATTTAAATTAAAATTAAACAAAATTTAAAATTCAGTTCTGCAGTAGGACTGAACCACATTTCAAGTGCTCAATGGCCACATGTGGCCAGTGGCAACTGTACTGAACAATACGTAGAACATTACCATCATTGCAGAAAGTTTTATTGGACAGGTGATCTGGAGTATTCAAGAGTTAGAAAGAAGCACAGAATAAGGGCATAAGAACAGTTTATCTAATATTTGGGGGAAAACACTCTTTTTTATCTTTTTTTTTTTTTTTTTTTTTTGAGATGGAGTTTCACTCTTGTTGCCCAGGCTGGAGTGCAACAGCACGATCTCGGCTCACCGCAACCTCCGCCTCTCAGGTTCAAGCAATTCTCCTGCCTCAGCCTCCCGAGTAGCTGAGATTACAGGCATGTGCCACCACGCCCAGCTAATTTTATATTTTTAGTAGAGATGGGGATTCTCCATGTTGGTCAGGCTGGTCTCAAACTTCTGACCTCAGATGATCCGCCCGCCTCAGCCTCCCAAAGTGCTGGGATTACAGGCGTAGGCCACCACACTCGGCCTCTTTTTAATCTTGAGTCCATTTTTCCATGTCTCCTTTGACGTCAGAGTGATGAAACCAAGCCACTCTGGTCTAAGAACCAAGCTCAGAATATAAACAAGGAACAACATTCTGTATCTCAAAGTTACATGAGTGAAAAAGATACTTACAAGCTTATCAAAGTCCAACTTAGTTCACCAGAGTGAAAATTTACTCAAAGCCTTAATTAGAAATAAAGTATTCAAATCTTTGCCTAATCCTTTAGTATCTAATTGAAGATTTGCAGTTTCAGGATATAACTTCGAAGTTAATAAATATCCTTAGGGAAGAATTCATTTATTCAAGAAACATTTGCTGAGCGTCTTCTGTGTGCCAAGCACAATGGTAACAAATAAATACAAAAGCATTTAAACGACTAACTATTCAGCAAATATCACAATAGCTTAAAAATCGCAAAATCCTAAACAGGAAAGAAACCAACCAATTCTGCTGTTGACCTGGCAGTGCTTCTTCAGAGGCAGCAAGAAGGGCAGTAACAACGTGCCATCTCTGGCATATTCTCTGAGGGTTGTTGACTCCTGTACTGCCCAATGCCCATCAATCTGAACCAATCACAATGAATTAGCAAAAAGCTAAGAAAAAAGAGCTCCCTCAGAAAGAAAGAGTTAATTAGGCTGGGCACAGTGGCTCATGCCTGTAATCCCAGCACTTTGGGAGGCTGAGTTAGGCGGATTGCTTGAGGTCAGGAGTTCCAGGCCAGCCTGGGTAACATGGTGAAACCCTGTCTCTACAAAAAATACAAAAATTAGTCAGGCATGGTGGTTCATGCCTGTAGTCCCAGCTCCTTGGGAGGCTGAGGTAAGAGGATCGCCTCAGCTCACAAGGTGGAGGTTGCAGTGAGCTGAGATCATGCTACTGCACTCCAGCCTGGGTGATAGAGAGACCCTGTCTCAAAAAAAAAAAAAAAGTTAATAGAACCTTTATTAAGATATAAAAGAAAAAAAAAGAATCCTTGCCAAAATCTCAAAGAATACCTTTAAAAGGAACATCAAAAAATTAATATTTGTCAAACAACTACCCAATAGAAATACACTAGGAACTAAGGGGATATAAAGACATACAGTCTGTGACCTCCAGGAGATTTGATCTACTTTGTGAAACAGAATGTCCATGAAATCACAATGCAAGCAAACACTGTATGAGGTACATTCGGAAAACAATTATAGTATAAACTGTGAGTTGAAAGGGACCTACAAGTGTTTTAGTCCAATCCTCCCCCTTGTCTTGAATCCATTCTACAGTATTCTTTGGAGACAATATTCCACCTAAGTGCACAAAGGATGAAGGTATCATGACCTCACAGATAGCTCCAAAGCAATTGAAGATGGAGGCCAAAAGGAGTTGAAGATAGGAGTTAACATTCAGAGATCTTTAGAAATATGGATTTGGGAGCCAAGGGAAGATCTAATAAATCCAATACTAATAATGCAGAACAATACACTAAAGTGCCATTATGACATAGGGTCTATTATTATGACATAGGGTCTATTATAACACAAATCTGGGGGAAAAGCAATGGATATTAAAAAACCATCCCCAACATTTGACTATGGAAAAGAGAACAGAATAAATGAACACAAAATTCTGTTCTATCTTCCCCATAATCACTCCTAGCTCTTAACTGTCTGCAAACTATTTCTGTTTCCACCTGAGCAAGGAGAGGAGGAAAAACTAATATTTACTCAGTAACTATTATACATCAAGCATGATGCTAGGCACTTATTTTATATCATATAATATACGTAGAACCAGAGCTTTACTGGTGATGGGACCTCCCCAGAGATGGACTCAAGGAACTGTCTGGCCTAGAATCCAAATCTATTGATATTTTAGAGACATTTCAAAGACAGCTTGATGAAGAGGAAAGAGTAGAGACAAAGACAGAAGGTCTAGATTGGGGTTCTGGTCCTGCAGTCCTCTGACTCTGCAAAAGTTGTTGGAACTCTCTGGGTACCAGCTTCCTAAGATCTGCCCCATCTACTTTACAGGTTGTTCTAAGGATCAAAATGGGATAACATGTAAATACAACACATCATTGATAACCCTTTATTCATTTAACAAGTAGTTACTGAGCATCTATACTATTCTAGACTCCAGGGTAACAGGAGCAGCGAGATTGGCAGGGCCCGTGCTTTCATGGAACTTATGTTCTAGCAGGTGGGAGGCAGTTCATAAACACAAACAAGTAAGCAAGCAAGAGTTTCCAACAGTGATGAACACTTTAAAGAAAATAAAACAGGGTCATGAAAAAGCATGACTGGGGAAAGAGAACTGCTCTAGATGAGATAGCCATAGAAGGTCTTGCTGAAGTGACATAGCTGAGACCTTGAAGACCTCTTCAGTCAAGCGAACAGCTGAGGAAACAAGTGTTCTAGACATAAGGAACAAGATAAGCTTTGTGTGTTTGAAGCACTGAAAGAGGTACACCTGGAACACAATGAGTGCGGAAAAGAGGAGGAGATGAGGTGGAAAAGCAGACAAGGGCCAAATCCAAGATGGTACTGGACCATTACTAAGATATTTTCATTACCAGAAAGGTCTTCTTTGTTTTCAACACAGCCTAATAAATTGAGCCATTTATGCAAATATCCAGTGTATACATTATCAAAAGTAGGATATTTACAACTTTCCAACTGAGCAATGCCACTGCCAAGAAACAAGTAGGAGTATCCTATACAAAAGCCCGAGGCATAAAATTCTTAAGAACTATATCTGAACAAAGATATCATTTATTATGACATATGGCGAGTGAAATAATCAGAAACTTATTTATAGGAAATGGAAGTGAGAAAACTATAGAATTTGAGTTTTTATCATTTAAAGTTCTTAACAGAAAAATCAGTTCATTCAGTAAATATTTTTTTCTTTTTTTATTTTATTATTATTATACTGTAAGTTTTAGGGTACATGTACACAACGTGCCAGTTTGTTACATACGTATACATGTGCCATGTCGGTGTGCTACACCCATTAACTTGTCATTTCATTCAGTAAATATTTATCAAGCACCTACTACATAAGCACTAGAGATACAGCAATGAACAAAACAATGATGATTTAACAATTGAGCAGATCCGTTAAAGTATCATAAAACCAGAGCTGAACCTCAACTTATTTTACATTTCTGCATTTTCTGAAAACAGGTGTATATACTTAGTCATATGTACCCGTCAGAAAGCAAACTTACCAAGGAATTCTTAATCACTTCACTTCTATAAAATTCTGGAAAAGAAGAAAAAAGAACAATAAGTGATATGAAAGAAAATAAGCCCATTAACCAACTGTTAATCCTCTAATTTTTTTAACATATGTTGCAGTAAAACATTTAAAATATTTTCAAGGGATTTATTCTCTCTATATCTTTATCTGTTAAAAAAAAAAGTAAAAATTCAATGAAAGTGTTTTAAAGGGAAAAAAATTCAGTAAAGAAGGATAAAACCTTTCAGATTTGCTTTAGTGATTATTACCTTACTGACTCCTTTTTCCTCCAATTCTAATTTGAGCCCTTAAAAGCTCCAACCTTCTTCCTTCCCCGCTTCCACCCTCACAACTGACTCCATCCGCTCTGTTTTTCTCAAACATCTCGAATGATTACCCATTGCAGTACTGTGGAGTGAATACTGATGTAGGTTACCTGGTTGCTAGTGTTTTAATCTAGGTTAACTGGTTGACAGTTTTGGTTAAAACACTAGCAACCGGGTGACTTAAGTCCTACTTCTACCTCTGTCACTAACACTATGTCTCTTTAATTCCCCTGGGCTCATTATTGCTCTAAGACAACTTAGAGAATTGAACAGATAATTGAAGGTCCTTGGTAAGCATTAAAATTTCATGACTCTACAAGCCTTCATGTATGTTGGAAAAGGTCACAAAACTCAAAGATGCAATCAAAATGTGTCAGAAGTTCAGACACTCCTGAAAACCTTCCAATATTCCCTCTGCTTATCCTGCCCAAGTCATCTCCATGCTGCTCTTATGGCCAACAGGATGAAACCCCATCTCTACTAAAAATACAAAAATTAGGTGTGGTGGCACATGCTTGTAATCCCTGCTACTTGGGAGGCTGAAGCAGGAGAATTGCTTGAACCCAGGAGACAGAGGCTGCAGTGGGTAGAATTGCACTACTGCACTCCAGCCTGGGTGACAGAGTGAGACTCCATCTAAAAAAAAAAAAGAAAAGAAAAGAAAAGAAATTGCACGCTCAAAGAACAATTTGACTTTGATAGATATTGCCAAATTGTTACATACAAATATTATACTAATTTACAATACCACTTATGAAAAAGTCTGTTTCTCCAACACTATGAAACCGTAAGTATTGTTCTTTTCATTTTATCCTCAAATGGTTAACCAATTATTCCAACCATTAACTGACAATACAAACTTAGAAATGTATGTATTTATGTATACATATACATATATCCTAACATACACGCACCATACATTTTTCAAAAAACAAAAGCATAAGGGATTTAAAACTATTGTTTTTTATTACAGGGTATTTTTACATAATACTGTATATATTCTTGTGTTGTTTGAATTAAAGTATATATTACTGTTAAGTCAGTGAAAAACACAAGAAAGATAATCCCTTTTTCTTTTGAGAAAGCGAATTCCTTAGCTTAATCTGCAAAGTGTCTAAATTAAACAGTTTTTGCAATACATATTTCTAGCTCTAAGATGAGTGGTATCATTCCTTCTTCCAAAACTTTGTTAACTTGGGGGCTGGGTGTGGTGGCTCACGCCTGTAATCCCAGCACTTTGGGAGGCTGAGGCGGGCAGATCACCTGAAGTCAGCAGTTCAAGACCAGTCTGGCCAACATGGTGAAATCCTGTCTCTACTAAAAATACAAAAATTAGCCAGGTGTGGTGGTGGGTGCCTGTAATCCCAGCTACTGGGGAGGCTGAGGCAGTACAATCACTTGAACCCAGAAGGTGGAGGTTGCAGTGAGCTGAGATTGCACATTGCACTTCAGCCTGAGCGAGAGCAAAACTCCATCTCAAAATAAATAAATAAATAAAACTTTGTTACCTGGCTGAATAAATCAAACAAAACAATTCGCCTTCTCCAGCAGACCCTCAAAATGAACATGCCAATGTAAATGAAGAGAGTTTAACAAAGGAGCCATACAATTTGGAAAGAAATTGCTGAGTATGAGGTTATTTCTAATATGACAAACATGAACCTACACTGTGTAGCATTCTATTGCATCTAAAATATTATCAATAAAATTTATAGCACAATATAAAAAAATGAGTGAATGTAGAGTTAAAAAAAAATAGTTCCAGTCCTCAATCTACCTCAATCTTTGTGACCCTGGATAGGTCAATTAACCTTTATGGCCCACAATTTCTTCATCTTTCAAAGGAGAATGACACCTGGAATATAATAGGGTTGTTACGAGGCTGAAATAAAATAATGTATTTAAAATATTTTATAATTTTTATTGTTATTGTTTAAGTTTTATTGCTTAAAACAAAACCTAAAATTATTTAAAACAAAATTAATAAAATTTTATTAATAAAATTGTTTAGTTTTTTTCCATTCAATGTGAGTAAAATCATACAAGGAAATTTTCTTTTTTTTTTTTTGAGACAGGGTCTCACTCTGTCACCCAGGCTGGAGTGCAGTGGCGTGATCTCGGCTCACCGCAACCTCCGCCTCCCGGGTTCAAGTGATTCTCCAGCCCCAACCTCCTGAGTAGCTGGGATTGCAGGTGCACACCACCACCGCCCGGCTAATTTTTGTATTTTTAGTAGAGAAGAGGTTTCGCCATGTTGGCCAGGCTCGTCTTGAACTCCTGACCTCAAATGATCCACACGCCTCGGCCTCCCAAAGTGCTGGGATTACAGGCGTGAGCCACCACACCCAGCCTAAATTTTCAAAAAGATATCATTCAAGACCTACTTCTACATGAAAAAGACCATTAAATATAAATATTTCTCTATGTAGCCATGCTAAGACGGAAAGAAACAAAGCAATCACAGATTGCAGAGTATGTTTCAAGTGGCATATTTTGGCTGTTCTGCAGCATTCCATTCATTCAACAAATGCTTAAGTGCCTCATCCTAATACTCATAGATATGGTGTATCTATTCAAAGCAAAACTATCTCCTACTATGAATGTGGACTCATAATAGGAGAAATACAAACTTAAGCTATACTGCAAAATTATTTTTCACCTAACAGGGTGGCAAAAATTCAAAAGTTTGCATAGGCTTGGTGGTTGAAGCTGTGGGGAGAAAAGCACTCACACATAAAACAACTCCCACGGAGGGCAATTTCGCAATATCTACCAAAACTTCAAGTACACATTCTCTTTGTCCTAGTAATTCCACTTTATGAAATTTACCCTATCAATATACTGTCACTCATACAAAACAATGTATTATAAAGTTATTCAATGCAATACTGTGTGTATAGCAAAAGACTGGAACAACCTAAGTGTCCACCAATAGGAGCCAGTAAATAAATTATGGTGTATCTATTCAATGCAAAACTATGCAGAAAAAAACAAAATACAGGGATGCTGTCTATGAACCAATATGGAGAAAACCCTAAGACAGTAAGTGAAAAATGCAAGGTACAGAAACATAAATAGTATGGTACACTTTGTGTAAAAAAGAGGAGAGAAAGGAATAAGAATATTTGTATTTGTACTTGTATTTGCATAAAGAATCTCAGGAAAGACAAACAAGAAATGAGTAACAGTGGTTATCAGGGTGGGGTAGAAAACTAGGGTGACAGAAGGCTGGTGAAAGGGAGGCCTTAATATGAACCTTTGTATCTTTATATATATATACACATATATATTTTTTTTTACCTATTAAAAAATTAAATTAAAAAGACAAAAATATTTGAAGGCCTAGTATGTGTCAAGCATGGTTCTGCAGTTCTGCATATTGGGGACAGAGCAATAAGCAAAAGTGACCTGAAAATCTCTGCCTTCATAGAGTTTACATTCTAGTGGGAAGAGACATACAATAATCAAATAATTAAACATATAGTATGTCAAGTGATCTTAAGTACCACAGAGAAAAATAAAGCACAGAAGACAGAGGAGAATAATCACAATTTATAAAAGGGTTAGTCAGTGATCAAGGAGACTTTCTCTGAGAAACATGTGGAATAAAGACCTGCAATTCAGAAGGAGCAGAATTGAAAGGAAAAAAAAAAAAAGGCTGAGTACAGTGGCTCAGGCCTGTAATCCCAGCACTTAGGGAAGCCAAGACGGGTGGATCACGAGGTCAAGAGATCAAGACCATACTGGCCAACATGGTGAATCCCCATCTCTACTAAAACTACAAAAATTAGCTGGGCGTGGTGGCATACACCTGTAGTCCTAGCTATTCGGGAGGCTAAGGCAGACGAATCGTTTGAACCTGGGAGGTAGAGGCTGCAGTGAGCTGAGACTGCACCACTGCACTCCAGCCTGGGCAACAGAGCGAGACTCCATCTCAAAAAAAAAAGGGGGGGGGAAAAAGAAAGATCTGCAAGAAGGTGGAAGCACTAGTCACGTGAATAAGTGAAGGAAAAGTATCCAAGTCAAATGGCAAATGCAGAGGTCTTTAAGTTAGTTAAAACCAATGCATTCAAGCAACAGCTACAATTTCAGCTAGCTGGAACACAGACAGCTGGAAGAGTAGCAGAAAATGAGTTCAGAGAGGTAACCAAGAACCAGATCATGAAAGGCCTTCTAGGAAACCATAAGGATTTTAGCCTTTTCTGTGAATGAGATGGGAAGCCATGGGAGGGTTTTGAGGAGAGAAATAAAGGGATGTGACTTTCATTTTAACAGGATCTCAGTTGAGAACAGACTGACGGAGTTGCATGAGCAGACAAACCTGTTAAACGTCTACTTCAACAATGTAGTTAAAAGATGACTGTGGTTTGAAGATAGCAAGAAGTGATTAGGTTATGGATATATTTTGATAGTAAGAGCCAAAAGTATACGCTGAAAGACTGGATGTGAAATGTAAGAGAAAGAAGACAATCCAGGATAACTCCAAGTTTTTGGCCAAGGAAATGGAGTTGCCATTTTCTGATATAAGGAAGAATACAGGAGATGGATCACAGCTGGAACATCAGAAGCTCAGTTTTGAACATATCAAGTTTAAGTTACCTACTAGACCCCAAATGGAGCTGTAGAGTAGGCAACTGGATTACAGGGGTATGAGTTCAGAGGAAAGGTCAACAGGTGACATTTAAAACTTGAAGACTTGACCCAGGCTTGGTGGCTTCTGCCTATAATCCCAGCACTTTGGGAACCAAGGCAGGTGGATTGCTTGAACCCAGAAGTTTGGGACCAGCCTAGACAACATGGCAAAACTCGGCTCTACAAACAACAACAAAAAATTAGCCAGGCATGGTGGTGTGTGCCTATAGTCCCAGCTACTCGGGAGGCTGAGGCGGGAGAATCACCTGAGCCCAAAAGGTTGAGGCTATAGTGAGCTGTGATTCTGCACTCCAGCCTGGTTGACAGAGTCAGACTCTGTCTCATAAAAAATAAATAAAAATAAATAAAACTATGAGACTTGGGTAAGATCACCAAATTAAGTAATATAGAGTTCATCTTCTGATGTATTCAAGACAGTCGGTATTCCAGGAGAGGGCAGGCATTTACATTTCATGGGTAAGAAAATAACTATGAAAAACAAACTTAAGGGCCGGGCACGGTGGCTCACGCCTGTAATCTCAGCACTTTTGGAGGCCGAGGCAGGCGGATCACGAGGTCAGGAGATCGAGACTATCCTGGCTAACACGGTGAAACAAACACAGTGAAACCCCGTCTCTACTAAAAATACAAAAAATTAGCTGGGCGTGGTGGCGGATGCCTGTAGTCCCAGCTACTCGGGAGGGTGAGGCAGGAGAATGGTCTGAACCCAGGAGGCGGAGCTTGCAGTGAGCTGGAATCGCGCCACTGCACTCCAGCCTGGGCGACAGAGTGAGACTCCGTCTCAAAAAAATAAAAAATAAAAAATAAAAATTTCCAATTTTAACAAGAACCAAGTTTAGAATCTATCCATCCATTAACACAAGGCTTTGTTCTCTGGGGATATAATAACTAGTATTTGATTGGAAATAAGTAAACAATCTCCTAAAAGCACTACAAGAATGTCAAAAGTCAAAAAATTTCACACATCTCTTCTTAAATTTTACACATATCTTCTTTGGATCTGCTGTAAATTTAGCTGAAATAAAAGAAAAACTTAGAAACCAGCATTTCGGATATTCTTCCAATAAAAAACTGTCTTCTGACACTAAGAAATGTTACCACTAAACAGGTGGTATGGGTGGTTCATCAAGAAGAGTCAATTGGTCTCTTATGATGGTTGTTCTATACCAAGGACCAAACAATGATCATCAAATATTCACGTTTGTCATAATAGGTCCGACCAACAAGATACGACAGCACTAACTAGAATTACTAAAGAAAGGGCTTCCCAGCTCCTCCTATGGTAGTTAAAAGTTTGTAAAGCCCAACAAAGTTCATGAATAGGCTTCACTCAACCATGACATTTTGGAATGGGAGGAATGCTCAGAAATCACCAATCCCTTCATTTTAATGATAAATTAACTGAAGCCCGCAAGAGGGAGTAAATGCCCTCAAGAGGCTTGACAGCTAGTGCCAGATTCAACAGCAACACCAGACCCCGGACTTCCCCGTGCTCTGTCACCAGCTATTCCCTAACTGTGTTGAGGATTGGATTGAGATATCTCATTGAGATAACTTCAAAAAACAGTCAATGACAACTCCTAAATTCAAGATATAATCTGAGCTGGAAGAGAGAAAAAACAAAAACAAAAAAGGCACTTTGCTTTCATCATATCTCTAGACAAGTTTTTTAACATGATCTTCAACCAGCCCCATGACTATTCTTTTTAGAAAATACTATTATGATTATTATAATTCTAATAATAATTGCTATCATTTTCCAAATTCCCAAAATGCGCTAAGTACTGGTGTTAATTACTATTATCAGAGGTAACACTGGGGCAAGAACACAGAAGTTTTGTTAAGGTAACCAGGACTGATTATATAGACACTCATCAAAAATTTAAAATACTCTGGCACTGTCATACATTGCTAGTGATATAACCAATTAGTGAGCAGTAGACTAAATGTTTTAAGGCCTACAAAAATGCTTAAACCCTTAAACCAAATAGTAGCCAAATTGTTTCATTTTCTTTCTGGACACATAGTAAGACTGCATTTCCCAGTCCCCTTTCCATCTAAAAAGGACAATTCAGGCCAAGCACAGTGGCTCACATCTATAATCCCAGCATTTTGGGAGACTAAGATGGGCAGGTCACTTGAGGTCAGTAGCTCAAGACCAGCCTGGCCAACATGGTGAAACCCCATCTCTACAAAAAATACAAAAATTAGCTGGGTGTGGTGGCGCATGCCTGTAATGCCACCTTCTTGGGAGGCTGAGGCAGGAGAATCGCTTGAACGTGGGAGGCGGAGGTTGCAGTGAACCGAGATGGCACCACTGCACTCCAGCCTGGGCAAACAGACTGAGACTCCATCTCAAAAATAAATAAATAAAATAAAAAATAAAAAGGACAATGTAACTGATTTATGGCCAATAGAATGTAATGAAATTGATATGGACCATTTCCATTTAAAAATCTCCCACAAGTAATCCTTCTATCTCTGGCCATGCCAGAGGCCATGTATTGAGGACACCAGCAGCCCAAACTAGAAGGAACCTGCATACCTGAGTCATCACTTAAAGGACAGCTGCCAAGACAGAACCTGATAAAGAACACCTACACTGGACTTAGTATAAGACATGTATTATGGTAAGCCACTAAGAGTTGTGGTATTTGTTACAATAGCTAGCATTAATCATTCAGATGAATACAATTGTTTCAAAAATATGGAATGGACTGGGCACAGTAGCTCACACCTGTAATCCCAGCACGTTGGGAGGCTGAGGCAGGTGTGGGATCACCTGAGGTCAGGAGTTCAAGACCAGCCTGGCCAACATGACGAAACCCTGTCTCTACTAAAAATACAAATATCAGCTGGACGTGGTGGCAGGCACCTGTAATCCCAGCTACTCAGGAGGCTGAGGCAGGAGAATTGCTTGAACCCAGGAGGCAGAGGTTGCAATGAGCCAAGATTGCACCACTGCACACCAGCCTGGGCAACGGAGCGAGACTCTGCCTCAAAAAATAAATAAATAAATAAATAAATAAACAAATAAATAAATAAATCCATGCAATGGTTAGACTGAAAAGTGAGAATGAAATAAAATTACATGAGGATAGTGGAATTTAGAGTCCTTTTCCCATCCTTAAAAATTATTGCCAGGCACAGTGGCTCACACCTGTAATCCCAGCACTTTGGAAGGCCAAGGCAGGCAGAGGTCAGGAGTTCGAGACCAGCCTGGCCAACATGGTGAAACCCCATCTCTACCAAAAATACAAAAGTTAGCCAGGCGTGGTGGCATGTGCCCGTAATCCCAGCTAATTGGGAGGCTGAGGCAGCAGAATCACTAGAATCCAGGGAGGCGGAGGTTGCAGTGAGCTGAGATCACGCCATTGCACTCCAGGCTGGCTGGGTGACACAGCGAAACTCCGTCTCAGGGTGGGGTGGGCGGGAATTATTTTAAGGCTATTTACTCTGAAGGGGTTTCTTCACTGTATATTTCTTGACTCAATTTTTTAATGAGCAGATACTGGAATTGACATTAAAAAAAGTTGTTAAACAATCACTGCTTTAAATAATCATTAAAACTAAAAAGAGGTTAGGGACAGTGGCTCATACCTATAATCCCAGCACTTTGGGAGGCTGGGGGAGGAGCATAGCTTGAGTCCAGGAGTTGGAGACCAGCCCAAAAAACATAGTAGGACCCCATTTCTACAAAAATTTTTTCAAAGTTAGCCTGGAGTGGCGTCTCACACCTGTAGTCCCAGCTACTTGGGAGATGGAGGCAGGAGGATCATTTGAGTCTGTGAGGTCAAAGCTGCAGTGAGCCATGATTGTGCCACTGTACTCTAGCCTGGCTGACAGGGTGAGATCCTATCTCGAAAATAAATAAATAAATAAATATCACTTGAATTTTTCATCTTTGCCACAGGACAAGATTCAAATAAGTCTCAGTACCTTTTGTTAAAATGATGTCACCTTTTGTTAGCATAAATAGATCTTTAATCACATCTTACTGAGATTTTTATGATCCTCATAAAAATCTGTCTTGCCTACTTCATAAGACATCATTATCTCTACTTTACAAATGGGGAGAGTGAAGTTCCAAAAACCGTGATCTTTATCAAAAGTCACGAAGCTAGTGAGTAGCTGGGCTAGAACTAGTACGGAAGTATTTTCCATCATAATCCAACATTCCTATCATTTTACCATGCTTCCTCTCTTACACCATCCCACCTAAGCCAACGGATTATGTCTCAGTGCCTCTCATCTAATATGCATTCTGAAGGTGGTTGCCATTTTTAATCAAATATTTGGTCTACTCTTAGAATTTTTCACTTACAGAAGAATCCACAGTACAATATATAAAACTGAATTAGAGAAAACCATGCCATTCTTCTGAAAAAGATCCCATATATACAGGGAATTACAGATACGAGAAGATATAAACTAGGTCCCTATTTTACCATAATATTAAAGAAAAGAAATTTATTACATTTTTATAAAAGTAAAATTACTACAGGATACTGGATTCAATCTACTTGAAATGCTAGCTGCTAGACCATTAATAGCTAACATTCATAAAGGAATGATAAACGTATCAATGTAAGGCTCAGTTATCTGAAAGAACTATCCAACTGCCATCTTTCTTTAGTATACATCCCAACTGCTCATGAGATATTTTCAGACAGCATAACAATTTAGGTTTCCGAGAAGCCACAAAAGCAGGAGGCACTGAGAATCACTTGTGTTACAAAAAAAATAAAAATATAACAATCTGTGGGTAGTAAGGCCACAGATCCCCTTACCTTTATATATCTTTTCAGTACTACACAAGTGAAGTGTAAAGTAGGTATCAAGGAGCTGATGGCCATTTCTATTAACAATGTTCCGGGCAGCAATGTTCCGAAGATGTCGAAGACGCCGCTGAAAAATAACAACAAAAAAGAGAAGGCATTCAGATTTTTCCTCCTATAAAATTTTCTGGAAGTTGCAGTTCAAAAATGAAATGTAATAAGTTGTCTCAGTCATTTATTTATTGAGCCAGAAACCATAACCCAGTCTCTTATTTATGCCTCAGCATCCCCTCTGTCAAACAGGAATTATACCTGCCCTATCTCATTTACAAGGTGGTTGGAGAATGAAGTGACAACAGACATGAAATATTTTTGAAAAGGACCAACGTTATGTAAGTGCTATATACCCGCATAATAGCATTAGTATTCCCTGGAACATAAACTAAGTAGTAATTTGGTTTTCTCCACAGAGGGATTCTGATAGACATATAAAATCCATCTCATACCAACAGATAATCACCAGTTAACACATACACTCACCCCTGATGCTAGTTCAGTCTAGATGCCAGATTATCTATACAAGCAGGAAAACAAGGCCACAGCCAAAAAATAAAAATAGTGACTCACTGGTCACTCCATCCACCCCATCCAGCCAATAAAGCAACTGCTGTGAGCTTCCATTCGATTCTCATTTCACCAGTCTCAATTTCATAATCAGGCCTCCTTCCTAACAATTTCTCCAACCAGACTCTTTAATGATTTGAAATCATAAGTTTAGAAATGGAAAAGCTTCATAAGCAATAGTAGAAATCAACAAAAATACAAAATAAGCTTAAGGGATAGCCAAATCAACTCATATATCAAAAAGAGAATGTTGGCAACGCTGAAGTCTGGGCACAGCAGATTCATCCCCAAAAGCTAGTTCCCTATGTCAGATCATTATCTTCAGAGACTTAAAAATAGAAACCAAGTGCTCACACTTAAAATGTGCTTAAAGCTCTCCCGCAGGCTGAAAGCCAGTTCACTCTCCTGAGGTAAGTCCACTTTCAATTACAGGCACAGTCAGCCAAAAGAGCCCAGGTCTTTTTCCCGTGCACATACCAACCCAATCCTTTCTCCCAATCTAGAGATTAAGATTCTTTGAGAGAGAAGGTTATTGTCTAATAAATTTGTTTAATCCTCTAAGTATGAAAAGCCTCAAATGTATTTACAAAAAGTTTCCTGGGCTTACTCTAAAAGACTCATTTTTCCACAATCTGCCAATGGTTTCCATTTCACACCCTGGATTACAGCAACAATTTTCTCCTGCTACACACTTTTCATTAGCCCTTTCAGTCAAAACTTTAAAAACAGGAACCACTAATTATCTGCATACAATAATCACATCTATTTTGCTATAAGATTACAATCCTGCTCCTCTGTTCAAAGACCTGAAAACATCTGGAATATCTAGGATAATGTACAAAAACATCCCATCATTGTGTTCAAAGCCCTCTACAGTCTAACTTCTCTATATACCATCCTTACTTCCCACCAGCTCTTCCACATACCCAACCCCTCAGTCACACATGACTGCTTAAAGTCCATCAAAAAGACCATGAACTTTCCTAGCTCCATGCATTTGCTGATGGTAGACCTCAATGCCATCCCGCTCTTTAAGGAGATCCTATGCATATTTCAAAGTTTAGGAAAGAAGATTCCTGCCCTTCCTGATTTTCCAATTGAAATTGAGGCAGGAGAATAGGGTCTCCAGGGACCTAAGGCAACCCTAGAACTAAATCTAAAGGAAAACCCCAACTTTCCATGCCTAAATAACAAAAGGACCAAAGGCTACACCCTTTGCAAACTCCCCATTCTGGCTGGGTGCTTTCCATAACCAATCAGATGCTTGCATAGGAGTGTAACTTTGTAACTTCAGCCTCTGATTGGCTGCTTTCTGCAACCAATCAGACTGATTGCAGGCCACCACTTCATTTGCATGGTGTGAACACCAAGTGGCCAATGGGAAACCTCTGGGGGTATGTGGGTCCTAGAAGATTCTGTAAGGGGGCTCTCCAGGGGCTGCAAGGCCCACTCCCACCTTGCTGAATGTACTTTCATTCTCAATAAATCTCTGCTTTCATTGCTTCACTCTTTGCTTGCTTTGCTGTTAATTTTGTCCAATTCTTTGTTCAAAACACCTAGAACCTGGAGAACTTTCAGTCAAGACCCGCTACCAGTAACAAAATTAGTTGCTCCCTTATTAGGACAAGTAAGAACTTTGCTTCTATCTCTACTATAGCACTTATTTTGTTCGGCCTTTATTATAGTTAATTGTTTACCGTTATCTTCCCTATTAATCTAGCATTAAAAGGCTTGATAGAAACCACAACCATCACTGTACTGTCAGCATTTATTAAATGTTTACCTTGTGTCATGTACTGTGCTAAATATGTGCTTCATACATGTGAACATTTAATTCTCATAACAACCCTACAAGGTTAACTATTACTCATTATCATTAATTTTTTTTTTTTTTTGAGATGGAGTCTCGCTCTGTCGCCCAGGCTGGAGTGCAGTGGCGCAATCTCGGCTCTCTGCAAGCTCCGCCTCCCAGGTTCATGCCATTCTCCTGCCTCAGCCTCCCAAGTAGCTGGGACTACAGGCACCCGGCTAATTTTTTTGTATTTTTAGTAGAGAGGGGGTTTCACTGTGTTAGCCAGGATGGTCTCAATCTTCTGACCTCGTGATCCGCCCGCCTTGGCCTCCCAAAGTGCTGGGATTACAGGTGTGAGCCACCACCCGCCCGTCCATCATTATTCATTTCTTTATCTCAACATTTTTTTTTTCTTTTGAGAGGGAGTCTCGCTCTGTCTCGCCCAGGCTGGAGTGCAATGGCGCCATGTCGGCTCACTGCAGCCTCCGCATCCTGGGTTCAAGTGATTCTCCTGTCTCACGCTCCCAAGTAGCTGCGACTACAGGCATGTGCCACCACACTTGGCTAATTTTGTATTTTTAGTAAAGACAGGGTTTCACCATGTTGGCCAGGCTGGTCTCGAACTCCTGACCTCAGGTGATCGACCTGCCTCAGCTCCCCAAAGTGCTGAGATTACAGTTGTGAGCCACCACACCCAGCCTAGTCTTACATTTCTAAGTAACCAAATATAAAACAAAGAAAATAATAAATGACAGGAGATATCTCAAAAGAAGGAAAGAATGCAGAAAGAAAGCCAAGGATTACATCCTATATACGTGGATATGTATCTCCATCTAAATACTACATATACCTAAAAGATATAATTTGTCTTCATACTCCTTTATTACTACAGAACACAAGGAAATAACCAATTCTTCAACTCAAAAGAATAACTTTATGACACATGCAATTACCATGGAATTGACTGCCTTACAAAGCAGTGTGCAGGGCTTGGACGGAGATCGAATCTATAATAGATGCATGGATATTATTATCAAAGAGATCTCTGCATTATGTAGCAACTGTGGGAAATTAGCACGACCACCTCCAAGATACCTTCTGATTCTAAACTCTATGATTTTCATCTGGGTGATTACCAGTGTAATCCATTAATGCGAATAAACAGAACAAACCACATTCAGACCATTTTATAAAAAGGTTTACAAAAAACAAACTCCATAAACTGACCAACTATAATTAAAGCACTGACTGTGGGCTGTATGACTTTTTGCCCTTTTCCTTTATTTTACTTATTTCAAAAGCATTAGGGTAAGTATTCTCATTATACCATAATTAATTAAAATCCAAGATACTTCCAGCAACTGGAATGGACAAAGGAAAGAAACTTTTTTTTTTTTTTTGAGACAGGGTCTCTCTCTGTCCCCCAGGCTGGAGTACAGTGGTAGATCGTAGCTCACTGCAGCCTCAACCTCCCAGGCTCAAGCAATCCTCCCACCTCAGTCTCCCAAGTAGCTGGGACCACAGGCATATGCCACCATGCCCAGCTAAATTTTTTTTTTTTTTTTTAGAGACAGAGTCTCCCTATGTTGCCCGTGCTAATAAATCCTTTTTTCTTTTTTTTTTTTTTGAGACACAGTCTCACTCTGTTGCCAGGCTGGAGTGCAGTGGTGCGATCTCGGCTCACTGCAATCTCCGCCTCCCGGGTTCAAGCATTTCCCCAGCCTCAGCCTCCTGAGTAGCTGGGACTGTAGGCGCATACCACCACACCCAGCTAATTTTTTGTATTTTAGTGGAGACGGGGTTTCACCATGTTGGCCAGGATGGTCTCGATCTCCTGACCTCGTGATCCGCCCACCTCAGCCTCCCAAAAGTGCTGGGATTACAGGCGTGAGCCACCGTGCCCAGTCGCTAATAAACTCTTTATGGGTAAATTACTGATGCAATCTTGGTAAAAGGCAGTAAGTGTACATGTAAACCCTCTTGTGCCCTAGGTCTGGCCTTCTTTTTTAATAACGTTCATTCCAGAGCCAGGCACAGTGGCTCATAACTGTAATCCCAGCACTTTGGGAGGCCAAAGCAAGAGGATCACTTGAGCCCAGGAGTTCAAGATCAGCCTAGGCAACAACATAGTGAGACCCTATCTCTAGAAAAAATAAAAATAAATTAGCTGGGCTGGGCACAGTGGCTCATACCTGTAATACTAGCACTTTGGGAGGCCGAGGCGGGTGGATCATTTGAGGTCAAGAGTTCAAGACCAGCCTGGCCAATATGGTGAAACCCGTCTCTACTAAAGATACAAAAGTTAGCCAGGCGTGGTGGCACACACCTGTAATCTCAGCTACTTGACAGGCTGAGGCAGGAGACTCACTTGAACCCCGGAGTTGGACGTTGCAGTAAGCCGAGATCACGCCACTGCACTCCAGCCTGGGTAACAGAATGAGTGAGACTCCATCTCAAGAAAACAAAAGAACAGGCCAGGCACGGTGGCCCATACCTGTAATCCCAGCATTTTGGGAGGCCGAGGTGGGTGGATCACCTGAGGTCAGGAGTTCGAGAGTAGCCTGGCTAACATGGCAAAACCCCATCTCTACTAAAAATACAAAAAATTAGCCGGGCGTGGTGGCACACACCTGTAATCACAGCTACTCAGGAGGCTAAGGCAGGAGAATCGCCTGAACAAGGGAGGCAGAGGTTGCAGTGAGCTGAGATCATGTCACTGCACTATAGCCTATGCGACAGAGCAAGACTCCGTCTCAAAAAAAAAAAATGAAAGAACAAAGTCAGAGAACTGACATTACTATAAAGCTACAGTAATCAAGGCAGGATGGTATTGGCAAAAGAAGAGACAAACAGACGAGAACAGAATAGAGAGCCTAGAAATACACTTACACAAATACAGTCAACTATTCTTTGATAAAGGCTCAAACACAATTCAAAGACAACAGCCAAGTCTTTTCAACAAATGGTGCTGAAAGTGGACATTCACATGCAAAAAAAAAAAAATGAATGTAGACACAGATTTATACTTTTCACAAAAATTAACTTAAAATGAATCGGAGACCTCAGTGAAAATGCAAAACTATAAAAGTCCTAGAAGATAACATAGGAAAAAATTTTGGTGATCTTGGGTTTGTGAGGACTTTCTAGATACAACACCAAAGGCATAATTCATAAAAGATGAAACTGATAAATGGGACTTAATTAAAATTTAAAACTTGGTTTTTCTTAGGCTTTGCAATGGTTCTGAGTGGTCTGAAACCCTTACCTGATTCTGATGCCCACCCACCAGATGGAGAACACAGCGCACTTCACATCTAAGAACTTGTCTAATGACTGAAACGCGGTAAGTCTTAATAACACTTTTAGCCTATTGGAAATCCTCAAGGCTCATCCTTCAACTGCTCTCGAGTATAAGGTCTAGTGGTACTTCACATCCTAGAGGCACCATCTAGCATAAATATCAATGCTTTGATCTTTTCTAAACAGAATTACTGGTCTGTTTAGAATTAATGGTCCAGCTACAGATATTTAAGCCAAACATTTTTATGATCTAAATCGGTTCAAATATCTCAGGAAAGTAAAAACATTCGGAGTAATTAAAATGTAAATTTACACAAAAAAATTAAAATTTACACAAACTTTGGAATCACTCTTTAAGATAACATTCTATGCAGTTTTCTTTTTCTTTCATGTCTGTGACATAACTTCCTAAGATCTGCTAACTTTTTTTTTTTGGGCAACCTTTAGGCTCAAGAGGTACATATACAGGTTTTGTTATATGGGTAAACTGCATGTCTCAGGGTTTGGGGTACAGATAATTTTCTCACCCAGGTAATCAGCATAATGCCCAATAGCTAGTTTTTAAATCCTCACCCTCTTCCCATGCTCCACCCCTCAAATAGGCCCCAGTATCTACTGTTCCCTTCTTTGTGTCCATGTGTACTTATAAAGGAGAACATGAGGTTTTTGGTTTTCTGCTCCTACTTATAAGGGAGAACATGAAGTTTTTGGTTTTCTGCTCCTGCATTAATTCACTTAGGATAATAGAATCCAGCTCCAACCATGTTGCTGCAAAGGCCATGATCTCATTCTTTTTTCTGGCTGTGTAGTATTCCATGGTGTATATGTATCACATTTTCTTTAACCAGTCCACCATTGATGGGCATCTAGGTTGATTCCATGTCTTTGCTATTGTGAATAGTCATGTGGTCAAGCAATCTCCAGAAACTTCCTCAAATGCTCTACTTTATACTTTCACAGTTATAAAATGCTCTTTGTGCATTATACTACAGTGGTAGCTTCAGGTGGCTGAGTTGTGCTCTAGTAATATCCATCCCCAGAGCTGAATAGGGGATTTTAATTTTTAAATTAACATGGCTTTAAAATATTTGAAACACTACCTATCACATCCTTATATAAAGGTTAAAAACATTCACTAACATACAAAATCAAAACCTATTCAGCTTTCATCTGGGAGACAGACAGATTATAGGGCACAATTCAACTACCTGAAATGTTGGGAGTGGGCAAAAGAGCAATATGACCCTAAATTCCTTAACTTTTTATAAATCTTTCAAATACAAATTCTAACGCAAGACTTAAGTGGTATGCATAGTAAATTTGAAACATCTGGCTGGTCATGATGGTTTACACCTGCAATCCCAGCACTTTGGGAGGCCAAGGAGGGCACATCGCTTGAGCCCAGGAGTTTTAAGACCAGCCTGGGCAACATGGCAAAACTCCATCTCCACAAAAATTAGTTGGGCATGGTGGCACATGAATGTAGTTCCAGCTACCCAGGAGGCTGAGGTGCAAGAATCACCCGAGCCCAAATGAGCCAAGGCTGCAGTGAGCCATGATGGCACCACTGTACTCCAGACTGGGCAACACAGTGAGGCCTTGTCTCAAAAAAAAAAAAGAAAAGAAAAGAGAAACATCTGCTTTAGTAAAAAAATAAAAATATTAGTATCACAATCATACTCATTAGTATGACTGTAAACCAGTGCTTCCAAAAAACCCAGAATAGCTGTTTTTCTTCTTAATACCAGTAATTTTCTTAGAAAGCTGCTTTAGGCCGGGCACGGTGGCTCACCCCTGTAATCCCAGCATTTTGGGAGGCCGAGGCAGGCAGATCACGAGGTCAGGAGATCAAGACCATCTGGCTAACACAGTGAAACCCCATCTCTACTAAAAATACAAAAAATTAGCCAGGCGTGGTGGCGGGCACCTGTAGTCCCAGCTACTGGGAGGCTGAGGCAGGAGAATGGCGTGAACCCAGGAGGCGGAACTTGCAGTGAGCCGAGATAGTGCCACTGCACTCCAGCCTGGGCGACAGAGTGAGACTCTGCCTCAAAAAAAAAAGAAAAAAAGAAAAAGAAATCTGCTTTAAAACTTAACGGTAGAATACAAACAACTTTTTTATTTTGTTTTTATATTTTTGTTTGTTTTGTTTATGGCCTTGTAGATCCACAGTTCAGTAGAGTTAACTCTACCTGCAGCATCAGGGATGTTCACACAATTCAGCTCAGGCCAATCAATCAGCACATTATATTCTCCCGATCATAACATATGATCCAATTAGGGCTAACGAAAGACCCAGAAATTAAACTGTTGAGAGTTCTTTTTTTTTTTTTTTTTTTAGATGGCGTCTTGCTCTGTCACCCAGGCTGGAGTGCAGTGGCGCAATCTCAGCTCACTGCAACCTCTGCCTCCTGGGCTCAAGAGATTCTCCTGCCTCAGCCTCCTGAGTTGCTGGAACTACAGGCGCCTGCCACCACACCCAGGTAATTTTTGTATCTTTTGTATAGACGGGGTTTTGCCATTTTGGCCAGGCTGGTCTCGTACTCCTGACCTCAAATGATCCACCCACCTCGGCCTCCCAAAGTGCTGGGATTACAGGCATGAGCCACTGAGCCGGCCATGAGTTCTTTTTTGCCCCTACTGGCCCTGAACCTAGAAGGACATAGGGCTAGAGATCCTGTCAGCCATCTTTCTATCACAGTGAAACCAGGGAATGAAACCAACAAGGAAGAGAGCAGAGTCAAGAGATGTGGGATTCAGATCCTGCTGACACAGTCCAAGCCTGGATCAAACTATACTTAAAATGAGTACTATGATGACAAACATCAGCCCATCCCTTTAAAACTGTCAAAGATTACAACTAGGGAAAGAACTTATACTGTAAGGTTTATTAAGGATTTATCCCATGGCAGGTTAGTAGATGAAGAGTAACATTCTAACTTAGTGGCAAGATAAAAGAAATGTTTCACTTTATTAAACATACCCGTATTTTAGAAAATGATCATTTCTGTAGGGTCAATCTATATTTGTTGATACAGTTTTGAACCTTAATACAGCGGAAAGCAAGTCTTAAAAAACCCGGTCAGATCACACACCAGAACTGACAGAACTCAAAGCCATTTTCAGTAGTGAAATATTTTACCTTTCCCTTGCATGCATCTAAAATTCTCTGGCTTCTGAGGTATATTAATGACCAAAGAGAACTGATGTGCCCTTAATCTTGTTCTGCATCAAGCATTAGAGAGTGATTCAGAGAGGCTGATAACCAAAGACAAGGAAATGGCTCCCATTCACCCTCCCTTGCTGGATCACTTGCTTAAAAAACAAAAGTAGTATGGTTCTTAAAATAATTACTCCATAAATCCCCACCATCACCAAACTAAACCATCCCACACACAACTTTCACAACTCCCAGGGCCACAAGGAAGTAACTTCTAAATCGAGTTTGAGTTTGATTTGCTTAATCTATAAGAGTTATTACACATCAATAATGTAACCAATAATCAATAACCTAGAGACCAACGAAAAAGGGGCAAAGGATATGAAAAGGCAGGTCAGGCCAGGTACGGTGGCTCATGCCGGTAATCCCGGCACTTTGGGAGGCTGAGGCGAGCAGATCACAAGGTCAGGAGTTCAAGACCAGCCTGGGCAACATGGTGAAACCCTGTCTCTACTAAAAATACAAAAATTAGCTGGGAATGATGGCGGGCGCCTGTAATCCCAAGTACTCGGGAGGCTGAGGCAGGAGAATCGTTTGAACCCAGGAGGGGGAGGTTGCAGTGAGCCGTGATCACGCCATTGCACTCCAGCCTGGGTGACAGGGTGAGACTCCGTCTCAAAAAAAAAAAAAAAAAGAAAGAAAAGGCAGGTCACAGTAAAAGGAAAAGTAATGGAACTAGTCAATGAACATGTGAAAAGATGTATAATCACACCCACAATTTTAAAATACGCACATCAAAATAAATATTCCACCTTGTGACCGACTGCAGTTTCCAAACTTGGTTGCCCCAATACATCCCATCTGACATGCTCTCTTACAGTGTAATGCTGCCACCCCTGTCATCCATTAAGAAGTGAGGTCTATGTCTCCTCCCCCTTAAATGTGGGCAGATATGAAGCTATGTGACTTCTGAGGCTAAATCATGAAAGGTGACATGGCTTCCACCTGGTCCTTTTGGGATATTCTTCCTTGGAACCCAGTGACTATACTGTGAGGAAGCCAACCAGTCACATGGGCTTCATAGGTGTTCTCCACAGCCCCAGCTGAGATTCCAGCAGGCAGCCAGACATGTAAGTGACCATGTCCTGAGGCTCGGAGCCTCCAGAAATGACATCAAGATAATAAGCAGAGACAAGTTGTTCCCACCAAGCTCAGACCAAACTGCAGATTTCTGAGCAAAATTAATGATGATGATGTTATTTTAAGCCACTCAGGTTTTGTTTGTTATGGAGTAATAGATAATTAAAGGGACCTATCTGATTAAAGAGTCTAACCATTTTAGTCTCTACTGGGGTTGACACGGGTAAGGACAACAAAGTGGGGAAAACATAAAACTGGTCTGCTTTGGAGCAAGGGCAATTTAGCAAAAAATTATCAAATTTTAAAGTTCATATAAAATTTTACCAAGCATTTCACAAGTCATAAAATTGTGTTCAAATATGTTTATTCCAGTATTGCTATAAAAGCAAAAACTGAGTAACACTCTTACATTGTGGTACAATGTAAAAATGCAATGGAAAACCATATTACCAGTTTTTTTTTAAAGGTCATTGAAAATGATGATATAAAACAAACAAAAGAGCAAGAAATGTTTAATGTTTACGTAAAGAAATATTACTATATACCTTGAATAATGTAGATCAGGGAGTAAATCTTTTACGCTTTTCAGTGCACACCCTGTCTGTCTACATACTCTTCTTTTTTAGTTAACAATCTTTTAACAATATAATAACCATTCTTAGCTTATTGGTTGTTACAAAAACCAGCCAGTTAGTCACAGTTTGCTGACCCCTGATTTAGATAAACACAGATATTATGAGATAATTTCTTAAAATAGTATTTGCCTTTGGAAATGTAGTCAAGCTTGTCCTGTACACCTTATTTCATTCCCACTCTCAACTCCTGGTTCCATTTCTTTCTCAGGTCAGACATTTCCTCTCAGCCTGAGACCAGGCTCAATGGCAGGCAAGAATTAAGGCCCAGATTATTTCGGGCAAATTTATATTACTGTTACTTTGTTATAACTTTTTGAGAGGTAACAAATATAAACCTGTGGGAAACTGGTTTTCCACATTTCCACAGAAGGTAAAGATACTCAACTACTGAACTAAGAATTTAAGCTTGATAAATTCAAGTCAGTTTAAAAACAAAAAAACAAAAAACAGAAAGGAGCTCTCTATATTATAGCACTCTCAATCACCTATATTTTCCTAATCCTTTGATCCAACCTGAAAGCCTCACTATGAAAATTTTGAAAGAACACAAGAATGCTTTAAAACTAGTGCCTGGGGCTACTGGCTATAAGCAAATGGTGCCAACCAAGTTACAGATTTAAACAAACAACCCAACAACCCTAATCTCTCATGAAACACTTCATAGTTCTGGTCGCTAATTGAGAGCTTTCTCTGGCACAAATTACACAACCTTGGAACTAAAGCCTTTATTCTGAAATTAACTCTGCTCTCCCACCAAGTTCAAATCAGTCTGAATTTAATGCAGTCATTTACTAAGCACTAAATTATAAAACAGGCTTCTCAACAGGAAAAAACAAACTGCGACTCTGAACTTTCTACATTTCTTATACATTTTGGCTGTGGGTTTCTTATTTCTACCCTATTTACCCCCAAACTTGGTGAAAGGCCCCAAAACTTGCCTTCCCCCGCCCCATTCTTCTGCCAGGTAGTGTTACTCTAAGAAACAGGTAGATCCGCTACCGCCCTCTGTAAGTGTCTCTTTCCCCCACCCCTCATTTCCTTCTTTCTTCTATTCTAGCTTAGTATTGCCTTTACAGACTATTATTAGGAATTACTACCTAATTTCAGAGTATATGATCTTACTAAAGAACTAGAGTTTGTACACATGAAAAGGGCAAATTTCTGGTAAATTTTCAGGTAAATTTCAGCATTTAGAAACATAAGATCAAAATTTAAAAAAAAAGAAATATAAGACCAATGAAGAAACACACAGTTACCCAGGATGACCTACAGAAGATAAAAATTGAAGACAGAAAATAGCTGACAGAGGTCCAGATGTTGAGTAATAGCATGCCTGTGATTTGCTTCAAAATAATTGGAGGGAGGAAAGGAGGACAAGGAGGTAGGCATATAGATCAAACAAGATCCAACATGAGTTAATAGTTATTGAAGTGGGGTAACAGGTACCTGGGAGTTCATTATATTCCTCTCTCAATCTCTTTCTCTCTCTCTCTCTCTCTATATATATATGTGTGGGGGTGTGTATATATATATATACACACACACACAAAAACACACACACATACACTACTTGCATTTCAATATACATTGATATACTGATGAATATATTCATATATAAAATATACATTTCAATAGACATTGAAATTTCCACAATAAAAATGGTTTAAAGTATTATCAATAGGAACAGAAAGAAAATATAAGAACATATAGGAGCCTAAAGAAAAACTGAGCTTACTGGGATAACTAATTAGATAATGGATGTGGTTAGGGATGAAGAGAAAATTGAAAAAAGAGACAAACAAGTCAAAGATAACCTCTAGGGAAAAGAGAACTAATCAATAAAGGTGTTAGGGCAATAGGGTAGCCATCAAAAATACACACACACACACATCCTATGCCTTACATTAAATTCCAGAAGGCTTAAAAATATTTAATGTACATAAAGCAGAAAGTACCCAAAGAAACCATGAACAATTATTTTATAAACACAAAGGTCTAAAAATGATATTCAGAAGCTATAAAAGAAAAAAATTACTACATAAAACACTTTAAAATTAGGCATGGCAAAAACTACCTTATGCAGAGTCAAAGGAAAAAACCTAAGAAAAAATTTTAATTAATATAAAAAAGACAATTTCACTAAAACATAAAGAATTCCTAGAAATCAAAAGTCCAACAACCCAACAGAAAAAAATGGCAAAGAACATTAACAGATAATTCACAGAAAAATAAACACAAATAGCTCTTAAACATGAAAAGATTCTCAATCTCACTCATAAGAGAAATGCAAGTTAAAACTACACTAAAATTGGCACAGACCAAAAAATCTGATAACACAGGCCGAGGGGCAGCCTCTGGTGAGAGCCTTTTTGCTGGTGAGGACTTGCAGGGTATCGCATGGCAAGGGAGCTGAGCACTAAGGTGCTAGCTCAGGCCTCTGTTCTTATAAAGCCACCAGTTCTTCCCCCATGATAACCCCTTAACCCACTAACCCATTAACCCGTTAATACATAAATGGATTAATCCACTCATCAGGGCAGAGGTATGGTATCATGGTATCACCTCTTAAAGACCCTACCTCTCAATACTGCCATACTGGGGACTAAATTTCAACATGAGTTTTGGAGAGGACAAATATTCCAACAGATATTCAAACAGACATCCATAACAGATGGCAATCTGACAACATCTATCAAAATTACAAATGCAGGCTGGGTACGGTGGCCCATACCTGTAATCCCAGCACTTTGGGAGGCCAATGTGGGAGGATCACTTGAGCCCAGGAGTTCAAGACCAGCCTGGGCAACATAGGAAGACTCTATATATAGAGAGAGAGTCTCTATGAAAAACTTAGAAATTAGCTGGGTGTGGTGGTGCATGCCTGTAGACCCACCTACTTGGGAGGCTGAGGTGGGAGGATCGATTGAGCCCAGGAGGTTGAGGCTTCAGTGAGCCATGATCAAGCCACTGCACTCCAGCCTGGGCAGCAGGGTAAGATTCTGTCTCAAAAACAAAAACAAAAAAAACCCTAAAATTTAAAAAAATTACAAATGCACATATTCTTTGATTCAGCAATATGATGTAAGTAATAGAGTGTTGCTTATTAGCAAAAAGAACTAGAAATAACTGAAATGTACATCAATAGGGGACTAAATTATGATATATCCTACAGTGAAATGCTATGTGACCATAAAGAATACATAACATGGCAGCTCTTTGATCACTGATATGGAATAATTTCCAAGATCTACTATTAGTTTGTAGGGTTTTTTTTTAAGTACAGTTTATACAGTCAGTGTGTTTAGCATTTGTGGCTTTTCTTGGATTGCAGCGGTGGTGGTATGTAGAGACAAGGTCTCACTCTATCACCCAGGCTGGCGAGTGGTGGCACAATCACAGCCCACTGCAGCCTCAAACTCTCAGGCTCAAGCAACCCTCCTGCTTCAGCCTCCAAAGTAACTAGGACTCCAGGCCAATGCCACCATGCCTGCCTAATTTTTTAAAACTTTTTAATAGGTATTCAAGAAATGCTGAAATAATTTGGTTTCTTAGAATGGAATATATAGGAGAGAATTATAAAGGCATGAGAATGTAGATGGTAAGAGCTATAAATTCAGAAGATGATACTTTGAATCTACAGCAGGCCCTCTGCATCTGAGGATTCTGGATTCAACCAATTACAGATAGAAAATATTCAGAAAAAAAAAATCTCAATAGGCTAGTCCAAATGCAGTTGTGTTCACAACTAGTTGATCAGAACCAGTTAGAGATTTCTTTGTTCCTTCTCCACTCCCAGTTCCTCACTTGACTAGCCTGAAAAAAACAAACCAAAACAAAACAATTTTTAAAAAGTACAAAAAAACTCAATACAGCGTAACAACTATTTACATAGCATTTACCTTGCATTAGATATTATAAGTAATCTAGAGATGATTTAAAGTCTACAGGAAGATGTTGCATGGGTTATATGCATACTATGCCATTTTATATCAGGGACTTGAGCATCTGCAGACTTTTTTTTTTTTTTTTTTTTTTGAGACAGAGTCTCACTCTGTCGCCCAGGCCGGAGTGCAGTGGCGTGATCTCAGCTCACTGCAAGCTCTGACTCCCGAGGTCACACGATTCTCCTGCCTCAGCCTCCTGAGTAGCTGGGACTACAGGTGCCTGCCACCACGCTCGGCTAATTTTTTGTATTTTTAGTGGATGGGGTTTCACCCTGTTAGCCAGGATGGTCTTGATCTCCTGACCTCAGGATCCACCCACCTTGGCCTCCCAAAGTGCTGGGATTACAGGCGTGAGCCACCGCTCCTGGCCAGCAGATTTTTTTATCTGTGGTGGTGGGGGATTAGGGTGGTGGCTGTTCCTGGAGTGAATCACCTGAGGATACTGAGGGATGATGAACTATATTTTAGAAAAGCTTGATTAGAATGGGAGGGCCTTGTTACATAAAAGCTAGTTCTAGGGCAAAGAAAAGGAGGTAATAGGAAAGAAATAATGGAAGTGAAGACATGAAGATTTTGAGTTAGAATTACAGTTATAGCTGCTAATCTTGGTGGGTTTCAAATACAAATTCTGCCTGAAGTTAGCATGTTAAAGTTTAATGCTTTTTAATGACTTGCACCTTCTTAAGGAATTATATAGAGCTTACTATTTGAAAGTGCACTCTTGTTTGCAGAAGAGGAAGTTGATACATGCACAGGAGAGGGAAGCTGCTTTTTCGTGGTATGAACAGTAGCTTTAGGGCAGTGAATGAAGTGGGTGGAAAAGAAGCAGCGTATGCCAAAGAAATTGTGAAGAAAGAATTGATGGATCTAGATGGCCAATAAGAAATGGGGGTGAGAACATGGGAAGTTTGAAATGCAAAGATGTCTCAAAGGTTTTGAAACAGGGTGTCTGGGAAGCGAATACATGGTGTACCCAGCCCAGGAGATCAAGCCTGTGTCCAAATCTTGATTTTGCTACTTATTAACAATGTGAACATGGGTAAATCCCTTTACTTAGGGCCTCAGTTTTATTATCTGAAAAATAAGGAAGATGGCCTAGATCAGTGCTTCTTAAACTTAAAATGTCTATATGAATTACCTAGGGAATCTTGTTGAAGTACAATTCTGATTGACTAGGTCTATGGTGGGACCTGAGATTCTCAGCATTTTCACTACAAGTGATGCAGAGTAGCAAAGGCTTAGATGACCTTCAAGGTCCTTTCTGGTTCTGCAGTATTATACTTCTATTTGTTGAAGGTGGGTTTTTTTGTTTTTTTTTTTAAGACAGAGTCTCACTGTCTCCAGGCTGGAGTGCAGTGGCATGATCTAGGCTCACTGCAACCTCCGCCTCCCGGGTTCAAGCGATTCTCCTGCCTCAGCCTCCCAAGTAGCTGGGACTACAGGCGCACACCACCACGCCCAGTTAATTTTTTGTATATATTTTTTTTAAGTAGAGACAGGGTTTCACCATGTTGGCCAGGATGGTCTCCATCTCCTGACCTTGTGATCTGCCCACCACCGCCTCCCAAAGTGCTGGGATTACAGGCGTGAGCCACCATGCCCGGCCTATTTGTTGAATGTTTATCCTTCAGAGATCTGTTATACTTTTGTGACTTATAATTACCTCTATTTAGAGAGATGAATTCTAAATCTGTGTCTCTTTACTTCAAATAAGAATGGCCTAAATTCATCATCTTTCACTGATAACCACATTCCTCTCTTGACATCTCTATTTTTGTAATACTTTATATTTAAATATATATTATAAAGTACTTTACACTTTTTTAGAGAGCTTCTATATCCATTATTTCATTTGATCATTGCAGTAACCCACAGAAGTAGGCAGGTGGAAATATCTCCATTTTATGGAAGGGGAAACAGGCTCAGAAACAGTAAGTGGCTTGCTCACTAATGAGTGGTAGAACCACCTAGAGTTGAGCTGAAGCTCTAACTTGAGTTCTTCCCACTGTGTCACATTGCTTCGGGAAATTGTCATCTGCATACCTGTGTTTAAAGGTTGGTTGCCATCTCTGTTTTTTTTGAAATATAAACTTAAGCTGATCCAAAGGTAATGAGTTTTCTCAATTTAGTGTTCACAGTCAGTTACAGATCAAATTTGCTCAACTCTTTCCCGCTTCTCACTACTACACTTGACTAGTCTTAAAAAATAAGAAGTAAAAAGTATCCTTAATGTTATTTTTAAAAATACACATGATACACACAAAAATTCATATGATTCACAATTCAAAAGGCACAGTATATAAGAGGATATAGTGAACAGTCTCCGTACTACTGTGTGCCCCAAATACCCATTTCCTTTCCCCTGGGGCAACCAGTGTTATCAGTTATAGTTTATGGCTCTCCAATAATTACATATTCTTTTTTTCCCTATTAAACACAAATGAGGTCGGGCATGGTGGCTCACATAATCCCAGCAATTTAAGAGGCTGAGGAGGGAAGATATCTTGAGGCCAGGAGTTCCAGACCAGGCTGGGCAACATAGTGAGACCCTTTGCTACAAAAAGTATTTTTGGTTTTTTTGTTGGTTTGTTTTTTGTTTTTTTTGAGACAGAGTCTCACTCTGTTGCCCAAGCTGGAATGCAGTGGCACAATCCCGGCTCACCACAACCTCCACCTCCCAGGTTCAAGCAATTCTCCTGCCTCAGCCTCTCAAGTAACCAGGACTACAGGCACGTGCCACCACACCCGGCTAATTTTTTGTATTTTTAGTACAGACAGGGTTTCACCATGTTAGCCAGGACAGTCTCGATCTCCTGACCTCATGATCCACCCGCCTCGGCCTACCAAAGTGCTGGGATTGCAGGTGTGAGCCACTGCGCCCGGCCCCATGCATGGTCTTAAAGTGTTTCCCTATAGACTATTAGTTGCAAGGGCATGCATGTACACACACACAAAGAATTAGAGTTGAAAAATCAGACGACACCTTGACCGGGTGACCAAAATTAACATTACCAATGAGGGACAAATGAACATCCAGAAGTGATACCTTATGAAGGACATATTACCACCCATGCAATATTCCAACTGAAAATGTGTAATCTGAATCTAATCATGAGGAAACATCAGATAAACAGAAAATGAGGAATGTCCTATTTTTTTTTTAAGGGAGCAGGGTCTGTATTATGCTAGTGACATTTAAAAATAAGACAAAGAAAAGCTTTGGAAATGTTCTACATTAGAGACACAACGGCTAAATGTAATACCTACCCTAGACTATATCCTGAACTGGAGGAGGAAAATTTCTATAAAGGACATTATAGAATCAACTGATGAACCTTAGATTAAAGTATCGATGTTAAATTTACTGATGTTGATAACTGTTGGGAACAGGCCCCCCAAAATCTGGCCATTAACTGGCCCCAAAACTGGCCATAAACAAAATCTCTGCAGCACTAGTGACATGTTCGTGATGGCCATGATGCCCATGCTGGAAGGTTGTAGGTTTACTGGAATGAAGGCAAGGAACACCTGGCCCACCCAGGGTGGAAAACCACTTAAAGACGTTCTTAAACCACAAACAATAACATGAGCGATCTGTGCCTTAAGGACATGCTCCTGCTGCAGATAACTAGCCCAATCCATCCCTTTATTTTGGCCCATCCCTTTGTTTCCCGTAAGGAATACTTTTAGTTAATCTATAATCTATAGAAACAATGCTTATCACTGGCTTGCTGTTAATAAATACGTGGGTAAATCTCTGTTCCGAGGCTCCCAGCTCTGAAGGCTGTGAGACCCCTGATTTCCAGCTCCACACCTCTATATTTCTCTATGTGTGTGTCTTTAATTCCTCTAGCGCCGCTGGGTTAGGGTCTCCCTGACCGAGCTGGTCTCGGCAGATAACTATGCTATGGATATGAAATAGAATATCCCTATTCCGGGAAATACATACTCAAGTATTTAAGGGTAAAGGGTCATGATGTATGTAACAACTTTAAATGATTCACATAAAATTATATATCCTTATCTACACATATTCAGAAAGAGAGAAAGAGAGCAAGCTTGCAAATGTAGCAAAATGGGCTATTATTATGCCCATTTTACCTGAGTCTCCCTGAAGCATACAGAGATAAATAACTTCCAGATTGCCTAACTTAGTTTAGGCACATAGGAAATGGCTGGACCAGGATTTGAACACAAAATGTTAACAGACAAATCTAAGTAACAGGTATACAGGTGTTCTGAAAAACAGAAATTTATAAAATAAAAGGTGCCATTTTTCCATAAGCTTGAAATTCTTTCCAAATAAAAATAAAAATAAATAAAATAAAGACTGTTCTCTCTACCTACAGGATAATGTCCAAATTCCAAATTCCAAATCACGGCATACGTGACCCTTTACAATCTAACTCCAAACTATTAGTACAACTTCTCTGTGACACTGGTATGATAAGAAATGTATGTCTTCAGCCCTGGTTTCTAGCACACAGCTCCTAAAACCCTTGGTATAGGGGGACAGAAGCATCTTTTGTTATAATGTAATAATTGGTAGTTTCCAGTTCCTGACACAAGAGTTTCTAAGACCCTTGGAATCTCTGGAGTGATAAGTGTCTTTTGCATGCTAATGAGATAACTGGTGGCTGGGAGTCCCTCAGAGAGCTTCAGGGCAGAAACACTGAGGCATGATTAGAGGGTTAAAACTTTTAGCTCTACCCCCTGACCTCCAGGGAGGGGAGACAGGCTGGAGATTGTGTTAATCACCAACAGCCAATGATATAATCAATCATGGCTACCTAATAGAACCTCCCTGAAACCCTAAACAGAGCTTGGAGAGCTTCTGAAATGGTGGATACATTGAAGTGCTAGGAGGCTGGCACACCCAGAGAGGGCATGGAAGCTCCACGTCCCTTCCCCCATACCTTGCCCTATTTATCTCTTCCATTGGCTGTTCCCAGGTTGTATCCTTTATCCTAAACCTATAATAATACATAAAATGTTTTCTTGAGTTCTGTGAGCCATTCTAACAAATTACTGAACACAAGGAGAAGGTCATGGTAACCTTCAGTTTATAGCTGATAGCTGAGAAGTACAGGAGGCCTGCGACCGGGACTTGGGACTGACGTCTGTGGGAGCAGCCTTGTGGGACTGGGCCCTTAACTTGTAGGTCATAACTCCGGGTAAATAGCATCAGAATTGAACTGAACACAAGGATACCCAGCTGGTGTAAAAGAATTGGTTGATGTTGGGGGGAAAACCCAACATATTTGTTGTCAGAAGTGTTGTAAGTGGAACAGCACAGACTGTCCTAGGTACAGACAGTCCCTGACTTAGGACGGTTTGACTTAATGATGTTTTTACTTTATGATGGTGTGAAAGTAATATGCATTCAGTAGAAATCGTACATGGAGTGCCCATACAGCCATCCTGTTTTTCACCTTCAGGTCAGCATTCAATAAATTACATGAGTAAATTACATGAGATATTCAATGCTTTTTTAAAAATCAGCTTTGTGTCAGACGATTTTGCCCAACTATAGGCTAATGGAAAGTGTCTGAGAACACAGGCTAGGCTAAGCTACGGTGTTCGAGAGGTTAGGTGTATTAAATGCACTTTTGACTTAGCGATATTTTCAATTTACAGTGGGTTCATCAGGACATAACCCCATCATAAATCAAAAGGCATTTGTACTCTCCAGCTCCTTGTTTCCACCGTCCTCCTCTAAGCTCCTTAAACTCTGGCCTCAATTATCTGCCATTCCTTTTTACACCTTCTTACCATTTTGCTCAAGCTGGTCCCTCTGCTAGCATGCATTTCCCATCTTTCCCATCTCAGTACTTTTTTCGAATCATCTCTTATATTACACTAAAATGGCCTAGTGACATATTTGTCTTACCCACTAGTTTTGTTTTTTTTTTTTGTTTGTTTGTTTTTTGAGAAGGAGTTTCACTCTTTTTGCCCAGACTGTAGTGCAATGGTGCGATCTTGGCTAACTGCAATCTCCGCCTCCCGGGTTCAAGTGATTCTCCTGCCTCGGCCTCCCAAGTAGCTGGGATTACAGGCGCCTGCCACCACACCCGGCTAATTTTTTGTATTTTTAGTAGAGACTGGGTTTCACCATGTTGACCAGGATGGTCTCACTCTCTTGACCTCGTGATCTGCCCGCCTCAGCCTCCCAAAGTGCTGGGATTACAGGTGTGAGCCACCGTTCCCGGCCACCCACTAGATTATGAGTCCCTCCAGGGCAAGGACACGCTTATCCTGTATCTTCAGTGCCTGACAAATGGGAATAGCAATGACAGTAGCAACAGCTAACATTTTTTGAACACTTACTATAAACCAAGCACCTTTTTAGGGAAATTTATGACACACTTAATCCTCTCAACAACCCTACAAGGTAGGCTATTATTATGCCCATTTTACCTGAGTCTCCCTGAGGCACACAGAGATTAAATAACTTCTAGGTTGCCTAACTTAGTTTAGGCACGTAGAAAATAGCTGGACCAGGATTTGAACACAAGCAGTCAGGCTCTAGTGTCCATATTCTTAACCACTGTGGGATACATGGTAGAAACTCAAAAATTAACTGTTGAATTAATAATGTTGTAGAACAGAGCTGAACACAGTATTTGTAGAATGAAAGTATTCGAGACAAAAGCATTTGGCAATTGAGGAAATGGAGGCACACAGAGGTTAAAAATGTGCACAGAGCTACAGATAACCTAGTCTTCTCACTGTAAAGCTTAAGAACCTGAGGACTAGAACAAAGCACTTTTTCCAAAGTTACCTTAGTTATACCCAGGACCAGCCTTATAACAAGTCTTCTTATGACACCATATTAAAGAATACTTACGGCCGGGCGCAGTGGCTCACACCTGTAATCCCAACACTTTGGGAGGCGGAGGCGGGTGGATCACAAGGTCAGGAGATGGACACCATCCTGGCTAACATGGTAAAACCCAGTCTCTACTAAAAATACAAAAAAAGTTAGCCGGGCATGGTGGCATGCGCCTGTAGTCCCAGCTACTCGGCAGGCTGAGGCAGGAGAATCGCTTGAACCCGAGAGGCAGAGGTTGCAGTGAGCCAAGATCACGCCACTGCACTCCAGCCTGGCCGAAAGCGAGACTGTCTCAAAAAAAAAAGAATACTTACTTGCTGTAAGAAGCCTCAAAACCATATTCAAAGATATTCTGGCATTCCAAGAATAACAGAAGTTGGAGAAAGAAGTACACTAGAGTATAATGCAGTATCTGATACCCAGAAGGAATTTAATACCAATTAATTGGCCAGGCACAGTGGCTCACATCTGTAATCCCAGCACTTTGGGAAGACGAGGCAGGCAGATCACTTGAGGTTAGGAGCTGGAGACCAACCTGGCAAACATGTCAAAACCCCATCTCTAATAAAAATACAAAACTTAGCCAGGCATGGTGGCACGCACCTGTAGTCCCAGCTACGTGGGAGGCCGAGGCACGAGAATTGCTTAAACCCAGCAGGTGGAGGCTGCAGTGAGCCGAGATTGTGCCACTGCACTCCAGACTGGGCAACAGAGTGAGACTTCGTCTCAAAAAAGTAAAAAGAAAAAGAAGACAAATATTTCATGGCATGAAAATTAATAATTTCAGTATCCTTAAACTTTTACTGGAATACAACCACACTCAGTTGTTTACATATAGTATAGGGCTGTTTCTGCACTACAGCAACCAGTTGAGTACTTGCTACTAAGACCCTAGAAGGCCCGCTGAGACAGAAACATGTTCACTATCTGGTCCTTCACAGAAAAGCTTGCTAACCACCTTGTCTCTCATGCACCAGAAGGTTAGGTCCATGAAGGCAGTGTCTCTGTCTTGCTTGCTGTTTTACTTCCAGCACCTAAACAGTCTCTGGCATTTACAAGCATTCACATTTGTGCAACTTTAAGTAAGTGAGGAATTACTCAAATGAACTTTAAGAAGCCAAACAAAATGGGTCATAGTTAAGAAAGTCTTTCAATTACACTGATCTTTACAGGATACCTTAATGAAGAGAAGAATGTCACTGAGACAAGTGGTATTGCTTTCATTTGCTAAAATGTTAATGTCTGGGTATACATGAGAAGCAGCTTTCTAATTTTTTAGTAGTTTTTGGGTAGTTGTATAATATTAAAAAATGCACTAATTTGCAGTTAAGAAATTCTGCAATTTAGCTGGGTACAGTCGCACACATCTATAGTCCCAGCTACTCCAGAGGCTAAGGCAGAAGGATCCATTTGAACCCAGGAGTTCGAGGTTGTAGTGCATTACCTGTGAATAGCCGCTATGCTTCAGCCTGACGTTGGGCAATATAATGAGACCCAGTGTCTCAAAAAAAGAAACCAAAAAGAAATTCTGCAACTCTACAGTGTCCTCATCTAATAACCAGACTGGCTGGGCATAGTGGCTCACACCTGTAACCCCAACACTTTGGGAGGCCAAGGTGGGCGGATTGCTTGAGCTCAGGAGTTTGAGACCAGCCTGGGCAACATGGCAAAACCCTATCTCTACCAAAAAAAACTACAAAAATTAGTCAGACATGGTGGCGCGCACCATGCGCACCTGTAGTCCCAGCAGCAAAACCCTGTCTCTACAAAAAAAAAAAAATATATATATATATATATATATATATGTGTGTATATATATATATATATATATGTGTGTGTATATATATATATATACACACACACATATATATACACATATATATATATACACACACATGTATATGTGTATATATTTATATATTTATTTATATTCATATAAATTAGCCAGGCATGGTGGTGCGTGCCTGTAGTCTCAGCTACTCAGGAGGCTAAGGCAGGAGGATCACCTAAGCCCAGGGAGGTCAAGATTGCAGGTGAACCATGATTGCGCCACTGCATTCCAACCTGGGCAACCTTGTCTCCGAAAATTAATTAATCATTATCATCATCATCAGACTGGTGTCTTTTTTTTTTTTTTTTTTAGAGATGGGGGTCTCACTATATTGCCTAGGCTGGAATCAAACTCCTGGCCTCAAGCAATCCTCCCACCTCAGCCTCCCAGGTAGGCTAGGATTACAGGTGCATAGCACGGCACCCAATTTATACTGACGTTTTTGATAGAAGTGTATGACTATCACCAGTCAACCAATCACTCCAGAGCACCTGGGCAGCTACTCTTTATTTTTATATTTATATTAAACACACTCCATGTAGAATAAACTCCAATAAGTCAATTCATGAAAACAAGTCTGAAATATCTACTATACATATATAATTCTATAATGGTACCAATTCTATCCTGTAATGAGTATAGTCCTGTAAATTATCCTAGACCTGTAATGAGCACCCCACAGCCTACCTGCCAACCTTGCTTCATAATCTATTTTCAGAATAAAAAACCAGAAAGCTTTCTTCATGTTGCTACTTCTCATGTATACTTAGATATTAACATCTTAGTGGATGAAAGCAATACTGATTTTCTTGAGGACAGTCTTATTTTCATTAAAAGGAGACAACGTTAAAAAAAAAAAGGTTTTTCAAAATCCTAAGCAAGATTATTTTTATTTTGTATTGTTTAAAAGTTTAGTTTTCTGGATTAGCTCTCATACAAAAGAATGATTGGAATTAAGGAAGGAAATAGTTCATATCCCCTGAAAGATGTAAGTAGGCTGGCAGACACAAGACATACAGTTCCGAATCCTGTGCCTAACAATTCAAACAAGGCACTTTAAAAGTATCTATTGAATAAATGGCTCTCAGTTTTTCCTATCCTGCACTCAGAATTAGTTTTTTGTTTGTTTGTTTGTTTGTTTTTGAGACGGAGTTTTGCTCTTGTCGCCCAGGCTGGAGTGCAGTGGCGTGATCTCGGCTCACTGCAACCTCCGCCTCCTGGGTTCAAGCAATTCTCCCGCCTCAGCCTCCTGAGTAGCTGGGATTACAGGTGCCCGCCACCACGCCCAGCTAATTTTTTGTATTTTTAGTAGAGATGGGGTTTCGCCATGTTGGGCAGGCTAGTCTCGAACTCCTAACCTCAGGTGATCCACCTGCCTCAGCCTCCCAGTGCTGGGATTACAGGTATGAGCCACCGCGCCCCGCCCAGAATTAGTTTTAACATACGCTAATATGAACACACGAATTACTTGTATTCACTGTTAAACCCTTAATCACAAAAGCTACACTCATGTTAAAGAGTATAAAATTTTTCCTGGAGAAAAAAAAAAAACAGATCATAAGCCTGATTCTCATGTTTACTTTTATGATCTATTAAGTCTGATTCTCACTTTTACTTTTATGTCTTCCCTTTTTTCTTTCCCAGGAGTCTACTGACAAAAGCCAAAGGTTGCTGCTAGTTTCAGCTTCCTGGTGTTCCTCATTATTTTCAAAAATGTCTGACTGCATCTTTTGGACATTATAAAAACCACAGTAGGAAAAAACGCCAGCTATTTCAATGGACCAACAAAGTGAGACTCCAAAGTGGTAAGTTCTGATGCTCAACTTCAGCATTATCAGTCTCAGCCTCTCAATCAATAAGCACACTATACTGGAGTTTTCACAAAGAATGGATAAGTAAAATGCCTAATAACATTACTACCACATAGGGTCTACAGCAATCAACACCAAATATTACACAGAATAAAACCATCAAAAAACCAGATGGTTACTCTTTCAGAAACTTAAAGAGGCAGAGAACAGAAGTTCTTAAGTAGAACATTTAAAAAAAAAAAAAAAAAAAGATAGGCATGGTAAGTACCCAGGGACAAAACAGGAAGACTGATCATTTAAGCTCCAGAGGGACATTCCAAAGTTTCACTCTAATTCACACCATAAAAGGGACGTGGGAGGGTGGACTCTGAGTGCTCTGCCCTTAAAGAGAACGTTAAAATACAGCCTCTCCTCCATTTCAGTTCTAGCCTAAAATCCCCAAAGCTGTGAGGCTAATGTTGCCAAAGGACCGAGTGAAGTTTAAGAAACAAGTTCTCGGCCAGGCTCACGCCTGTAATCCCAGCACTTTAGGAGGCAGAGGCGGGTGGATCACGAGGTCAGGAGTTTGAGACCAGCCTGGCCAACATGGTAAAACCCCGTCTCTACTAAAGATACAAAAAATTAGGTGGGTGTGGTGGTGGGCACCTGTAATATCAGCTACTCTGGAGGCTGAGGCAGGAGAATCACTTGAACCCAGGAGACAGAGGTTGCAGTGAGCCAAGATCGTGCCACTGCACTCCAGCCTAGCGACAGAGCAAGACTCCGTCTTAAAAGAAAAAAAAAGGAAAGAAAACGAAACAAGTTCTTGGCCAGGCACAGTGGCTCACGCCTGTAATCCCAGCACTTTGGGAGGCCAAGGTGGGTGGATCACCTAAGGTCAGGAGTTCGAGACCAGCCTGGCCAACGTGATGAAACCCCATCTCTACTAAAATTACAAAAATTAGCCGAGCGTGCTGGCAGGCGCCTGTAATCCCAACTACTAAGGAGGCTGAGACAGGAGAATCGCTTGAACCCAGGAGGTGGAGGTTGCAGTGAGCCGAGATCACACCACTGTACTCCAGCCTGGGTGACAAGAGCAAAACTCCATCTCAAAAAAAAAAAAGAAACAACTTCTCAACACACCCAGCCAAGAACAGTGGAACTGTTCACAAGACCCAGGTTCTGTTTATTTCTCTGCCACAAGCAGGAACAAGACACAAGACAGATCTGTTAAACTAATACTCTTTACTAAATACTCCAGGGCAAGAATAAATAGCTAGAACAAGTCTGTGGCCAGGCAAATAGCTTCACCTCAGAGGGCTTCAGGTTTTGCATCTGCAAAATTCCATGATTCAAAATTCATGTTTCCATCTTAAAATAAGATGGAAAACAAGGTTATGTGATACTAAATCAAGAAGGTATACTATGAATTGTAAAATTCCAATGTCAAGTTTCCATTCTGTGTGTACTCGTCTACTTTTATAATCTAAGGAGGCAACTGCTAAAATACTGTACAAGGCATTGAAAAAATTTAACAATATAAGACTTTACTGGCCAGGCACAGTGGCTCATGCCTGCAATCCCAGCACTTTGGGAGGTCGAGGCAGGTGGATCACCTGAGGTCAGGAGTTCGAGATCAGTCTGGCCAATGTGGTGAAACCCGTCTCTACTAAAAATACAAAAATTAGCCAGGTGGGGTGGTGGGCACCCCAGCTACTCGGGAGGCTACTCGGGAGGCTGAGGCAGGAGAATTACTTGAACCTGGGAGGCAGAGGTTGCAGTGAGCTGAGATCGTGCCATTGCACTCCATTCTGGGCGACAACAGGGTAACGCTGTCTCAAAAAAAAAAAAAAGACATTACTTATGTCATTAAACCTAAAACAAAGCATAAACCTAAAATGTTTCAACCTCTCTCATAAGACAGATGTCTTTTTCTAAAACACCTTCAGTTTGTAGCTGTACACATTCCAGTACGTTGAAAATGACAAACTTGGCCGGGCGCGCTGGCTCACGCCTGTAATCCCAGCACATTGGGAGGCCGAGGCAGGCGTATCATGAAGTCAGGAGATCGAGACCATCCTGGCTAACACGGTGAAACCCCATCTCTACTAAAAATACAAAAAATTAGCCGGGCGTGGTGGCAGGCGCCTGTAGTCCCAGCTACTAGGGAGGCTGAGGCAGGAGAATGGCGTGAACCCGGGAGGCGGAGCTTGCAGTGAGCCGAGATCGTGCCACTGCACTCCAGCCTGGGCGACAGAGTGAGACTCCGCCTCAAAAAAAAAAAAAAAAAAAAAATGACAAACTTCTTTTTCTCCCCAGCAGTAACATGTCTGACAGGTAAAAATACACAGCTTATCAAAAATACACATTTGGAAACTATGAAAATCTAATTTTTTTTCATTCTACCATACGTTTCACTTCAGGCCCAACTTATTAGTTTCAATTCTGCTTGTGCTCTATTTCTAGTCAGTTTCACTTCTGAATTTTCTACCACAAAGAATTGTGATCCTGTAGAGACATTTTAAAGTAAACACTAAATAAACATAGCTTTTCCTTTCAAAAAAAAAAAAACTCATTTTCACAGGAAAAAGAGAAACAAACAAAAAACATAAATTCCTAATAGCATTTTGTCACATAAAAATAATGATTTCAAGATGCTGATATCTTAAGTTTCTGAGGCTTCCTCATATCATTTTATTTATAAGAGCCAAACCAGCACAAAAAATTGCCATCATTTTACTTTTTAGATACTCAACTATATATTACATTTTTTCTTCGAGTTACAAGGGGCTTAGTAAATATTTGCAGAAGGAATGAATGTACACGGCATGGTAGTGCATTGCGTGAGGCACATGTTCCTGATAAGATGAACGGCCTTGCCAATAAAGCTGATTTTTTTTTTAGTAATAGAAAAATGATTAAATTAGATTAGCAAAAGTAGGGTATCCAAATAAACATAAACACAGAAAGGGAAAATATTTATCCTATACAGCAAAATCAAGCTTTAGATCTACTTTTCTGCTTCTATCATGTTTTTTTGCATGGGTTTCAATACCACTGAATCCAATCTTTCCTTGTTCTCTTTAGGCTGTAAAGTTCTTCAAGGGAAAGACTCATAAACAAAAAAACTGTACATGAGTTCCTACTAAATCATCAGCACAGTGTTAGGCACAAGTGCTGTAGGAAATAAAATATAAAGCCTGATGGTCCCAAACTCTGAGGTACTTAAAACTTTTCACCAGAACCCTGCAAAGAATGGGTGTCTAGGGCAAACAGGAAACACCTAGATTGTAGTCCCTTTGTTGACACTCTGTGTGACTTTAAGTTACCGGCCCAGTGCAGTCGCTCATGCCTGTAATACCAATGCTTTGGGAGGCCAAGGCGGGAGGATTGCTCGAAGCCAGGAGGTAGAGACCAGCCTGGGCAATATAGCAAGACTCTGTCTCTACAAAAATTAAAATTAAAAAATGAACCAGGCATGGTGGTGTGCACCTGTGGTCCCAGCTACTTGGGAGGCTGAGGCACATAATTTGAGTCCAGGAGTTAGAGGCTGAAATGAGCCATGATTTAATCTCCCATACAGAAAAATTCCAAATAATTTATGTAGATACTCTACCCTCAAGAAGGGGGAGCACAGATCTCACTCAAGTGTGGACTACACATAGTGACTTCCTTCCAAAGACTACAGTATAGAGGGAAGGGGAGGAAGAGTAACCTTATAGCAGAGAAACCTGACAAACACTACCTGTGGCCCTTCAATTTACAATAATAAATATATACTTTGGTCTTTGTACACAGTTCCTGGTGCAGAGCTCTTAAAACCTCTGTCATTCCCTGGGTGCCATAGGGGTACTAGGAGAATCTTTACTTTTCATATTTGGTCTTTGACCCCAGTTCCAGACACAACGCCTAGTCCCTCAGCGTTTCCTAGGTGAGGAACATCCTTTGTTCTAATGAGACAACTCTTGGTGAGCTCCTAGAAGGAGAATGGTCACCAGAAAGACCAGGCCATGATCAGAAGCTTGGAACTTTCAGCCCCACTCCCCATCCTCCAGGAAGGGGAGAGGGGCTGAAGACTGACTTAATAATTGATCATGCCTACATGATGAAGCCTCCATACAAATCACAGAACTACAGGTTTTGGAGAGTTTCTGGGTTGCTGAACATGTGGAGGGTGGAGCTGCCATGAGAGGGCATGAAAGCTCTGGGCCACTTCCCCCATACTGTTCCCTATGATATCTTCCATCTGGCTGCTCGTCTGTATCCTGTGTAATATTGTTTATTTAAAAAAAAAAAAAAAACAGTAAGTGCAAGCAAGGTGCTTTCTTGAGTTCCGTGAGCTGCTCTAGTAAATGACTGAGCCTGAGGAGGGGAACATAGGAACCCCCAATTTATAGCCAGTCGGTAAGAAGTTCCAGAGACCCAGACTTACGTCTGGCATGTGAAGTAGGGGACAGTTTTATGGGTCTGAGCCTTTAACTTGTGGAATATGATACTAACTCTAAGGAGATTGTGGCAGAATTGAATTGAATCATAGGACACCATATTGGTGTTCACTGGAGGATCGCTTGGTGTGTGGGGAAAAAGCCCCACACATCTAATGTCAGAAGGGTTATGCTGATAGTATAACAGTGTAATAGGAGAAAACAGCTAGTTTGCCTTTCCTATCATATGCTACCACAGCTGGTGATGATAAAAGTTAGAATCAACAGTGATAAATCAGCCAGGCATGGTGGCTCATGCCTGTAATACCAGCACTTTGGGAGGCCAAGGTGGGTGGATCACCTGAGGTCAGGAGTTCAAGACCAGCCTGGCCAACATGGTGAAACCCCGTCCTACTGAAAATAGAAGAATTAGCTGGGCATGGTGGCGGGTGCCTGTAATCCCAGCTACTCAGGAGGTTGAGGCAGAAGAATTGCTTGAACCTGAGAGGTAGAGGTTGCAGTGAGCTGACATTGTGCCATTGCACTCCAGCCTGGGCAACAAGAGCGAAACTCTGTCTCAAAAAAAAAAAAAAAAAAAACAGTGATAAATCATGTTAATAATATGTACGTAATATATGAAAATGGCACTTTACCTCTTAAGTCTTGCTCCCAAAACACCACCACCCTAGTCTAATCATAAGAAAAAACATCAGACTAATTCCAGAAGAGTGGCATCCTACAAAACACCTGACCAATACTCAAAACTGTCAAGGCCATCAAAAACAAGGAAAGTCTGAGGAACTGCCACAGCTAAGAGGAGGCAAGAGACAGGACAACTAAATACAATGTGGTATCCAGACAGGATCCTGGCACGGAAGAAGGACATCAGGTAAAAACTAAGGGTTGGCTGGGTGTGGTGGCTCATGCTGTAATCTCAACACTGCTTTGGTTGGCCAAGGCAGGAGGATCTCTTGAGCCCAAGAGTTTGAGACCAGAGTGAGACTCATTTCTACGAAAAATTTTCAAATTAGCTGGGCGTGGAGGCACATGCCATTGTAGTCTCAGCTACTTGCGGGGGTGCTGAGGTGGGAGGATCACTTGACCCCAGGAAGTCAAGGCTGCAGTGAGCCATGATCATGCCACTGCACTTTAGCCTGGGCAACAGAGTGAGACCCCGTCTCAAAACAAATTAGCAAACAAACAAAGGACCCATCAAGAGATGAATGAATAAACAAAATGTAGTATATACATACAACGGAATACCATCTGCCTTAAAAAAGGAATGAAATTCTAACATACCCTGCAACATGGATGAACCTTGAAAACATTGCAAAGTGAAATAAGCCAAACATAAAAGGACAAATACTGTATAATGCCACTTATATGAGGTACCCAGAATAGTGAAGTTCATAGAGACAGAAAGTAGAACAGAATTTACCAGGGGCTGGTAGGAGGCGAGAATGGGGAGTTGTTTTCTGTTTGGGATGATGTAAACATTCTGGAAATATACAGTGATGATGGTTGTATAACATTAAGTATGTTTTTAATGCCACTATATTGTATACTTAAAAATTATTTAAACAGCAAATTTTATGTTGTACATATAGTTAATCACATTTAATCACAGTCTTCCAGGCTGGAGTGCAGTGGTGCAATCAGGGCTCACTGCAGCCTTGACATCAATCCTCCTGCCTCAAGCAATCCTCCTGCCTCACCCTCCCAAAGTGCTGGGGTTACAGGCATGACTCACCAGGCCTGGCCACAGTTGTTCAGAACTAAGAAAATCTAAATGAACTATGGACTTTTTTAGTCAATAATATATAAATATTGATTCATTAATTCTAACAAATGTACCATATGTCAAGGCAGATGTTAAGAATAAGTGAGGCCGGGTGCGGTGGCTCATGCCTGTAATCCCAGCACTTTGGGAGGCCAAGGCAGGTGGATCACCTGAGCTCAGGAGTTCAAGACCAGCCTGGCCAACATGGCAAAACCTCATCTCTACCAAAAATACAAAAATTAGCCAGGAACAGTGGTGCATGCCTGTAATCCCAGCTACTCAGGAGGCTGAGGCAGGAGAATCGCTTGAACCTGAAAGGCGGAGGTTGCGGTGAGCGGAGATCGCACCACTCCACTCCAGCTTGGGTGACAGAGTGAGACTCCGTCTCAAAAAAAAAAAAAAAGAATAAGTGAAACTAGGTATAGAGTATATGGGAACTTTCTGTACTATCTTCTCAATTTTTCTATAAGTATAAAATTTTCTGGCTGGGCGTAGTGGCTTATGCCTATAATCCCAACACTTTGGGAGGTCAAGGCGGGAGGATATCTTGAGGCCAGGAGTTTGAGACTAGCCTGGGCAACACAGCAAGACCCCATCTCTATGAAAAACTTAAAAAAATTAACTGGTATGGTGGCACATGCCTGTAGTCCTAGATACTAGGGAGGCTGAGGCAAGATAATCACTTGATCCCAGGAGGTTGAGGCCTCAGTGAGCCAACTGCACTCCAGGCTGGGCAACAGAGCAAGATCTTGTCTCTAAAAAAAATAAAAATAAAAGAACGAAATAATTTTTTTTAGACAGTTTCGCTCTTGTCGCCCAGGTTGGAGTACAATGGCGCCATCTCAGCTCACTGCAACCTCTGCCTCCCAGGTTCAAGCAATTCTCCTGCCTCAGCCTCCAAATAGCTGGGATTACAGGCACCTGCCACCACACCTGGCTAATTTTTCTATTTTTAGTAGAGACAGGGTTTCACCATGTTGGCCAGGCTGATCTCAAACTCCTGACCTCAAGTGATCAGCCTGCCTCGGCCTCCCAAAGTGCTGGTATTAGAGGCATGAGCCACCGTGCTCGGCCAAAAATAGAAATAAAACTTTCTAAAAAATAGTTTGTTTTTGGGCCGGGCACGGTGGTTCACACCTGTAGTCCCAGCACTTTGGGAGGCCAAGGCAGGCGGATCACCTGAGGCCAGGAGTTCAAGACCAGCCTGCCAACATGGTGAAACCCCATCTCTACCAAAAATACAAAAATTAGCTGGGCATGGTGGCACAGCCTGTGATCCCAGCTATGCGGAAGGCTGAGGTGGGAGGATTGCTTGAACCCGGGAGGGGCAGGTTGCAGTGAGAGGAGATTGCACCACTGCATTCCAGCCTGGGTGACCAGAGTAAAACTGTCTCAAAAATCAAAAACAAAACAAAAAAAAAGTGTAAAAAAAATGTGTCACTAGTTCTTGCTCAAATTACAGTAAAGTAAGATCACATAGAAGCAAAAGGAGACAAAATTAAGTAGTAGTCCCATCTGACACAGTCAAGGGGCTGATATGGACTATAGTTAGTACTCATACATGGAAAAGTTCAGGTGTTTGCAGTGTTAACTTTTTAAACATTACAGCCACTTCTAGAATCAACAGGACTTAATGAAGATTGAAATAAATGAGTCAATAATAACAAGGATACTCTCTATCCTAAAATGAAAATACACCTTAGTAAGGTGGTTCTCAACTAGGGGTAATTTTGCCCCCTAAGAAACATTTGGCCATGTCTGAACTCATTTTTGATTGTCAGGACTGGGGAGGTGCTGCTGATATCTTGGGATGTGGCTAAACATGTAACAGCCCATCTTCACTCCAAAATGTCAACAGTCCCAAGGTTGACAAACCCCATCTTAGAAGAAGGTTGGGAGCCACTGAATCTATGTTTTGAGATAACTTGATCATAAAAATCCTAAACCAACCGGGCTTGTTTATTTGTTTAGAAATATTGATACCAGCCGGGCGCAATGGCTCACACTTGTAATTCTAGCACTTTGGGAGGCCGAGGTGGGAGGATCACAAGGACAGGGGTTCCAGACCAGCCTGGCCAACACAATGAAACCCCGTCTCTACTAAAAATACAAAAATTAGCTGGGCGTGGTGGCAGGTGCTTGTAATCCCAGCTATTTGGGAGGGTGAGGCAGGAGAATCGCTTGAACCCAGGAGGCAGAGGTTGCAATAAGCCAAGATCGCGCCACTGCACTCCAGCCTGGGCAACAGAGCTAGACTCCATCTCAAAAAAAAAAAAAAATTGATACCTTGCCAACTAGTACGGGATGTATTAAAATGTATGGTTTTGAAAGTATTATTTAAAGGAAAGTTAACAACTGACATTCCAATTTATCTAAATATTTGAAATTTTGTAAAAGCAAAAAAAGGCAACAAAGTAATACTTAAAAAAAAAACATTAGACATACACAGATACTCCATGACTCTCACAAACAATACTGAGTAAAAGAAACCAGACACAAAAAAATACATTTTGCACAACTCCATTTATATAAAGCTCAAGAACAGGCAAAAACTGATCTTTTACATTAGAAATCAGAAAAGTGGTTCCTTTAGAGAAAAAGGAAAAACAGAGATGGAAGAGAACATAGGAGGACTTCCAGGATGTTAATAATTTTGGGGTTTTTGGGGGGTTTTTTGTTTGTTTGTTTGTTTGTTTGTTTTTAGATAGAGTCTCACTCTGTCACCCAGGCTGGAGTGCAGTGGCGCAATCTCGGCTTACTGCAACCTGCGCCTCCCAGGTTCAAGCAATTCTCTTGCCTCAGCCTCCCAAGTAGCTGGGATTACAAATGTGCGCCACCACATCTGGCTTTTTTTTTTTTTTTCTTTTTTTTGTACTTTTAGTAGAGACAGGGTTTCAGCATGTTGGCCAGGCTGGTCTTGAACTTCTGGCCTCAAGTGATCCCCCCACCTCAGCCTCCAAAAGTGCTAGGATTACAGGTGTGAGCCACTGCGCCCAGCCAAAATTTTGTATCTCTTAATCTGGGTAGTACTTACATAACTGTTCCCTTGGTGACAATTCATCCACTGAATACTGATAATCTGTGTACTTTACTATATACAGATAAAACTTCAACAAAATTTTATTGATATTATTTATACACTAAAAATCTGAGCATTTTGACCCCAAAAGATAAATTGATGTCAACTGCAAAAGTAAAAGTGCTTTGTTATATAGGCTGCCTTCCAAGAATTCAAGGTTGACACCCCCAGAAAGATGTAAATAGCATACTCGGCACTCATATAGCATTCAGCTGTACACTTAAGCCACTATATATCCCTCGGCACCAATCCAAAAATTTCACAAACACTAACAAATGAGGCTGAAATTATTCCATCAACAGTTTGTTTGCATTAGTTTTCCCAGTGTTAAACTGTGAACTGTTATCAGAGAATAGGCTCCATGAAGTAAATGATGCTTTCTCTTTCCTAATCCCACACACTCTCGAAGCTCCCCCAAACTAAAACCTTCTTGGCCCCTGAACTCCTTAGGACTTCTCCAGGGTGTTTCTAACGGTGCTCCCTATTCCCTCTCCCAGTAACCACTCTCACACTCTACCTCCCACACATACAAAAACTCACATTAATGCTCACTCCAGAGACGTGTCTCCCTCCCTAGCCAGACTTCTACCCTCTCCCTGTATCTCACAACACAATCCAAACCCCCACTACCCTCAAACTCCCACTATTCAGAAATTCCCTGCCAACAGCATCACAAAACCAGGGCACATGGTATCTTTTCAATCCTCTTCGGTAGTAGTCACACAAAAAGCCGTTGCTACTGTAAGCTCTTCTGCCTGCCTATTCAAAGGCAACCACAGTGGTTATTATCTCCAACTCTTCTCTTCCCTTTAGCCCCCGCCTCCTTTACTGCACTCAAATCCATTTCACTTTTCAACCACTCTCTCCCCTACAACCTCTCCCTTCCTCTTTCTGAATCCTTCCTAAGTCCCACTGGTAGCTGATGGAAAGTTGGAGGGGTGTATGAAAGAACTCACTCTGTCCTGTGTAAAGGTGGTGGAGGAAGGCTGCCCAAGTCTCAAGCACGTGCATGGCTGCAGAGTCAGACACTGGATTCTGCAACCCAGCCCCACCACTTACTAACTGGAAGGCTCTGGACAAGCCTCAGTTTCCTCAACTGCCAAATGGGGGTAATAAAAACAGCTATCTCACAGAGTTGTGAAAATTCAGTGAACTAATGGCCACTGAGCCCTTTGCACAAATCCAACACGGTAAGTTCTCAGTAAATGACAGTTTCTCTAGATCCTCTTCTTGGCAGGAGGAATAAAGGGAGAGGGTGAAAGGTATTCTTTAGGTCTCTTTAATGCTAAGATTCCTGCAAAATCTCCCCTTGGGGGACAGAAGGAAGGCAACCGATATAAGGAGGGAAGTACTCTACAGATATGTGAGTGAAACAAAGAGTTTTGTCACATCTCCAAAGTCAGTGTTTCCCCCTTCTTATCTTCCTACAACGCAGAGCCAAGAAGTCCTCAAAGCCCTTCCTAAAGGATGGAGGAACACATGAATATATACATCAAATCCTCCTTCCACAGAGACTCACTGAAGGGAATGAAGAAGGAAAAAGTCCTCCTAATTATTAAGATGCGTTCCTTGGGACTCGGAGAATTAGGAAGGAAACCCCCAAGTCTTGAATACATTTCTCTAAAGAGGCCGAATACTTAATAATCAGGGGAGATTAAAGCAAATGGTAGACACCCTAAAGTCTCCTCCAGGGCTCTTGCACGAAGAGTACAAACTGGTTTCTCCGTAAGCGGGGATGGCCAGGTGGGGAAAGAAAGGAAAAGTGCTTTCACTATGGCCCGTGGGACACAGGGGGTTCCCCGGGTCCCTTCCTGGGCGGAACGAGGGAGAGGGTCTGCGCGGGGCAATCCCCGGCTCCCTGCGTTGGGGGAGGCGGCCTCGGGCCGGGGCCCCAGGGACTTGAGCTGGCTGGCTGCTTGTCCCTTAACAAGCCCATCTCCTGTAACGGGATTCTCCTAGGACTCCGGGATCTCCCGGAGGTTCGGCCATCACTGGACCCCTCCCCGCACAAACCTCCTGACAGTCTTCCTCAGTCCCGCGAGCCCTCCGGGTCCCTGCTCTGGGTGTCCCGGCTCGCGGGGTCAGCCCGGAGCCAGCAAGCTCTCCACGCGGGCCTGCCCGGGTCCCTCCCGAGTGCTGCGAGCCGCGCGGGCTTACCTGCTGAGACGGCAGCTCCACATGCAGGGCCCGCGCGGCAGAACCGGGAGGCAGAGCAGCGGCCGGGCCCGGGGGTGGCTGGGGGACGGGGCCCCCGACCGACGCGGAGGCGCTCATCTCGATCCAGGGGCCGCCAAGCGGCGGGGCGGGCACTCTTCCGGCATCCGCCGCCGCCCCCTTGCCACCACCTACCAAGCCCCTGCAGCCTAGAAACCCGCCACCCGAGAGGCACTACTGCTCAGCCCAGACAGTAGCCGCCGCCGCTGCCGCCGCTGCCGCCGTTGCCGCCGCTGGCTAAGGAAGAGCCATATTACCGCAGTGCAACCCCTCCACCCCGCTGAGACCCGGAGCGCTCATTGGCTTAGCCCTCAAGGGGGCGGGACCCAACGGCAGAAAAGGGGCGTGCTATTGGGTAGAAGGTCTGTCCATCGCTGGCATTACTGGACTTGGGGGCGGAGGGACTCAAGGATGGCCTCAATTGCGTCTGTCAAGCCGGGGTGAAACCTGGGGCGTTGCTTCTTTTTTTCCCAGTCTAATTGGTTCTTTTACTACCAACGGGCAGAGTCTCCTGGTGGAGGCGGAAGGGCCATTGCAAGAGGTCGCTGTCAATTGTCAGTAAAGGGAAAGAGGGGTGGGGTCTTGATTAGGTAGAGCGCGCTTCTGGGCTCCGGTGTCACGTGCAGGAGGCGGGAGAGTCACCTGATTAGGGAGAACCGGTCTTCTGAGCCACTTCCGCCCTCACTGGTTGCCGTGGTAACAGGCCTCCGGTGGAGGGCGGGGACCCTCGGAAGCCAGCTGGGTGGCGATCGCTTGTCTGCCTTGGCAGGCCCCTTGTGCAGTCTTTTCCCGGCGTGAGCGTGCAGGGATTGAAAAGGAATGCTTTATGGTTCAGCAGAGAGCCACCACGCAGGATGCACTGGGACCTGAGAACCGTCGGGCAGTCCCACGAGCTCTTTCATGACCAGCTCCAACCGACAAGTACACGCCCCTTCGCACTCCACTAGCTAGTAAGCTGAGCTACAAGGTGTGCCAGGCACCCAGGACGCCGATTCACCGCTTCAGGTGGGCTGTTTGTGCTGTGTCCCCAGAAAGCCTTTGCTACTTATCCATCAGTCTTAGCTGGGGCAGGAGTCCCTTCTTCCAAAAGGCTTCTCTGAGCCTCTCTGGGACCTTGAGTTAGGAATTTTGACCCTACCGTGGGTCTGGATTATTCTATTAATTTTTTTTAACAGTGCCTCATTCTTTCGCCCGGGCTGGAGTGCAGTGGCAAAATCACGGCTCATTGCAGCCTCGACCTCCTGGGCTCAAGTGATCCTCCCACCTCACCCTCCTAAGTAGCTGGGAATACAGGCACATGCCACCAGGCCCAGCTAATTTTAAAATTTTTTTGTAAAGATGGGGTTCTGGCCATATTTCCCAGACTAGTCTCAAACTCCCAGGCTCAAGCGATCCTCCAGTCTCGGGCTCCCAAAGTGTTGGGATTACAGGCATGAGCCACCAGGCCTGGCCACATTGTCTTTTAACACATGTAAGCAGCCACCCTCCTTCCCACACACACACAAAATACTGTGAATTCTTCAAGCAAAAGGACTTTGTCTGATTCATCTCTGGATCCCCAGTGCCTGACAGAGAATCAGGAAATTTTTTTTTTTTTTTTTTGCAGTGAAGGCCCAGCTCAAATGCCACCTCTTCCATGAAGACTTCCGTGATCCACAATGATAGCATCTCCAGCAATTGCTTCTATAATGAATAGCATGAGTCATTCTGCAGGATGTTGATCTTCCTTTTTTTACTCCTAGACTGAATTTTTCCACCACCTGGATGAACATAGCAGAAAGAACATAGTGTTTTAGAGTCAGACACAATAGGAATCAGGCACTTTGGAATCTTGGCTCTACCACCTTTGAGCTATGTATCCCAAGGCAAGTCACTTCCCCTCTCTCAGCTTTAAAATAGTAATAGGATTGCTGTAGGGATTAAAGTAAATCAACATATGTAAAGTGCCCACACAGGACCTGGCATATAGTAGTTGCATTTTAAATTTTTTAAACAAAATGTAAGCATACTATCTTTCCAGGGTGTTCAGAAGCCTGAAAAACACCTTGGATCTTTTCTCAGAGCTGGATCACAAAGATGTCACACTGTCTCCTGTTCTGACACACTGAGTGGTTCCTCATGGCTGGAGCCTGGGGCGTGTGGTCAGGTGTTTGTTGAGAAAGGAGTCGCTTGATCAGGTGTTTGTTGAGAAAGGAGTCACTGGGAAATCCCAAATATTATCTGATTGAACTCATGTGGTGCCAAGATCTGGGGGAATTTCACAGAAAACACATTTCTGTTTCTAAGCTGTATTAGTTTTCTGAGGCTGCCATAACACATTATCACAATTCTTGCTTGAGCCCAAGAATTTGGGACCAGCCTGGGCAACATGGCAAAACCTTGTCTCTACAAAAATACAAAAATTAGCCCAGCATGTCGTTTTCACCTATAGTCCCAGCTACTGAGGAGGCTGAGGTGGGAGGATTACCTGAGCCTGGGGAGGTTGAGGCTGCAGTGAGTCAAGATCATGCCACTGTACTCCAGCTTGGGCAACAGACTGAGACCCCATATCAAAAACAAACGAAGAGTGATCATCCAGTTACTCACTGCTGGGTCTGAGGGAAGCCCAAAGGCAGTGGGAGCCAGAGAAAATAGTTGAGAGTCAGATTTCACAGTGGAGGTGACATTGAAACAGGGTATTGAAGGGCCAATAAGAGTTCACCAAGTCAGGAGAGAGGGAGGAAAGGACATTCCAGCAGAGAGCAGGATCTATTCTTTCCACAAGCCTTTACTGAGGTTCACCTTTGCACAGGCTAGCTACTGGGTTCTGGAAATGCAGAGCTCAAGTAAACAACCCTTCTCCCACTTTTCCCAAATGCCGAAAACATTAGGAGAACTAGGACTCTCATCCCTAGGGGCATTGGGAAGAACTCAAAAGCCTGCTGCTTGCAAAGTATTCAAGATGATGTAAAGCATTTAACACACTGTCTGGGAGATAGTACATTTTTAATAAATACTAGCTGTCATTATTTTCATATGTCCTATTTCATTCTAAAAACTTTTCTTTCTTGTTTTTGAGACAGAGTCTCTCTCTGTGACTCAGGCTGGAGTGCAGTGGTGCGATCTCAGCTCACTGCTACCTCTGCCTCCCAGGTTCAAGTGATTCTCCTGCCTCAGCCTCCCAAGTAGCTGGGACTACAGGCATGCACCACCACACCCAGCTAAGTTTTTTTGTATTTTTAGTAGAGACAGGATTTCACCATGTTGGTCAGGGTGGTCTTGAACTCCTGACCTCAAATGATCCACCCACCTCAGCCTCCCAAAGTGCTGGGATTACAGGCATGAGCCACCGCGCCCGGCCCTAAAAACTCTTTTATTATTGGGATCCTATTTCATAATATGGCTGATTGTTTCAACATAAAAATATTTTAAATCACAGAATTAAATTATTATAATATTTACATAGTGCTATATATCCCCCAGAGAAACATATATCCAAGTTTAGAGAACATAGATTATAAGGTGGCCAAATGCAATGTATATGCAATGATAGAAGGGGTCCAAGGTCAAGTGGTAAGAGTGACCAACTCTTCAGGAGCTGGTGGGCAAGGTCAGAGCAGGCTTCACCAAAGTTATAAAGGATGATTGGGAGTTTAGTAGATGAACAATAGGTGTTTAGATCTGTTTGGCTCGGGAATAGCTAGTGTTTTAACAGCTAATTAGTACCATGTTGGGTATTTAAATCAAACATTCAGTTTCCAGGGCCAAAAAGCTAAGCCTACCCCAATCCATTTGCCTCCACTTCCTCCTCCCACCTCATGGGCCTGATGCATTGGGTAAACAAGAGCAAGATAGGGCAGATGGGTCTTTCAGTGTCTCAAACTGTATTGAGTTAAATCTATCCCCTTCCTTTCAACAGAGCCCTCTTTCTTCCATTCACTTACCTGTCTAGTCAAACACCCATCAGACCTTTGCCAGGTGTCCAGCCTGGGCACTACGTTTCAGAAAATGATGCACATAGAATCCCTAACTGAAAGGAGATCGCAGCTCATTTGGTACAAAGTGGTAAGTACAATAATCGAGATGATGTATAAAGTACAGTGGAAGCACTAAGAGAAAGGTGCTAACTGTCACGTGTTGTCCAGGAAGGCTTCCTAGGAGAGGAGAGTATTCTATGCAGGAGGAACAGCATGAGCAAAGGCACAGGGGTAGAGGAAGTGACAGCAGCAGAGTCTAACATGGCTGAAACAAAGGCTGCATGGGAGAGCAACAGGCAAAAAGATTGGAAGAGGAAGCTAGGGCCGGGTGAGAAGAACCTGACTACCAGGCCGAAGAACATGAGTTTCATCGTGGGCAACAGAAAGCACTTAGAAAGATGGCTCAGGCAGCCTTGGGGGAGGGGTAGCTTTGAAGGGGCAGGACTAGAAGAGTGAGACGCTTGCAGAAAGCAGGTGAGAATTGTAAAAGAAAAAGGCCATTCCCCAAAGAAACTGCACATACCCAAGAACCCTGAAAGGCAGGTGCCTAGACAGCATTTTCCCTTCTCCTTTCCCAACTCGGCAAGGTCATTTTCTCAAAAAAGGCTTCCCAGGTCTGAACGAACTGCTACTTCCTCTGGGCTCCTACAGCAGCTGTCTGACCTCTCTTCAGTATGTGTAACTGTGTGCCTAGTCATATATTGAGCAGTCTACATTTGTCCCTCCCACTCTGCTGTGAACCTCTGCTTTTGATTTCTCTGAGTCCCCAGCATCCCAACACAGAAGACAGGCTCCATAGCGTCATTGAGCAAATGGCTGAATGAATGAAGTCAATGAATGAATGGACAAATACTTGAGTAAGTGAATGTTTGGATCACATGGGGGCCTCCATTCCTCCCGACTAGACACAGCCCCCAGAGAGGGGAAATGAGCTTGCTAAGGTCACACAAAGTTTGTAGCAAAGCTAAGACAAAGAGTTGGGCCTTTTGTCCCCAAGACCAATGCTCTTTCCTCAGTTCCAGTGGTTTTCCCACTGCCACTGACTGTAAAGGTGCCAGTGTGAACACAGGAGCTTGTGAATGTGCAGGCCAGTGAGGGTAACACGTATGGGAAATAAGCACATCTAACCCAGGGAGCTGATATACCGAGAGTTGTCCAGAGAAAACTTTCCTTGGGAACTGATGTTTGCAGTGAGGTCTGAAAGATGAGTAGGAGTTAACTGGACAAAGGAGGCTAGTGAGGGCAGGGGAAGCTGTTGGATAAAGGAACAGGAGGAACAGCCCATGAAGGACTATATGGAGCATTGCAGCAACTCAAAGAGAAGGCCAGCTGGTGCCAAGGAGGAAGAGGAGAACACTTTCGAAAGAAATTGGTATTTCAAAACCAAAACCAAACCAAAGACCACCTTCAGTTTCTTTAACAGTTTAGTGTTGTTCTTACTGGTAATTTTATTTACTTATTTATTTATTTATTTTTGAGACAGGGTCTTGCTCTGTCACCCAGTCTTGAGTACAGTGGTGTGATCATGATTCACTGCAGCCTCAACCTCCTCCCAGGCTCAGTCGATCCTCCCAAATAGCTGAGACTACAGCGCATTGCCACACCTGGCTAATTTTTGTATTGTTTGTAGAGATGGCTTTTGCTATGTTACCCAGGTTGGTCTCGAACTCCTGGGCTCAAGTGATCTGTCTGCCTTGGCCTTCCCAAATGCTGAGATTACAGGTGTGCATCACTGCACCTGGCCCTTATTTGTAATTTTATATAGTAGAAGCAGCACTATCCTTTGGTGCTTAGAGCTTCTGAAGTCCTAATCCAGCCCTGACGGCATAGAATGAGGCTGGAGATGCTGGCAGGGCCAGGTCCTGCCAGGCATTGTAGGCCACAGTGGAGTTTGGATTTCTTTGAGGCTCATGGACAACTATTAAGGGGTTTAAGCAGGGGAGTTACATGCTCTCATTTATGCTTCAGAAATGTCACTCTGGCTGCTGTGTTGAGTAGATTCGGGGGTGGGCAAAGCAGTGAAAATGGTGATGATAAATTGTGACATTTCTTCATTGAGTTTGAGGACAGTTAGGACAAAAATGTGCTGAGTTCCTGGTAATAAAGGCACTCAAGGGACGTCTGATTTCCCTGTTAGGCTGATTCTTTGACTGGTGAGCCACTCCCCAGGCAGGCATAGCATCACAGAGTTTCTGAGAAGGTACACCCTGGATGCAAAGCAGTGTTGCTGAAAGACTCCATGCCAGGGGTAAGCATCTGGAGACCAGTCTGAACCTTTAGCTTATTCATTGCATGATTTTAGACAAATCAATTCCCCTCTATGAGTCTGCAGGTTTCCCTAGGACCTAGAGGGAACTAACATTTGCTAAGTGTTTTACATACATTATTACTCTGGTCAATCCCCACAGGATCCTGTGAAGTAGGTATTATTTATTTGTTTTATTTTATTTTTTGAGACAGAGTCTCACTCTTTCACCCAGGCTGGAGTGCAGTGGCACGATCTCGGCTCACTGCAACCTCCACCTCCCAAGTTCAAGCAATTCTCCTTCCCAAGAAGCTGGGACTACAGGTGTTAGCCACCATGCTCAGGTAATTTTTGTAGAGATGGGGTTTTACCATGTTGGCCAGGCTGGTCTCAAACTCCTCACCTCAGGTGCTCCACCCACCTCAGCCTCCCAAAGTTCTGAGATTACAGGTATAAGCCACCGAGCCTGGCTCAAGTGGGTATTATTGTCTCAGTTTTACGGATGCCTAAAAAAAGGATCAGAAATTAAAATGACCCGTCACATGGTTCTTAGGGCAAATTGATGGTGTGAACCCAGGTCCTCAGGGCAGGACTTTGTCACCCACATCATAGCTTCTGCATTCATTAGAATACACTATTTAGGACTAGTTGGTTATAAATATGAGAAGGAAAAGAACTAGGATGAACCCTGTTATCCGTAAATTAAAACTGGCCAGATCTTGGTTTGTAGATACCGTCCTCCACTAGGAGGAATCAAGACTCTTTGGAGAAGTGGCTGATTCCAGGATTAGGCCAGAAAAAAAGCAAAAGATGATTCTGGGGCATCCAGTTGTGCCAGAAAGTAAGGAAGTCCTCAGAAAAATGATGGGACAAATGACATCAAAGGGACACAGAAGCCAGTTCGAAGGGGCTCTCACTGTCCAAAACTGGGGCAGTTTGAGCATCAGAATAAATGTTAGAATGGCTTATAACCCATTGAATAAAATAGGTTCCATAAGTCTTTATAATAAATGTTTAGTAAGAAAGGAGATATTTGTAAAGTCTCAAACTACCAAAAAAAGAGTAACTTTACAGTGGAAAAGTGTGGCAAGTCACCATCTTAAAAGTGATCAATGAGGCCAGGCGCGGTGGCTCACGCCTGTAATCCCAGCACTTTGGGAGGCCAAGGCGGGCGGATCACGAGGTCAGGAGATCGTGTCCATTCTGGCTAACACGGTGAAACCCCGTCTCTACTAAAAATACAAAAATATTAGCCAGGCGTGGTGGCGGGAGCCTGTAGTCCCAGCTACTCTACTCTGGTGGCTGAGGCAGGAGAATGGTGTGAACCTGGGAGGCGGAGTTTGCAGTGAGCCGAGATTGCGCCACTGCACTCCAGCCTGGGCGATAGAGCGAGACTCTGTCTCAAAAAAAAAAAAAAAAAAAAGAGTGATCAACATGACCATCATCAGTAATATGACAAATTCAAATTATCTGCTTCCTGACAGGATGTGATGAGAAGAGCCCATCATCACATCTGTGATATTTCTGCCAAAGATAAATAACCTGAACCAATCATAAGGAAACAATAGGCAAAACAAAACTGAATGGCATTCTAAGAGTACCCAGCTCATCATCTTCAAGATTGTCAGTCATGATGGTCAAGGAAAGACTGAGTATCTGTTTCAGATAAAAGAAGATCGAAATAACATGTGACTCTGAACTTGATCCTTTTGCCAGAATGGACACTATTAAGACAAATGGTGAAATTTGAATAGGGCCTGAGGATTAGATCGTAGTAATGTTTTTACGTTAATTTCTTGGTCTTCATGGTTTCATTGTAGTTATATAGGATAACATTCTTGGCCATGCATGGTAGCTTACGCCTGTAATCTCAGCACTTTGGGAGGCCAAGGCAGGAGGATTGCTTGAGCTCAGGAGTTCAAGACCCGCTAGAAAGAGAGAGACGTCGGGCCGGGCGTGCTGGCTCACGCCTGTAATCCCAGCACTTTGGGAGGCCGAGGCGGGTGGATCACAAGGTCAGGAGATCGAGACCATGGTGAAACCCCATCTCTACTAAAAATACAAAAAATTAGCTGGGCACGGTGGCGGGTGCCTGTAGTCCCAGCTACTCAGGAGGCTGAGGCAGGAGAATGGTGTGAACACAGGAGGCAGAGCTTGCAGTGAGCCGAGATTGCACCACTGCACTCCAGCCTGGGCAGCAGAGCGAGACTCTGTCTCAAAAAAAAAAAAAAAAAAGAGAGAGACGTCGTCTCCATGAAAAATAAAAAACAATTGGCCAGGCGTGGTGGCACATGCCTGTAATCCCAGCTACTTGGGAGACTGAGCTGGGAGGATCACTTGAGCCCAGGAGCTGGAGGCTGCAGTGAGCTATGATCGTGCCATTGCACTGTAGCCTGGGTGACAGCACAAGACCCTCTCTCAAAAAAAGAAAAAAAATAACATTCTTGTTTGTTGAGAGTGATGAGTTATGTCCACAACATACTCTCAAATAATTTAGGAAAAAAATTATTTATATTGTACTTGAAAATTTTTATGAGATTGTTTCTAAAAAAATATTTAAAAATCGTGTAATGTTCATTGTAATCTATTTCACGGAAACAAAATGAAAATTATTTATTTTACTTTTATCCTAATATTTTGCTCATAAAGCTTAGATTCATTTGTTTATTTAAGAACAGTAGGGGCCAGGTGCGGTGGCTCACGCCTGTAATCCCAGCACTTTGGGAGGCCGAGGCAGGCAGATTGCCTGAGGTTGGGAGTTCGAGACCAGCCTGACCAACATGGAGAAACCCTGTCTCTGCTAAAAATACAAAATTAGCCAGGTGTAGTGGCGTGTGCCTGTAATCCTAGCTACTCGGGAGGCTGAAGCAGGAGAATCACTTGAACCCGGGAGGTGGAAGTTGTGCTGAGCCAAGATCACACCATTGCACTCCAGCATGGGCAACGAGAGCGAAACTCTGTCTCAAAAAAAAAAAAACCAAAAAAAACAGTAGGGCAGACTTTATTCAAGAGGGGCTACCACAGTGGAGTTCTGTAGCAGGAGAGAGAGATCAGGCTCAACTCCCTAAAGCTTAGATTTTAAAAAACAATAATTTATTGAGTGCTTGGATTGTGCCAGGCATTGTTACAAGCAGTTTTTGTGTATCGACACAACAGTGCTATGAGATTAGAAAGTGAAGGCAGTCACATGTTCTGAGTTTCGAGCTGGGATTCTAAAGCAGTCTAACTCCAGTGTTGTTAATCCTACATTTTACTGCCTCTAATGAAATAGTGTTACTGCATATATTTTCAATACATTTATATAGCGAAGTCATACTTTCTTGGAATATATTTTTATATCATATACATTGAATGAAAAGATATACTGTTCATGTTTAATAGAAGAAAAATACTTTGACATATTAGTTTTCATCAAAAGTAAATATAAATCTCAAAAATCATTTGATACTTCAGAGAAGAAACTTTTTAAGATGTATGTTAGTGTGATTTAATGATACATAAAAAACATAAGAAATAAAATGTGTATGTATGATTTAAAAAATTAGATGAAAATATATGAAACAAAACTCCCTAAACGGAAAGTGGTAAAAAATATTTTGAAAAAGAGTTTGCAAGGAAGGGAAACAGGAATATGAAAAAGAAGTTTGAAATAAATATATGAAGCATGCGTTTGCTGTAAAAATGGTGGTGGAAGCAGGGGGTCGGGGAAGTCTCCACTTTTCTCCTCCTCATAATCCCATTATAACTCTTTAAATGGGAAAATATTCCACCCTCTCAGAAGTACTAGGGAAGAGTGTCTTCCAAACTTGCAGTCCACCCCATGGAAACAAAAGTGAAATATTTGATTTGTGAGAAGACTAGAGGTTGTCATCCTCTGGTCCAACTTCTCTATCAGGTGGTATAAATATATTAAAGTCACTGTATTAGTTTAAGACACAAACTGGGTGGCTTAAAACAGAAATTTATTCTCTCACAGTTCTGGAGTCCAGAAGTCCAAAATCAAAGGCTGTGCTCTCTTAGAAGGCTCGAGGAGAGAATCCTTCAATGCCCCTTCCAGATTCTGGTGGCTCCAGGTGTTCCTTGCCTTATGCCTACACAACTCCCAATCTCTGCCTCTATTTTTTTTTTTTTTTTTTTTTTTTGAGACAGAGTATTGCTCTGTTGCCCGGGCTGGAGTGCAGTGGCATAATCTCCACTCACTGCAACCTCCACCTCCCGGGTTCAAACATTCTTTTTTTTTTTCTTTTTTAGACGGACTTTCGCTCTCGTTGCCCAGGCTGGCGTGCAATGGCGTGATCTTGGCTCACTGCAACCTCCAAGGTTCAAGCGGGTTCAAGCGATTCTCCTGCCTCAGCCTCCCGAGTAGCTGGGATTACAGGCATGCACCACCACCCCAGCTAATTTTGTATTTTTTAGTAGAGACGGGGTTTCTCCATGTTGGTCAGGCTGGTCTGGAACTCTCGACCTTAGGTGATCTGCCCACCTCAGCCTCCCAAAGTGCTGGGATTACAGGCGTAAGCCACTGCGCCCAGCTGGATTCAAACAATTCTTGTGCCTCAGCCTCCCAAGTAGCTGGGACTACAGGTGTGCACCACCACACCTGGCTAATTTTTGTATTTTTAGTAGAGACGGGGCTTTGTCATGTTGGCCAGGCTGGTCTCACTACATTGCCCAGGCTGGTCTCGAACTCCTGGGATTGAGCAATTCTCCTGCCTCGGCCTCCCAAAGCGTTGGGATTGTAGCGATGAGCCACTGCGCCTGGCCTGTTCTTCTAAGAACACCTATCATTGAATTTGGGTCCCACCTAGATATTCAGTATTACCTCATCTTGAAATCTTTAACTTAATTTTATCTGCAAAGGCCCTTTTTTCCAAATAAGACTACATTCACAGGTTCAAGGAATTAGGATGTGGACATATTGTGTGGGCCACTATTCAACCCACTACACCATTCTTATATGGCCTGCCCCTCTTTTCTCTCAAGCTACCCTGTCCAAATGATGGAGAAATTAAGATGTTAATCTTAATTTGTATTAATCTGGACTAAAGTGTCAACCAACCACTAAGAAAATAACTCAAAAATATACAGAAACAAGAAGATAATTAAAATAGTATATTAGAAAACAGTTGTCTAACACACAAGAAGGCAGTAATGGAAAGAGTGAGGAATAAAAAAATAAGACACACAGAAAACAAATAGCAAAATGACAGATGTAAATCCCACCTTATAATTATATTAAATGTAAAGAGACTAAACAATCATATGGCAAAGAGTAGAAATGTGGATATAAAAAATATCCAACACTATTATGTCTACAACGCACTTTATATTCAAAGACACAAATAAGTTGAAAGGGAAAGGATAGAAAAGACATGTCATGCAAATAGGAACAAAAGAGTGTTGGGGTCGCTGTACCAATGTAGGTTATACACAGTAAACTTAGAGACAGAAACTGTTACTACAAAGAGCAGCATTTTATAATGATAAAGCGTGGATTCATCAGGAAGACATAACATAAACATGTTATAAACACGCATGCAGGTAACGGCAGAGTCCCAAAACACATGAAGCAAGAACTGACAGAACTGGAGGGAGACATCAATCAATAACAACAGTTGGAGAATTCAATACCCTGCTCTGAATAATGGATAGAACAATTAGGCAGAAGACCAACAAAGAAAGAGGATATTTGAACAACGTGATAAGCCAATTTGACCTAATAAATATCTTTATCTGTGAAACACCCTAGCTTTTAGCCTGGGTAAGGAGCTGGAGAGATGTGAAAATGTGGAAAGCAAGCCTAAGTCGCAGTGTGGCCTATGCCTGAGAGCCATCTTCAGTGCCCCCTTGTGGCTGTATCTGGGAACCACAGACAGAATCATGGAACTGACCATCTTCAGTCTCAAAGTGCTGCCCTCACCACTACACCCAGGGGCAGGTGGTCTTCGGGGGAAAGGCGGTTCCAGTTCCTTCTCCCAAGGTAACAACTCCCATCCCAAGGCAATGTTCACAGAACCTATCAGAGTCCCCCCTGCCCTATGCACAGCTTAAGACCAGGGTGGTCTCAGCTCTGATCAGGCCACTGAGGGCATCTGTCTGAGATTTGGGACCCAGTTATTGTCCCTGTTCTTCTTAGGCAGATGGCGGAGTTCCCCAGTACACAGAAGGTGCTCACTCTTCACAAAAAGCAGTGCTTGAGAATAACAGCCTACCTTGGTGGAGTAGCTTCGTTAGGGCCAGGGCTTGACTTGAAGCCAGAGACTGAGGTTGCAGTCCAGCCTTGGGTCAGCCTCAGGCTGGGGCTGGGGTGATGCTGAGACCCTCACCAGAAAAAAGGCCTTTACCCCATCCGAAAGGAAATGGCTATCCTCTGACCTGAGCACTCTAGCCTGAGGCCTGCCTGGCGCTAGAAGCCAGCCTCTGTTGTCCCCTCCCAGCACTCCTCCCACTGCTCTGCCTTTCTGCCCACATAGAAACTCTGGAGACACCAGCTCCCCACCCTTCCAAGCTAAGCCCCACTGCTGTCTCTGCCTCCTCCATCTTTCAAACCGGCAATGTTTTTCCAATCAGGCCTCCCTATCCTTCCCCTACTGCTCTGCCCTTCACTGCCTTCCTTTCCTGGCGACTCTCAGCCGCCCTTCAAGGCCCAGCTCAGGCGTTCTTTCCTCAGTGACGCACCCCCGGGCAGGCTGGGGCTTCTGGCACAGCTCTGGCCACCCTGCGTATCTTCAGCTGTTCCCAATGTTTGTCTCTGCTCCCAAGTAGCTCTCTCACAGTTTCTGGCACAGAGGAGTTGGCCCTGAGGGGGATGAACAGCAAGGACAGGCAGGACAGTTCTGGCAGTAAGGAAGTTAGAACAAGGTCCTTTGGTCTCGGCTAGGAAGGGTTCCCAGGTGCTTAGTACTCACTGAACAGAAAGGAATTAGAAAAGAGGTGGCATCTTGTAATCGCTAGGGTGACAGCAGGCCAGGCCTCTGCCTTTTTGGTAGAGCTGAGGCCAGGGGCAGGGAACACAGCTTGAGTGACCCATAAGGAGCCTTCCAGCTCAGCCACCCAAGGGCCCCCCAGCTGGACAGGAGCCCTTTACCACATGGTAGGCATCATGTCAAGTGGCTCCCAATGACCCCTGCCCCCTGGCATCCATTCCCTGGTGTAATCCCCTCCCGTCCAGTGGGAGCTGGACCGAGCAATGTTCATTTAATGAACAGAATATGGCAAAAGTGACAGGATATCACTTCCCAGGTTAGGTTATAAGGGCCTGGGACTTCCGTCTTGCTCGCACACTTCACTCCACTCACTGGCTCTTCTTGCTAAGTAAGCTGGTGTGCCGTGAGCTACCCCATGGAAAGGCCCATGTGGCAAGGAACTGAAAGTGGCCTCTGTCAACAGCCAGTGAGGAAGTCAATCCTGCGAACAACTGCAGGAACGGCCTTGGGAGTGGATCCTTCCTCAGCCCGGCTCCAAGACAACTGCAGCCCTGTGAGAAACCCTGAGTGGAGGACCAAGCCAAGCCTCAAATCGTGACTTGGAACTGGGAGACAACAGATGCTGTTGGAAGCCACTGAGCTCTGAAGTAGTTTGTTACACAGTGACAGGTAACTTACACACCATGGCAGGGTCATGTGGGCCAAAGGTGCAAGGGGCTAGAGGGCTCAGAGGGCAGCCAGCTGGGGACCCAGTCTTCCCCAGGTGTCAGCAGCAGATGCAGATGCAGCCCCAGCAATAACTCATAGAGGATTCTCACTTTCATTTATTTTCAAGGCATATACAAAAGTCTGACATGGTGCAATGATCTCATCAAGAGATAACAGAACACACAGGAGAGGGTTGGGTTTCCTCCCCGGCCCAACCCCCTCAGGAAGGCACAGAAAAGTGAGGCTTGGGTTCGGGGGCCACCTGCTTTGGAACTAATCTGCTGCTCAGAAGGCCAGGCCCCTTCTGAAGAGGGATCTCTTCCTCACATCCAGAATCTAGGATCTGGGGAAGGTAAACTGAGGCCACCAGTAAGCATGTGCTCCAGGCCAAGGCTGAGTCTGTGCTGCATCCATGTCATCAGCCACCCAAGAAAAACCAGTTACTCCACCTAGCTCATGGTGGCGGCATCCTCCCTGCAATGGTGCATGGGGGGCAGTCCTTTCCCCTGCAGGGTGTCATTGCCACCCCCATCCTCATCCTGGAGGCCAGTCCAGGCTCCGATATGAGTGACTAGGGGTGAGGTAGGGGTGGCAGAAGGGAGATCAAACTGGAGCATTCCAGATGCCTACTACTGCCCTCACACAACGGGGCAACTGTGCTCTCCAACTCCTCCCCTTGGCAGAGAAACTGGTCCTGCAGTTTCAGGACTAGACGAGCGTGGGGTAGTGGCAATAAAGGGGCTTGTATGAGAAGTGGCTTTCGCCTCTCATCCCTAGGGGCAAAAAGTGAATCATCTAACTGGTCCAAGTCACTAATGGCAATCCTTCTTCCCCAAGAAGACTGAGTTTCCTTTGTCACTTCAGGAAGGGAAGAAGAGAGGTTAGCTGAGCCACCCAGATTAGGCCCAGATTTAGCCACCACCTAGAACAGGGCAAGCTGGAAGTGAAAGAACTTGAAATACTGACTTTTTCCTTCTTAAAAAAGACCTAACATTGTAATGGTTTAGCAAAATTGTTATAATTTCTTTTAAATAACCCACAGACACCCATGACACTTCCAAATTTACAGAGCAAAAAAGTGATTTGCAGCTGGTTCCTCCAGGGAATTGGCCCCGAAGGCTGGCTCAGTTCACCTCCAGGACCTCAGTCTCCGGGAGGCCGAACTTGGTCTTGTGCTTGTCGAAGAGCTTCACCAGGGCCTCCATGTACATGGTGTGGTACAGGTCGATGTCTTGCTGGGTTGGGTGCTCCAGCTTGGGGATGGTGATGGGCTCTCCCACTGCAGGGACAGGGCAGAGGCTTCTGGTTAGTCAACACCCTTCCCCTGGGCATCCACCATGATGCTGAAGGTGGTGACGCTGGGCTGTGGGCCCGCCATGTGGAAGGAACTGTGCCAAATGCTTTATGTGCTGCATCTCTGGTTGTCCCCTATTACAGATGAAAAGACTGAGGCCCAGGGGCATGTGAAGGGACCCACCCGAGGCCACCAGGTGCTAAGCTGCAGATGGGATCAAGACTGGTTGAACCCACTGCATTCTGCTAGGAGGGTCTATGAGAGTCAGGGGATCAAGTAAACATCTTTGCTTTTGCTCTGCTCTGGGCAAGCCATTCCTGCCTCTCTGACCCTCAGTTTCCTCATCTGTCACATGGGGATTCTTCCTCATAGGGGTTTTCTAAGGATTCTGCAAGGAATGTGACATGCTTTAAAAAGTGTAGGCCAGGAGTGGTGGCTCACGCCTGTAATTCCAGCACTGTGAGAGGCAAAGACCCGCAGATTGCTTGAGCTCATGAGTTCAAGACCAGCCTGGGTAACATGGTGAAAATCGTCTCTACCAAAAAAAAATACAAAAAATTAGCTGGGTGTGGTGGTGCACGCCTGTAGTCCCAGCTACTCAGGAGGCTGAGGTGGGAGGATCGCTTGAGACTAGGAGGCAGAGGTTACAGTGAGCCGAGATTGCGCCACTGCACTCCAGCCTGGATGACAGAATGAGACCCTGTCTCAAAAATAAAAAAAAAAAAAATAAAAAGTGTGGTTAAGGGCAGGAGAGGAGGGAGTAGACCAGCATTTATGATCTGTGCGTTGCTTTATTTTCTTATCCTGCTGCATCTCCATACCCAATCCATTCCTATGTCCTGCCAATGCTATTTCTGAAATTTTTCCCAAATCATGCACATCTCTTCCATCTCCACTGCTACTCCCTTGGTCCAAGCCACTGGCTACCAAAACAGTCTCTGGGCTGGTCTCGTGGCTTCCATTTTTCTAACCCATCTTCCATCCAGCAGCTCCAAGGATCATTTTTAAATGCAAATCTGAACTTCCCCTCCCAAACACTCTCTGGTGGCTCTCCATTCTCAAGGTGAAGAGCAAATTCCTTCACATTGCCCACAGGACCCAGCCCCTCCCCAGCCACACCTGTGCATGGAAATGTTCCTGCTGCCTCCCTGTTGCTTTGTCTCTACCTAAAAGTACAAGGCAGGACACCTGGCCTAGGAACGCAAAGGATCTGTGTGAGCTTTGGCCCCTCAAGTCCACTGCCAAGGGCCCATGTGCTCCTGGGGGATCCATTAACATGCACACACACACCTACAATAGGTAATTCTTTAGAATCCTCTAAATGGTCCCAAATACACCCAAAACAACACAGACGAGGGCCAAGTGCAACCAGTGTTTTCCACTCTTCTGACAGGTCTATGCTGCAGTCATATTAATGTTTTTCTTTCTGTTCTTCAAAAAAACTACACAATCTTGCTTCTGAACTTCACGTAGGCTATTGTTTCTGATAAAAATTCTCTTCCTCCTCTATTTTGCTAGATAATTCCTATCAGTTAGCAGTGCAAGAGTTACCTCCTCCCTGGGGTCCGCTATGACTCCCTAGAGCACCTGCGCATCCTCATCACATTCCCCCACTAGTCTTTGCTGCAATAGTCTTCCCTGATAGACTAGTGGGTGCTGCAAACCCAGAGACTGCAGATTTTCTTTCCTCACTTATCACAGAGCTTGGTTCATCCCATAGGCTCAATTCCCCGACTCCTACTACTACCCCTCCTGACCAATATCAGCACCCAACACTTCAAAGTCCTCATGGCTAAGGGCATGGCCATCAGAGCCAGGTGGCCTGCATTGGAATCCCGTCTCTACTGCTGATTAGCTGTATGGCACCCTGTGTTCAGGACAGCCCTTGGTCTGCAGGCTAGGGGCTTACCAACAGTGGTGATGGGCTTGGAGTAGGGCACCAGCCCCCAGGTGTCGGAGGAGAAGAGGCCTCGACCATGGAAGATGCATGGGGCGAAACCAATGTATTTCTGGAACTTCTTCTGGACCCATCGGCCCCAGGAGCCCTCCTCGAAGATCACCTGCTTGTACACTTCATTCTCTCCAAAGGAGTAGATGGGAACCAGGTCAGCTCTGGAAGGGAGAGGCCAGGGTCTGTCATACCCTACTTACTGGCTTCAGTTTCTATGTCAGCCTAGAGGCCCTGGACACTGGCCAAGCATCCCCCTCCCCCAGCTGGGTGTACCAGAATTACCTGGGTGTCCCAAGTTCACATGATCCCTCTCTACCAGGTTCTGATGGGCCTTCTGCCCCACTGCTAGGGACTGGGGAGCATATCAGAGCTCTGGGTCCCCCAGGCAAAGGGAAGGCTGAGCGCCCTGCTCTGGAATGCCTGTTTTCCACCTCTTCCTGCAGGGCCTGCCTCTGCCAGGAAGTTCTCTTGGTCCCTCCACCAAACCAGGCCTCTCTCAGCCCTGGACTCACCATTGTTTCACAGTCTCAGCACACTGTGTTGTCACTGTCCATCCCTCTACCCTCCCCCACCCTTGGTGCTCCCTGAAGGCAGGGACTGGGTCCAATATGAATGTGTCCCCAGGGGCTGGCCCAGGGCTGAGCCTGCAGGGCAGCCTCTTCTTCCAAAGCCTGAGGTAAGGTCCCCAGGGGACAGAGAAAACAGCTGCTGTCCCCCAGCCACATTCCACACCACCCTCCTTCCTGACCTCCTGGTCTCCCAGCAAAATGATATATTCTGGCCCCAGGTGGTCCAGTCCTGCATATAAGCCTGGACTCTCGGCCCACCTGCAAGGGCCCACAGGCCACAGGTTGCATCTGTGCCCACCCAGACACACATGGGCAAACTTGGCCCACACTGTGCAGTCTGGGCTCCAACATCCCCTCCCTAACAGAATGACTGACTCCCTTCCATGCCTTCCTGGGGTCTGGGTCCTGTCTTCAGGGGCCAAGGAGTCTGCTGCCCTGGGCTGAGGGGCACTGGAGGGGTGTGTGTGTGTGTAGGGAGGCACTCACCCATGACGCAGGGCCAGTTTCACAAAGCCCTTGCGGTTCCGCAGGGTGACTGCATTCTTGCCAGGCATGGAGCTCAGAGACTCAGCCGCACCCCCGACCACGATGATGATAGCATTGCCACTCCCATTCTTTGAAAGCAAATAGTCTATGGTGTCCCGGCTGACAGGGCAGATACCTGAGGGGAGGGAAGGACGCAACAGTCAGGGTTGCCCATGGATCCACTCCCCATCCCCGGCACACAGTCAGGTATAAAACATAAAGAACCCTGGACCTGGGCCCCAGACCTAGCCCAGCCCCTTTGGAGTTGTCTGGTTCTGTGTAAGCTATTCATTTTTCTGAGCCTCAGTTTCCTCATCTGTAAAATGCAGCTAATGATACAAGGTTGTTTTGGGAACTCATGCATTTGGCAAACATTCCCAGGGCCCTAATTCTGCCAAGTCGGTGCGAGGTGTTGGGGATCCCAATGCATCAGTCTGGTGGGAGGTCTCAGGCAGGTGGACAATTACAGTGCCATGGACAACAATCAGGTTGTACAAAAGGCAACACAAGGGCTGGGGGTCCCCAGAAAAGGGGGTCAAAGAAGGCCTCCTAGGGAAGATGTTATCCGAGTTGAATTCTCAAGACCATATGGACAGCTCTCCTCCTCAGCCCTGACCCACCATGTCTGAAGCAGGTTGCATCTCCCAATGCAGGCCCAGCACCAAGGAATGGTGTGTTGGCTCCCTGTGTCACCCTGCCCGATGGAGAGGCTCAGGCCTTGACAACAGTGCCCAGCAGGAGCACAGGGGGTGGATTCTTACCTCCAGACATCAGGTACTCCCTCAACACAGGCATTCGGAAGTTGCCTGCCAGTGTAGCCAGGTAAGGCCGTATGCCTGGGAACTTCTTGCTCACTTCTGTGGCCTCTGTGCTGAAGTTGCAGAAGGCACCCAGGCCCATGATACCATGGGGGTGGTATCCAAAGATATAGTTCCTGGTGGTCAGCAGGTTGTGTGTCTTCACCAGCTGCAAGGATGACCTTGGGTCAGAGGAAACTGGCTGGGAGAGGGATACCGGGGCATACCCGGAGGGTAGGGAGGGATTGGATGTGTCATTTCCCCTGGACCTCCATGGGCCTGAGGGCTGCAATGAATCTCCACACCTTACCTCAGACTCTCATCCCCAGGGCCACAGTGCTGGTGTTGGGCAGTCACCATTTGCACTGTGGGTCTCTGGGAAGGGGTGGGCAATGTTTGCCCTTGTTCCTCTCAGTCTTCAGCCATGCACACAGCAGCTCTTCTTTGCACTCTGCCAGCCTCCTGCCTTCCCTCCCTCTGGGCCCATCCTTTTCGCAACAGCCAGAGTGATTATTCTAAAACTCAAATCCAACCCTTGTCACTCTTAGACTGGAGAGTGTGTCTGGCTTCATGTGAGTAAAGTCCAAGTTCCTGAGTTTGGCAACCGGGGCCTTGGCTGCAAGCTCTGCCCCCACTGTCAGTCTCTCCAAACTGTGAGCTCCTTGGAGGTAGGGTTTACTTGGCCCTGTGCTCTGTGGGCTCCTCCACAGCTCACAGAATGAGACAGGCAGCCCACCTCCTACTCCCCTGGCCTGGAAAAGGGACACTGCAGCTGGCCCAAATGGAAACTTTCCCACAGTCAGCTGGGCTCAGTTCAGGTTCTAAGGCAGGAAGGACAAGACAGGACAAGCGACAGCCCTGTGCCAGCCAGCCTGGGGTAGAGGTTAGTTGTAAGGCTGCAGCAGCTGAGGACCTGACCTGTGGTACTAAGGACACTGGGATGCTCTAAACGATGATTGGCTTCCTCAGGGCCCACCTCCTGCCCTGGGGCTGGTGCTTGAAGGGGTGGGTGATGCAGTGTCCCTAAACCCTGAGTCATGAGAGGCAAAGCCTGTGACACCTACCCTGTGTTACAAGGAATGTGATGGGGGTGGAAGAGGCTGAGAGAGACAATGAGTAAGGGTATTCTGCTCATAAAAACATCATTTTTATTCTGATTAGAAAAATAATAGGGCCAGGCATGGTGGCTCATGCCTGTTATCCCAACACTTTGGGAGGCCAAGGTGGGAGGATTGCTTCAGCTCAGGAGTTTGAGACCAGCCTGGGCAACATGGTGAAACGCTTATCTCTACAAAAATACAGAAATTAACTGGGCATGGTGGCACGCACCTGTGGTCCCAGCTACTCAGGAGGCTGAGGTGGAAAGATGGCTTGAGCCCAGGAGGCAGAGGCTGCAGTAAACCGAGATTGCACCACTGCACTCAAGCCTGAGTGACAGAGTGAGAAGAAAGGAAAGAAGGAAAGGAAGAAAGGAGAGAAGGGAGAGGAGAGGAGAGGGGAGAGGAACGGAGGAGAGGGCAGAGGAACGGAGGAGAGGGGAGAGGAACGGAGGAGGGGGAGGGGAGGGGAGGGGAGGGGAGAGGGAAAAGAAGAGAAACTCCTAGAGAATTTTAAAAATATAGGAAAGCAAAAAGAAAATTTAAAAAATCCATAATATTTCCATCCAGATAAAACCATCTGACGCATTGAGTCCTTTTTCTACTCAAAAATATACATGCTCTTTTTCAAAACCCACAAAATTGAGGTTATATGGGTTGATATCATTTTTATATCATTTTCTACCAAACATACAGCTATCTGTCCTTATCAAAATCCCTCAGTTCCATATCTTCTCGTGGCTGCATTTGTATTCTACAGCACAGCTCTCATGCATGTAACAGCACTGACTCAAACCCTGATTGATGGACATTTTAAAAGCTTCCAAAATTTCCCTCTTAGAAGTAATGCTTCAATAAATACCTTATCTTTGTCCACATATCTGATTGCTTTTGTGAAACAAACTTCTAGAAATACAATTCCTGGATAACAAGGAATGAACACGTTGGTCTTTTTGGCTGCCCTGCCTCAAAAGAGGTGACATCAATGACACTCCCACCTGAGTGCTGCAAAGTGCCCCTTCCCTGCACTGGTGCCAGCTGGAAGCAGAGTCACTGGCCACCAGCAGAATGTCAAGAGCCCAGGTTTTCTGTGACTCCAGATTTGGGAGCCTCCTGGCAGAGCTGAAGGACTTGTGTGCAGCTCTGGGGGAGAGGGTGCTGGTGGCTGGCCTTGGAAAATTGAAATGCAAATCTTCAGGTGACAGAGGGGATGGAAAAGGCTGGCTGGCACCACTCCCAGCTCTGACGCTGCCAGTCTGTGCAAATGTGAGCAAGACTCCCTCACTCTCATCCCCACTGCTTGGGGCACTGATGCTCTTTCTCCCGCTTTGCCCTTGGCAAACAGATTAAAGTTGCTCAAAAACCAAACCAACTCTCAGCTACTCCCCAAATAAATGGGAAACAGCAGCAGTCTAATCCATAGCTAGTGGGGCTCGGGGCAGCGAGCAGATCTCAAAATCTCGTTTACATGAGCTCTGTTAAGATTGCTGTTCCAATGTTTTGCCTAACAAGCAGGTCTGCCCACCAAGTTAGCTCTCAGTGAAGCTGGAATTAAAAAGTTCCTTGTGCTAGTTTTGATGAAAAAGGCAGGCAGGCATTGAGGGAAGAGCTGGGGCAGCCAATACCAGGTGGGAAACTTGGAAACTTGCTCCTGAGCTGATGGCCAGGCCTGGGATAGTTACCCTGGCAGGTGACCATCACGCCGTGCAGCATCTTTTTGTCCCCTTCCTATGGCTCCCCCGACCTTCCCACTGGGCCGATAACCAGGAACCCACAGCACTGCATGGGCTGGCAGAGCCCTGAAAGGTCTAAGCCATTCCTTGGATGACGGGGGGAAGCTGAGGCCTAGAAAAGGGAGCTGCAATTCCCCTGTGGAGGTCACAGCAAATTATCCTGCACATCTGGAGCAGGCCAGTCGCTGCACTTTTCCCTGGGCTGCTGGATGAAGATGTGTCACCCAGTGGGCCCCAGGTGGCTCTTTAAATCATTTCCTCCCTCCCCAAGGCTCTGATGGGACATTTGGTTGAATGAGGTGCCTTGGGACACAGTGCAAGTCAATGCCCTTGCTGTAGGACCCAGAAGAATGTAGGCATCTGACCAGCTCTGATCTGTTTTCATGTCACACTCCCCTCCCCCAGGGCTGGAGAGAATGTCCGTTCTGGAAGGAGGGGAAGGATACCGCCAATGAAGGTTCTGTTGACATGCCTGCTCTTGTGTCCTCTTGCTGCCTGTTTCCCGTGGCAAAGTCCCAGCCCAACACGATGCCCAGGCCCGGCCTGCTCGCTAATGTCAGTCTGGGACACATTCCTATCAAGTCACTCTTTATACCCTCCCTCCCAGGAGAGGCAAGGTGCTCAGATAGGCTTGTCCCACCACAGCAGTGCATAGAGGAAAAAATTCAGACCCACAGAAGAGCAAAGGCTTGCTTAAGTTTACACAGCACGGCATGGTGATGGTGAAAGTAACACAGGAGTAAGACCATGGGCCCCAAAGCAGACAGCCCTGGTTCCTACACTAGTCCTGCTACTACTTAAGCTTTGTGACCTTGGGATAGTCCCTCCTCTCTGTGCCTCAGTAAGCCTATCAGTGAAATGAGGCAGATGGACAGGTGATTCTAAGCTTAGAGAGAGTGTTTCCTAGTCTCCTCTCCAAGGATTCTGCCTACACTTTGGGGAGAGGTGATGTGGGGCACTGTCTGCTCCTCTTCCAGGTGGCTGGTGGTCTCGGTGGCTGTTGCTAACACAAGAACCCCACCTGTGCCAACAGAAGGGATACACTCTGGGCCAGATGAGCTGTTCTGGCAGCAAAGACCAGAGTCCCACCAGGAAGGGAGTAGGTGGGCGGGTGGGTACAGCGGCAGATCTTCATTACATGATTACTGGCAAGAGGCCAGGAAAAGGGGGTGGGACAGGAGGGTCACACACACCCCCATAGAGTGTCAGACCTGATGTCAGATCACCAAGGCCAAGTGAAGGGGAGATTGAGGCCCAGAGGGAGAGAGGCAGGCTCAGCCTAAGCCCCGGGTTGATCAGCCTAAGCCCCGGGTTGAGGCTCAACACCCCAGCCTGCCTCGGGCCCAGTTTGGCTTTTGTCCTAGTGCCCCAGGGAGCCCTCACAGGGCCAGGTTGTATGTGCCCTAAGGCTCCAACTCCCAGCTGACTTCTTGGAACAGAGATGTGAGAAGGACACAGGGGTTTGTTTGGTTCTTTTGGAAGGGTGGAGATCAGATAGCAAAGGACACCTGCCTGTCCCAGGTCTGACCAACAATCATCAGGTCATCCTGTTCTAAGTGGATGGGGCTACTGGCCTCCTGGAGACTTCCAGAGGACCAGGCCACAGTGGCAACAGAGAACACTGGAGCCTGGCCCCTGAGGTGAGAGAGAAAGCAGAAAGAACAGTCTATCATCACTCCCACCCAATCAGAACTGATTACTTTTCATCATACAGACAGCTCCATTTTGCAGATGAGGCTCAGCAGGCTTGAGAAAGTCTGCCCATGGCCCCATGGCAGAAAGTGACAAAGTCTATCAGGATGCAATAGACACCCCAAGGGCAGGGCTGACTTGTGTCCCCATGCCCAGCACAGCCCTGCACTGGACAGGGAGCAATGGTGGCAGGTTAATAAATGGAGTGACAGGGCAGGAACTTAAACTGAGATCTCCAGCAGCAACGGGGGAGAGGGAGACCCAGGAAGCTGGAATCAATCCAATGGGGAAATCCAGGGATTGAATCTCTCCCAGAGAAACAGGCAGTAGGAAATCAGTGGAAAAGAACCTGGGCCCTGAATTCAATAAGCCTGGATGGTGGTTGCAATGTTGCCATCATACTAGACTATGCAGCCTGGACAAGTCCTGCCCATCTCTGAGGCTCAGTTTCTTTACCTCCAAAATTAGAGGGTTGGGTCCTATGATGCAACTTTCTCCCAACAAAAACAGCTTCAAATTTTCTGCAGTTAGAGAGATGGGGTCAGGAAAAGGAGAAGGAACGCTGACCCTGAGGAGCAGGAAGGTCCCGGGAAGACTGGGCTTAGGCTAAGGATGAGCAGAAGGAGCTGGCCCTGCCACCCCCAAAATACCGAATGCAGTGAAGGATGCAGGGTTACCCAGCCACTGCCCCCAGGCAACACACCAGGATCTCAGTCACTGACTCACAACAGCAAATATACACCACCCTGCACCCTGCACAGAACTCTTTCACATTCACGTGCTGCCTCCACTCTTCAGCACCCCTACCTTCTGCAGGGTACTCAGCAGCTAGGGTGTGCTGGAGCTGGGGTGTGGAGTGAGCTGGCCAGACAGGTCTTTCCCCTGTGGGGAAAACCTTCAGGATCCTGCCAGAGTTATCCTCAATTCACCAGGATTGCCCACATGCATCAGGGCCAGATGGCTGTGCCTCACCAGCCCAGCTTGCAGACCAGGCAGGGGCCAGACAGAGCTGAGACTGAAAGCCAAACTGAGCCACCATTTCCCTGTCAGGACCTCAGGGCTGGCCCAAAGAAGATGGATACTCAGAAGAGCAGTGGGGTCCCCAGCACAGCCAGTGACACAGTAGAAAGGAAATGAAGAGACCAACTTGGTCTAAACTTGCTTCCCTGTGGGTGGGTTAAGGCCTGAGTTCAGATTTCCCATCCATTCCCACCCTCCCAAAACAACACTCACAGCACTTTACCTGGATGGGAAAGTAGTCTCGAAAGTAGCGCCACACAGCCCAGTTTCGGACCCACTGTGACCTCCTGCCACCTTCCAGGGAATAAAATACAGAGTTGGTGGGGGTGGGGGTACATTTGGGCAAGGCAGACAAGACAGGGCCAGTGTGAAACCCAAGCAGGTGACCATCACCCCATGCACCATGCCCCCTTCCCATCAGGCCCCTTTCCACATTCATTCCTTCATGTTATGCAAACCCTCGACTGAGTGTGAACTCTTGTCAGGACCAGAACAGTGCCCTTTGAGGGGCTTTTAACCTCCCCCCAAAAGGACTAGTCCAGTGCTTTTCACAAAGTGGGTGTTAAAAGAAACAGCACTCAGGATGAGGCCCTTCAGCTTGTGCAGGGGGAAGAGCATCCCTAGAATGAGAGGTGGGGCAAGGGAGGCCTTGCACTTACCTTTCTTGGGTGTGTTCCAGTCAAACACCAGCCAAGTGAAGTAGAGCACAGCGATGAGCCAGCAATCAGTGCAGAATATGTACATGAGGATGGCACTGCAGGCCACTCCTGGGGGGCAGATGGCCACAGGTCAGGTCCTACTGGGCTTCATCTCCCCTCTGGGCCATGGTGGATGGAGTGAGTGTTTACTGTGGCACTAAGCTAGGCACACCCAGGGCCATGGGCATGGGGCCCACAAACCCTGAGAAATAGCTACAGGAATGTTCAGCCCAGGTAGGAGCAGATTCCTGGGACAAGAGGAGCCTCATCTCCCAGACTCTGATGGACTGTCCTGGCATCGAGGGGCCCATGGGCTCCATGTTATCTGGACAGGAGCACCAAAGGAGATAGGCTTCAGCTTCTTGTGAAGCTGCTCTTACTGTCCCCTCCTTGTGTGCGCCCCCATGCCAGCACCCAGCCCAGACACTGTGGATAAGGGGAGGGAACACCTACCCAGTGCCTCTGCATCTCAAGACTGGGGCTGAGCCACTGTCTCAAGTGTAAGGCAGGGTGACTTTGCCCCATTTTAGAGATAAGAACACTGAGGCTCAAGGGGGAGATAACTTGCCCAAGGTCACCCAGCAGGACAGTGGCAGAGCCAGGATTCAAACACAGGTCTGACTCTACAGTCCGTTCTCTGTATTAGGCTTTAGAAATTCACCAAAGTCCCAGACCATCACTAGAGGGACCGGAGAGGGGACACTTGCCCAGGAGGAGGGCTGGCTCCCTTCCAACATAACGGCAATCCAGGAAGTCCCAGGCCAAAGCGCAGAGCCCATCAGCCTCCCTGTCTTCAAAAACTTCAGCAGCCAGGCACAGTGGCTCACACCCGTAATCCCAGCACTTTGGGAAGCTGAGGTGGTGGACTGCTTGAGCTCAGAAATTCAAGACCAGCCTGGGCAACATAGCGAGACTCCATCTCTACAAAAAAATTTAAAAAATTAGCTGGGCAAGGTGGCATGTGCCTGTAGTCCCAGCTACTCAGGAGGCTGAGATGGGAAGACTCCTTAAGCCAGGAGTTTGAAGCTGCAGTGAGCCATGATCGCGCCACTACACTGCAACCTGGGCAACAGAGGGAATCTCTGTCTCAAAAGTAAAAAAAAAAAAACCCTAACAGCACACTTGGAAGACTTGCCTGGGGGCTGGCTTCCACTGGTCACCATGTTCTGGGCCTGTAGGTCATAAGAGAGACTAATCTAGCCTGGCACAGAAAGGAAGGAGAGCTTGTGCCATGCCTGCTTTATCTCATGGCTCGCCACTAGCTGCCCTCAGCAGGGCTTCTCTCTTTCCATTTTTTACCCAACCTTTAAGGCCTATCTCAGACCTCAGCTCTTCAAGAAGTGTTCCCCAATATCATACTATCTACATATCATCTCTTGCCTGTGAATTTCCCACACTGGGTGGGGAGGCATCTTCTTTGGTCCTTGGCATTCAGCACAAGGGCAAGGGCAGCAGGTACTCATGTTTGGTGGGAGAAGCATGGACTCCTTCTAGGACTTTTTCCACTGCCCAAGAAGGGAGGCCAACCCTTGCTGTGTGCCCATTCCCTGGTGGTCCCAGGTGCTGTAGGCTGCCTGGCTCTGGATGTCATGCTCTCTTCTCACCATGTTGAGCCTCCTTTGGTTTCCCATGGGAGAAGATAAGGCTGGATGTAGACTCTCCATGAGCCTAAAGGGAGGGAAATGGTAGCCCCTTGTTGCCCCCCAATCTAGCCCTGTTCTAGACTCCTGAGCCAGCCTCTCCCCAGGGTAGCTAAAAACAGGGTACAACTCTCTTGTTGGGAGGAACAGTGAATACAGAGTGACGAGATGTCCAATTTTTCAGGACCAGCTTAGGGGTGTGACATCGCAGAAGGGAAGACAAGTTTCTAGGGAAGCATGTGCAGCCTACAAGAGCCTGTTAAAAGCAAACTGTGAAAAGCTTACGGTAGCTTGGTGAATAGCTATGTCTAAAGGCTGCCTACAAAGTCATACTTACTGTTCAGCAGTCTGCCTGATTCCCTTTCTTGGGCCTGAAAAGGGAAGACTCTAGCCCCCCAGACTCTACAGGCATCCAGGCTCCTCTAGTGGCATCCTCTAGGTGGATGCTCCAGGTGGGCCAGATAGGGACGATGAGGTTTAGGCTATGGTCTGAGCATCCTGGAAACCTAGCTTCCAGAAATCTCTAACTCTCTTGAGGGGTAAAAGGACCAGAGGGGGCTGAGCTCCAGGCCCCACTGCTTAGAGGGCTGGTCTCTCTGGGAAGGGGGGTAACCCTACCCACTTGTCCTTACTCTGCTGCTGAGGCAGCCTGGATGGAGAAGAAGAGGCCTGATGGGGTATCCAGAGACTGAATTCTAGCCTGGCCTTTCTCAGCTGGGGGCTCCCTCCCCTCCCCTATGTGTCCACAGCCCTCTCTGAAACCACTCACCATCCCTTTCATCATCTGCCTCCCTCATTGGACTCCCACTAACAGACAGCCCTTCAGCCCGAGCTCCTTGGGAGCAGAAACCAGGTCAGATTAATCTCTCCAGCCCCAGAAACCAAACACAGGAAGAGCAAAAGGATGAACTAAATCCACCAAATGACCTTCCTTTCTCAGAGCCTAATCCTTGTCCTCTGAACAACAGGCTCTGGTTCCATGCTCTTAGGTTGTGGGGCTGCAGTAAAAACCACTGTTGCTGAGCTCATGAGAAGCTTAGAAGGCCCTGCTTTGCCCCACACATGGAAGGCTCAGGACCACTTTCACACATCACCTGCTTCCTGCACATTATGGTGGCCTACAAAGACACTTGTGATACAAAATTCTGAAGCCACGAGGCCTGTGGTGCAGGGCAGCCTGTGGATGCTCAATGGCAGGGAAGGCAGCAGTGTGGCCTGGTGAAGAGCATGGACTCTGAGACCAAACAGACCTGGAGCCTTGGCCCTGCCACTTGCTGGCCAAGCCCCATTCCTAAGCCTTAATTTCCTTACAGGGTATTGGGAAAATTAAATATGATGTTTGAACTTACTCAGCCTGACACACAATATCCATGGACTTGGATGGGGAAACAAATGACATCTAAATTTTCACTTATCTCTTATGGAAATGTGGCATTTCCTTCACTTACCAATATAATAAATCACAGAATTATCAGCAGTACTTATGACACAAATAAATAACAAAGGTATTTTCATATAACTTTGTAGCAGTTGCAGATATCTTAAAAAAAATCATTTCTTCTCATCACTACTTAAGAACTATAGTAATTATTACATGTGCTGCTAGATCTTTTTATTTACTGTAATAAAAAGGCACCTGTTACTACATGTCTAATCAGCTTTTTTAATGTATAGATATTTATATTTTATTATCAGTAGTTTCCTTTGAAATCCAATGCACCTTGTATTAAATACTCTAAAACACTGAGAAAGGGCATAGGCCTCATCAAAATGACAGAGGGTTCCATGGCACAAAGTGGTGAAAAATCTCTGGTCCAGGGAGAGACCAACAGGGCCACCACGGTCTTTGCTTGCCAGGTGAGCTTCTGCCAGCAGGTTTGAGAGGCAGAGGGAAGGAGTGGCTGGGGCTGCTGAGGGCAGTAATTAGCAGTAGCTCAGGAGATCTGCCTGTCCAACGAGGCCAGGTTCCCACCTATGCGAGGCGAGGCGAGGTGAGGCCAGGCGAGGGTGTTGAGAAGATGCTGGGCCGGTTTCTGGGCTGTGGTTGGGTCTGATCAATTATTAACCTATAGCCTGGGGCCAGTCCCCATCACATGCTGCGTGAGCTGGTGTTCTACAAGCTGCTCAGCTCCCTACCAGCCAGGCCCAGACCCATTAAGACAGGGATAGTGGTAGCTTTGGGGTGCAACAGGGAACAAAGAGAGCTGGTGTAGCAGACTAGGCAGGGGGTCTGGGAGGCTGGAGTCCCTGGGTTCTTGTCCTGGTCCCAGTACTTTCTTCTCATGTGACCCCAAGTAAGGCTCCATCCTCGCCAGGCCTCCACTTCCTTTTTTAACAAGAAGGGGTCACACTGTGCTCACTACTCTAGGATTCTAGTAAGTGGCCAAATGCAAGCCATGTTAGGGGTCTGAGTCCTGAGGGAGACTGTTTAGTTTGCTCAGTTCTTCCAACCAGTGTTTGTCTTCTTGAGGCTACCTGTCCCTGTAAGACTTTGAGGACAGCTATGGCCCTTCTCCCCAGAAAAATGTGCACATACTCATATATAATCTTGCATCTAATTTTAAGGGTTCATGGATCCCCCCACTCAAAGCCCGTTCTTGGGCCTAAAGGTGAAGACTGGCTGTTTCAGCCCCAGTTCACTAATTCTGGGCTTCCAGGAATGTGGGCTCCCTGGGGAATGCACTGAGTTTCTGCTAAAATCCCAACTCTGCCATTTAATGAGCTTCACAGTAGCAGGTAGTTGATGAACCTTTGTGAATTTGCATTTTCTCACCTGTGAAGTTCTATCCCTTGGCCCTGCAAACATGGTCTCAGTCTCAGAGCGCCCCATGCACCTGCCTGAAGGACAGCTGCTCAGCACTGACATGGTAAGTCCTGATGATCCCCTACCAGCCTATACAGTCCCGAAGAGTGGGTTGCCCAGAGGGACTGGCTCACAGGCACTGGAATGCACTCTGTGATGCTCTGGAGCAGGTTCATCTGCCTTGACGTGCTGAGGAAGCTACCTGCTATGCTGAGAGCACAGGGGTCTGGGGAAAAACAAGAGGCTTCTTCCCTCCCCTCAGACATTCGTGTTGTCCTGCCCCTGGCCTGGATGGCAACCTAAGGAGTGAGGGTATCTAGCCAGACCTGCAGAAAAAGCAACCAAAGCACCGATGTGGGCTGTGCTGAGAGATAGCAGGGAGCAGGCCTCGGGAAGCACCTGGGGAATGTGCTCAGCTGAGGATGGGTGTGGGCTGGGAGTGGGGTCTGAGGGCACCTCCCGATGATTCCCATGTAATGGGGGCCCATCATGACCAGGCCCTGTGCCAGGTGCTCTCATTTCTTATCTTCAATCCTCAAAAAAGCCATGTGAAGCAGGCACTTTCCTCACACTCAAAATGAGGAAACTAACACTCAGAGAGCTCAAATAACCTGTGTAAGGTCACAGAGCTTGTCTGCAGGAGATTCAGGACTTAAACCTGGCACCAAACCACCTTAAGGCAAAGTAACATACCTGCTGGAAAATGTCTGTTGGTGGGCAGGGTGGCATTGTGGGAAAGGCACAGGCTTTGGGGGTCCTGTAGACAGGGATTCAAATCTGTGTGACCTTGGGCAAGTTACCTATCTTCTCTAAGACTTGAGGTTTCCCATCTGTAAATGGGAACTATCACACCACCTCCCACTGAATCTTGCTGAATCTTCATGCATGCTGAGGGGTAGAGCACTTGATCTGGGACCCAAAAGATAGATGTGGAAAGGTGCTGTGGGGCAGCATGTGTAAGAGTTACTCTTATTCCCTCACCCCTGTAGAGCAGGGCTCCTGCTCTACCTCTTTTGGGGAAGTGGACACTGCCTGCCCACCTGCCCTCCCTCTAAGGCCCAGCTTACCCAGTACAAGGAAGGACAGGACCCACTGGAGCACTGAGATGACCTGTAGCTGCTTTTCCACCTTGGACCTATTGAGCCAGGTGACAGAGAAGAGGTCCTGGAGGGCGGAGAGGATGCTGGATCCAGTGCCTACAGCAGAGGGAAGATGTCAGTCCACTGTCACCCTTCTCTCCAGTCATGGGGTCCCCAGTACAAACCTCACCTCCCACAGGTACCCTTCTAGATATGAGAAGAGCATCAGCTATAGAATCAGACAGACCTGGGTTCAGATCCTAGCCCTCCACCTCATGGCTTTGTAACTCTGGGCTGTCTGCATGCTCCCCTGTGCCCTGGTTTCTATAGATACACAATGGGAATGGTATCGCACTCGGGGTCATTTTGGAGACCACATGAAGTATCTAAAGAGGCTAGTCCAAGGGCTAGGCCTTGGGAAGTCTCTCATAATTGCCAGTTCTCTCCCATCCCCTCCACCCCAGTCAAACTCCTGTCCCTTATCTGAATCTAGTACAAATATTTAATTTTGCTATCTGTCTGTGAGGCCAAGGACAGAGGTTCAACATCCAATTTGCAATGGTTTTTTTTCTCCAAGTGTACTTTGAGCATCCCCAATCCCTGCTCTGCCTTCTGTATGTCCCAGACTAATACCCCTTCTCCAAGGAGCTGAACCCTCTTGCCCCCACCCCCAACACCACTGATTCCCCACACCACTACCACTTTCAGAGAGATGTAAATGTTCAGCCTCATCTCAGTGCCCAAAGCGTGGGGCCCAGAAAGGAGTAAGGTGGGAGCCTTTGCTTCCCCAAAGGGCCCAGTAGCCAGTGAGCTTCAGGCAGCCTGAAGGACACTGAGGGCTGTAATTATGTTCACTATCAATCAAGTGCCAAGCCTGGAAGTTAGGACGAGATGTGCCCACTTAATTGGCTTGGTGCCCCTAGGATGACACCCTGGACTCCAGCAGCTGATGGGCAGTAGGGACAGGAAGCCTGGTGACTGCAGGAGACAGCACTGGGGAAGAGCATGGGTGAAGGTTCCTCACCCATACCCCATTCCTTCCGGCAGCTGAAGAAGTGGGCCACCTCAAACCCCTCTTTGCTGAACCCCCACTACATGCCCTTTGCTCAACACATCTTCACCAAGCACCTACTGTGTGCCCATTAAATATTCCTTCATACCATCTGCTCTGTGAAAGACCCAGAGCACAGATGAGTTAGTCACAATCTTGTCCTTGAGGGTCTCATGACCTTTCAACTGAGCCTACAAGCTGGGAGCAGGGAGAAAGACGGATTTAGGGGCCTACACTCAAGCCTTTGCTTTTCTTCAAAATCTGCAAAGCAACAAAGCCACAGCAGAGTTTAGAAAGATATCTACCCTTATGAGCTGAAAGTTAACAACTGCTTTGACTTTTAGGAGGAAGGAAGGAAATGCTAGGCCTCAAGATGGCCCCTTTCCCTGGTGTGATGCATCAGAGGGAAAGGGCTTAGTTTAGCAGAAGAGTCAAACCTAGGTTCAGACTTTGGTTCTACTCACTATGTGACCCCAGGCAAGCTTGCAGGGTTCACTGCCACATCCTCAGTGCACAAATTGGGTGTTCAGTAGCATCTAATAACACCACTGGCATAACTGGGGTGGAGGCGGCAGGATGTGAACTCACAAAAGCAAATAAAGAGGCTGGGCCATAGAGCCATTCCAGAGGTCTGCCTCATAATTGCTCCTTCGCCCCCTTTACAAAAATCCTACCTTCATAGGACTTTCCCACCTCCAGACTTGCCCAGCAACCCATCTTAGAGCCTGAGAGCCCTCTGGGGTCATCCAGTATAGCCTAATTGGACAGCCAGGGAGACTGGGGACCAGAGACAGGCACTGACTAGCCCAGGGCTACCCAGGCAGTAGGCGGCAGAGCCAGGACTGAAACCCAGCATTCCTGACCCTGCTTAGAGGACCTCCCCTTTCCCCAGAGCAGCTCTGAGTGCAAAGGCTCTGTACACAGGACACAGTCGGAGGGTCATGCTCAGGGCCTGGTCAACCTGCCCAGCAGTGGGACCTGGCCAGATGAGTTCATCACATGCTTATCCTTGAGGGTCTCATAACCTTTCACCTTCACCTACAAGTGGGACAGGACTGGGTGAGTATATAAGGGAGGGAAGTGAAGTCCAAGCACAGGCTTGAACCCTTGATCCAAGGGCTGGGGCTGGACAAGTCATCTTCCAGCAGCTGGCTCTGCCTCCTGAGCCATGCTGGATGAAGTGAAGCAGGAGCCATGGCCACCGGAGGCTGGTTAAGTGGCAGGTGAGTTCCTGTTCCATCTGAGGCAGGCTGGATGCCCTGGCTAGACAGAAGACAAAATGTACTCTAGCACTTTCCTACTCAAAGCGTGGTCTGGGAACAGCAGCATCAGCATCACCTGGGAGCGGGTTAGAAATGCAGGACTTTGGGCTCCAGACTGGATTTACTGAATCAAAATCTGCATTTTAACAAGATCCCCAGGTGATTAAGTCTGAGAAACACCACTATAAATGCTTCAGTCCAAACACTCAGGTAGGGGCTGGGGTGAGACACAGCACCGGGGAACACCACCTTCTATTTGGCAGGAAAAAAAGGCAAAGCATGCCTTCTCGTGGCTGACTTGCTTCCCGTTGCAGACAGGCCCCTGAAGCCAGTGGTTTGAGGGGTGCGTAGGGAAGAGGCATGCTGGGAGTCAACTTATCTAGCTCCCTACCTTGACGCCAGGGCCAGCCCCCATGCAGCTTGGAGGAGGAGTATAGAAATTTCACTGATGACATATCCCCAACTGAAACAACTGAGAAGACCTAAAAATTCTTCATCGTGCCTAATCCAAATCTCTCTGCTAAGCTTATTAGGTGTCTTAAAATTAGGTAAAGTCATAGCGCAGGAAACGCACGCCATCTTGTTCAACCCTCACCCCGTTATACAGACTGGAAATTGAGGGCCTGCGGGAGTCTCCCAAGTCCCGCAGCAAGGTGGGTCTGCAGGCTCAGGCTTTTCCCACACTGCTGGTTCGGTTCTCACCCTGCCTTATCCAGCCCCAACTACCGCCCACAGCTCGCTCTGCCAACAAGTGGGAAATGCAGTCTACCAAGTGAACCCTCACTTCCCATCTGCCTGGGCAACTGTACCGGGACTGCTGCAAGGTGGTGAGCTCTAAGTCCCAAATACCAAATGGCAAGTGCTTCCGTGGGCGTTAGAGTTGGGAGGCTCCTGGAGAGGGAAGCTGGGAGGACTGCACCTCTGCTTTCTCAGGCCCAGGCCCTCTCAGGCAATCCCAACCTGGCTGACCATGGAGGCCGTGGCCTGGGAGCTGGCCTGGCCATGGATGCTGAACCCCGGGCCAGTGGGAGCCCCCAGTCCACCTCAGAAATATTCTAGGCAGAGGCCCTTCCCTGCTTTGCTTACCTGATGATTCCCTGATAATGAGATAAAGCAATACATCCTTCAAAACCCAGAGATGGTGATAAGGCAGCAGTCTTCCAGGAAGCCTTTGGAAAGAGAAGGCCTTTCCTTCTCTGGGATGATAAACACTAAGGTCTATGCAGGCCTGGAATTGCCAGGGGCTATCTTGCCACCCACAGAAATAACCTATTTGAAGATAAAGTCAGACCCGCACAATGGAGAAACAAAAGAGCATCCTCCTCAGGGTTCCCACAGCCTCTGGCCTTGTTCTAACTGCTGATTACAAGCTGATTCTCCATCACACTGGAAGCTGCCCGAAGGCCAGGCCTGGGTCTGATCCATATCTGGATCCCCAGTGCCCTGTCAGGCCAGCCCCAAGGAGGTGCTCTGGCCACTCTTCAGGCCCCCGGAGTTCCCTCCATGCAGGGCTGAGTGAAAGGTATGATGCACAAGAGGCCCATAAAGCTTTGGGAGACCCTCCATGCCCTTGCACAGGCACTTGGACTCCTGTGAGTTTGGCACCAACACCCTATTTTGATGGTGATACCGGGTCAAGGTCACTCAGCCAGATGCTGGCAAAGCTGAACCCAATTCAGGCCCAACCTTCAGGCCTGCATCTGCTCCGATGTTGCATGTCCCCAAGTTCCTTCTCTCTGCTCCCCACAACAAAGCAGGGGGCAGTGGTGGGGAGCTGGAAGGGGAAGGGGAGAAATGAATGATCTGTTTTCCTTCAGAGGGGTGGGTCAGGAGCAGGCATCTTCTACAGCAGGTAGAGTGGCAGCAGGACTTGGGTTTCTAGACCCAGCTCTGCCACCAACTCCCATGCTAAGTCTCCTCACCTCTCTGGGCTTCAGTTTCCCCATCTATGAAATGGGGGTAAGGAGGGTGAAGTCTGTGATCTCTGGCACCCACCCTCCTGAGGACTCCTGTCAGGGTATTTGGGACCTAGAGCTTACCATCTTGCAGTAGTTCTGGTACCGTTGCTCAGGCAGATGGGAAGTGAGGGTTCAGTTGGGCACCCCCAAAACACTGCCAGTCCTTGCCACCTGGCTGTCAGTACTTCCTCTGCCCCAGCTGTGGCTGGGAGGAGTCCAGCAGAAGCTGGTGGGGATGCCGATGCTGCAATCAGATGCCACCACATGCCACCACCTTCACACCCAGTCTGACTGTTCCTGACTCCTGGGTGGGGCCACCAGGGAGCCTCAGCATCCAGCCAAGTCCCTGCTCCTATCTGCCCCCTCACCACATCTGCACTCTCTCTGCACACTCCCACAGCACCAATGTCACTTTACTTGGCCATCCCACTGCCAGTGACGCATGGGTGCCAGGACTTGGTACCTGATTCATCTGTGGTAAGAGGGGCTCATAGAGGTTTACTGCATAGCTGAGCAAATCCATAAGCAAATCCAGAGCAGCCTCAGAGGCAGCTATAGGCCTGGATGCCCAAGTTAGACTGGGCTGCCTGGCAGGAGGCAAAACCAGCCCCATCACTGAGGACTGACCCCAGAGATGGGGGATGAGCCTCTTTTGCCCTCCCTAGGTACAAGTTTCTCCACCTATAAAGGGAACACAACCCTGCTACCTACAGATGTCTCTGTTTTATGGGGGCAGATGAGACAGGCTGTAGGGGAAGATTCCCAACAGAAGACTCAAATGGCTGCTCCCAGGCAGCACTTGCTTTACACACAGCTCATTTGCTCCTACCTTTGGGGAAGGCAGAGGGAGTAGAGCTGCCAGAGAGGCCCAGAGCAGCTCTTTTACCACCCGGAAAGCAATCCCCTTCTCCTGCGCCTATGTGGGGCTTCACCGTCCCACAGCACTCTCTGGGAAGGTAGGCAAGGGGAGAACTGGCAATCCTGTTTCACAGAGAAGGAAACTGAGGTGAGGTGAAGCCCAAAGAGGCAAAATCACTTGCTTGAGGTCAGGGTGTGGGAGCCAGGACTTAAAGAAGGTATTCAGGCTCCCAGTCCCTCATCATCTCTACAATGCTACGCTGTTGAGCGCTGGCCCCACCAAACACGCCAGCCCACACCTGGACTTCAGGAACATATCCTGGCAAAGGAGAGCTCCCTCCTCTGCCCATATCATGCTCAAAGTCTCATGTGGATGTTCTAGTGAGACTGGATTCCACCCCCGCAACCCATGTGCTTTCAAGCAGTTCTCAGACCCAGGGCCCAGCCCAGGGCTGGGGTGTTGAAGGGTGTCTGTGAGCACCTCTTTGCCCAATATCTGATATCAAAGTGACCAGGAAGGCCACACCTCGGGGCTGATGAAACCCAAGTTTTCAGGGCTTCCTCTCACATGCCTGAGGGCAGCAGTGTCTGAGCCCCAACCCCCTAAATCTGAGAAAGAGGGCCCTGGGCCAGCTCTGCCCTTGCCTGGCTCTGTGACCTCGGGCAAGTCACCTAACTCTAGCTTTGGTTTTCTTATCTATAGGATGAGGGTGATAATCCTCACCTCACAGGATTTTGGGGAACATTAAATTTTTTTTTTTTTTTTTTTTTTGAGACGGAGTCCCGATCTGTCGCCCAGGCTGGAGTGCAGTGGTGCGATCTCGACTCGCTGCAACCTCCGCCTCCAGGGTTCACTCCATTCTCCTGCCTCAGCCTCCCGAGTAGCTGGGACTACAGGCACCCGCCACAACGCCCGGCTAATTATTTGTATTTTTGGTAGAGATGGGGTTTCACCATGTTAGCCAGGATGGTCTCGATCTCCTGATCTCGTGATCCGCCCGCCTAGGCCTCCCAAAGTGCTGCGATTACAGGCATGAGCCACCACGCCCAGCCAGGAACATTAAATTTTAAAACGTTTAAGGCACATGTGGCATTTGTTAGGTGATTAAGTGGTGGCTACTGGCATTGCTCCTCCCATCTCCAGAGTGGGAAGGAGTATATGTAGTGAGCAAGCAGAGTTTTTCCAGAGGCTCATGGCCACAGGTCTGTGTTACAAGAAGAGGTCGCAGAGTGATGGTAGCGCAGAGGAGGCTCCAAGGAGGCCATGAGGCTTCGCCAGGGCCCTGAAGACAAGATCTAGGGGTCAAACAGGAGGAAAGTGCGCACTGTGGTTGGGGGAAACTGCTGGAACAAAGCCTTGCAGGGAGTTCTAATGAGGCAGACCCAAATACTCAAGAACCCAGAAAGGGGGGTGAGTGACTGCCTGAAATAGAAGCTGAGAATAAAGAAGTTGGAATGAGTAGTCAAAGGTGGCTTCCTGGGTGAGGTGGGTGGGGACAGAGCTAAGACCCAAGGCATAGAGCACATACAAGGTACTAAGCGCTAATACTAGCCCTGGGGAAACAGCAGTGAGCACAGCAGATGATGTCCTGCCTCAGAGGCAGCTATAGGCCTGGATGCCCAAGTCAGACTGGCTAAAGTTAAGTTAGGATGCTTAACTTCTGCTGAGGGAGAGATAAAACACCTACGTATTAATGTATGATGTAACATCAGGCAGCGACGAGAGCTATGAAGAAAAATAATTTGGGGCAATGAGATAGAGAGAGGGGCAGGAGGATCCCTGGCCTATGGAGAGGAGGCCCTGAGCGTACATGGCGAAGCACTGGTAGACAGAGACTGTGGGCAGCTCACGCCTCTCGAAAGCCCACACCGCGTCCTCCACCCACCTCACCTCCATACTGGCATCTGGCAGGGGACATGCCAACCTGGAGTCAGTGCCGAAAACAGGGGCCGAGAGTCAGGAGAACCTGGCCTCTAACTCGTAGGAAGTGGCCTGGATGAGTCACTTCCTATACAAGCTTCAGCTTCCTCATCTATACAGTGGGGCTAATACCTACCTCACCAGATTGTTGTGGGAATTAAATGAGATAATGTATAGCCAAGAGCTTCATAAAAAGTAAAGATCTCTATGAATGCTGATTAATTACCAAGTAAGCCTCGGTGTCCTCTCCTGTTTGATGGGTAAAATAATGCCTGCCCTGCCTAGGAACAGAGGCGTAGGCGACAGGCTAACTTAGGATTCAAACCCTGGCTCTGATTCTTACCTGCAATGAGACCTTGCAAATCACTCCCTGTCCCTGGGACTCAGTGTCCTCCTTAGCTTTAATCCAGGATTGTCATAAGGAATCTAAATAACTTAGGGAAAAGGGCCAGAATGTCTGGCATCAATGTGAGAGAGCCAGAAAGATGCCAGCTAAGAGAGGTGTGAACAGCCTCTTGGGCTCCTTGAGGCAGGGGTGGGGGTGGGGGTCACCCTGCCCACATCCCCAACCCCAAGGATGCCACACCTGGGCCCATCTGGACCTAATGTCTGCCCTGGGTCTAGGTGAGTGAGAAAGTCACCCCCAAGTTACCCCCAAAGAGCTGAGGACAAGTTGCACGGAGACAGAGAGAGCAAACAGTTTTTTAAGAGGTGCACAGTAACAGGTTGTATATTATGAGGAGAGGTAGCAGAGTGAGGGTCAGTACATATTGACCCCTAGCAGGCTCTTCCAGCCCCAGGGAGGTCTAGGAAGTCAGGCCAAGTGCCAAAGAGATGCCACTTCATCAAGGCTGGAGGTGAGCTCTCTTCCAGGCTCCTCCAGGCAGACACCTTTCAGCGGGAGTCCACACACATGATGATGAGAGGCCGGTCATGGCAAAGCTGCCATCTCTGGAGGGTCATGCCCACTGCTATTAGAATCCCAGGCCAGGGCTGGGCTCCCGTAAGCCTCACACAGGAAGCTGTCTCCACTTGGTGCCTCACCATGTGCTCAGCCAGAGACTCGTTCCCTCCAGGAAGGAGGGACTTCACTGCAGTGCCTCCAGGTAGAGTTCTATTGCTTCTAAGTCTAGTTTGGTCAGTCTTTTAGCACATGCATACCAGGCATCCACCAGGCACTGAGCACTGGCCTGCTAGAGACCAACCTGTTGACTCTTTCTCTGGAAAGTCTTCCTTCTCCTCCACCTGGGTTGGATTGACCGCATCCCTGCCTGTCCCATCTCACCCCTGTACTCAGCCCTTTCTCATTATGGGAAAAGGTATGTGTGTGCATTTGCAGGGACCATGTCTCATTCATCTGGGCCCTGGTGCTCAGCACAGGGTCAGGCGCAGAGAAGGTGCTCGATCGATGTTTGCTGAATGACTGAATGCTTGAGAGGACTGTGATGAATAAACAGGGCCTAGACAAAGATAGAAAAAAGTCCACCCACAGCTGACTGACCTGTGCCATGATGGAGGGTCAAGCAGAGCTTTCTGGGGAATCAGGAGGGAAAGGTCTTCTCCAGCTGGAGGGTGGTTAATGTCGGGGCAATGGTGGAAGGCCCCAGAGGAAGGGAGAGAGAAGGGTGGAACCCAAACACTAACATTCATACCAGTGCTTTCTAAGTACCCTTTACACCCCAGGCTCCACACCAGGAGGGGAGCTTCTAGACTCTGCTTCTCCTCTGCTTCTTGGGCATCTGCTAGAGGCTGAGTTCTGCTCCTGGGCTGCCCACCCAAGATATGGCTGGGAGACAAAGCTGCGAACAATTATACATAAAGGATCAGTCAGGACTAGGAATCCAGGGGAGGCCCCAACCCCCACAGGAGGGTGTTCTTAGGGATGCCTTCCAGGAGGAAGGTACAGGGGCAGGATCCCAGAAGGCATTGCAAAGGCCCGAAACAGAGAGAAGACAAGTTTGAGGAATTAACTGCAAGCAGTTTAGTCAGACTGCAGCACAGAGACTGTGAGTCTAGTTGGAAAAGTAGAGAAACAGGGAGGCATGAAGGACTGGGATGCTAGGTCTAGGAGTCCTGGCCTCTACCCTGAAGGCAGAGAAGACAGCCAGTCAGAGCTCACTCCCTCCACTGGTGCCTAAGAGCCCTAGGGCAGCTAGCTAGCTATAGAACTGGTCCCAAAACGCCAGTGAGTTCTTTTCTGAAAAGATTAACAATTCGCTTTAACGGTTCTGTTTTGCAAATGAGGTATCCTTAAAGCAGGGCCCACTGGGACATCTGGCCCAAAGGGGAAGCCAAACTACTGGAGAGCCAGCACACAGCTATGCTAGGTGTGCCAGGTGGGAAGTGGGCCATCAGGACCCTGCAGGCACTGTCAGTCCTCAGGGCCTGCTGCAGGGAGCCAGGCATCCTGAGCATCTGTAGACCTGCAGGGGCGCTAAGCCTCTTCCTCCCCTCTCTAGGTTTCCCCATTAGCACTAAATTAGGAAGCTGGGGTGGATTTGTTGAAATCTGAGTGCTGCTAACTTGGGCCACCTGTGCTCTGCTAGAATCCACAAATGAATTTTTATCCACAGAAGATCTCCCGAAAGGGAATATAAGCCCATCCTCGGGCTACTCCATACACCTGGGTTTTTGTGTATTCCGTTTTCATCAAGTAGAACTTTCACAAAGTTCCAAGAGGTAAGGCCAAGGAAGTGAGACTCTTAGAATGCCATGTTCCTGATACCGAACATGGATCTACATCCAGGACCCTGGACATGATTGCTGAGGACCCCAGGGGCCCACTTCCCCCACCCCACCCACTGTGACCAAGCACATTCAAAAAGTAGCTACTGCAGTGGAAGGGGCTGCCATGGCAACACTACTAGCTTGCGAGTAGGTCACCAAGGAATCTCCAAAATACGTCCCCATCACAATATATGGGCAAGCATGGGGAGACAGGTTCTTCTGGGGCACTTACCTTGGCCCCAAGTGGATGAGTGCACCATTTTCACAAGGAGAAGCTGAGGACAAGAATGAGGAGGTGGCTGACCTCAAGAGTCCCACAGCAGTTAGGGACAAGAATGGAATCGCATTTCTCCAGCAGGGATGTAAGGAAGCCAAGGGGGTCATCTCAACCAGTCCTCCTCACTGTGCAGATGAGAAGGCTGAGGCCCTAAGAGGCAGTGTTATACCCAAGGTCACATGGGAAGCAGAGGCAGGGCTTAGAATGGCTAATTCTGCTCTAATAAGAAAAGGAGTTTGTGTTTCCCATTTCTATTGATTTACCCAAAAGGTTCACAGGGTGTAGCCTGTCTGCATCTGCACCATAATCTGCACAGGTTCTTATGACACTTTTGCTCATTTCATAGATGAGGAGACTGAGGGTAAGGAAGGGTAGTGGCTTGCTGAGGCTGCGGAGCAGTTCGGTGGCCAAGCAGGAGCTGGACAGAGCCCAGGCCTGACTCCTACCCCTGGGCCCTGCCCATGAGGCCCTCAAATCAGCCAGCAGCTCCATACCAGGAGGCCCTCAAAGTGCTGGAGGCCAATAAACTAACTGCACCAGGCTCCTTTCCCATGAGCTCTCAAGTCTTCCTCCTGCTGCAGACACAGGTGAGCCACCACAGGCCTGGATCCAGCATCCTCTCTGTCTCTCTTGTCTCTGGCTCTCAGTACACCAAGACCTCAGCCTCAGTTGGTCACTCAGAGGCCCTGCAGTCAGTCTGCCTCTCCCATCCAAATCTCATGCCTCTATTTATGCTATTTCCTGTACCTGAATGTTCTTGCCTGTCTTGCTGATGTCTATTCATCTTTCCAGATCCGGACTGAATGTCACCTCTTCCAGGAAGACTTCCCTGACCTCAGGGTGATCAAGCTCCCCGGTCTCACCTCTTGGCAGTCTTTCCTGTCATTGCTCAGATCACTCTGCACAGTCATCTTGTGTACATCCCCCTGGTCTCACTTCCTCAAACGCAGGGACTGCAGCTGACACACAGAAGGTGCTCAATCAATAAAATGAAGGGTCCACACCCCAAGTCCCTTCCTCAGTGAAGCCTTCCTGGATGCCCTAGAGCAGGGTCTGCCACTCTCTACAGTGTTGGGGGCCTGCTGAATGTGTAACACAGGACAAATGACAAGGACTAACATGAATGTCACAAGTTCACAAACACTCACACTCAGGTTAACTCAAACCCTCCATCCTTGAGAATCTGAGAATTCTGACCCTATTTTCCAGATAGAAGGAGTGAGATCCCCAGAGAGGAAGTGAAGCCCCCAGCCACATCCCAGAAAAATGTCAGGCCTGGAACCCCAGCTCTCGGGCTTCTAATAAGCCCTGGGAAGCAGTAAGGGTGACCATTGAGACTGGCTCTGCCCACTTGCCACTCAGCCTTGGAGCCAGCTCCTTGCCAGACTGTGGGTACCTCCAGGGCAGGGAACAGCTACAACCCCAGCACCCAGTCCCTAGCACAGGTGGTTACAGGGACAGAGGAGGCCCAAGGAAGGCTCGAGGAATCACACTGAAGCTAAAAGCAGGGCTTCCTCCAAGAGGAATGGGGCAGTCCCACTAATGATTCCTTCGTTTAACAGATACTTACTAAGTACCTATTACCAGTGCCAGGCACTGTGCTAGATGTCACAGCACTGAGAAAGACAGACAAGGTTCCTGTTTCCAAGGGACTCATATTCTTTTTCTGTTTGTTCTTTTTGTTTTGTTTTGAGATGGAGTCTCGCTCTGTTACCCACGCTGGAGTGCAGTAGCACAACCTTGGCTCACTGTAACCTCCTCCTCCTGGGTTCAAGCGACTATCCTGCCTCAGCCTCCCAAGTAGCTGGGATTACAGGCACACACCACCACACCTGGCTAAATTTTTTTATTTTTAGTAGAGACAGGGGTTTTACCATGTCAGCCAGGCTGGTCTCGAACTCCTGACCTCAAGTGATCCTCCCACTTTGGCCTCCCAAAGTGCTGGGATTACAGGCGAAAGCCATGGCACGCGGCCGGCAAAGGGACTGATATTCTTACTGGGGAGACAATTGCTTAAACAGATAAGCACGCATGAAAATTTAGGTAGTGATAAAGGCTATAAAAATAAAAGAAGATGTGGTGATTGGAAGTGGCTCTCTAGATTGGAAGTGGCTCTCTAGATAGGGTGGCCAGGGAAGACCTCTGAGAGGAGATTGACTGTTGTAAAGCCAGCCATGCGAAGACCTGGGCAGACAGGCAGCATATGCAAAGGCGCTGAGGTAAGACTGAATTGGGAGTAATGCTGCAGGAACAGGAAGACCACCATGCGTCTGCAGCATGGTGGGTGACATACTAGGAGAGGAAGTCGTGATGGCAGTGGAGGCTGTTCACCTGGGGCTTACTTCATAGGCCAGGAGGAAGAGTTTGGAAAGTCTGAAGTGTGACTGAGTGTGGGTAGGGGGCAACTGGCATTCACCTGGCAGCCAAAGCTCTGGGGGATCTTAGTGCTCTAATCCACTAGGGCAGGCTTGGGGAGCTTCCTCAAAAAGTTTGAGAAGGGATGAGCTGCCACCCGCACCATGGAGACAACCTTCACTCATTCAGCAAACCACTGAGCACCTACAATGCACAGAGCCCTGCACTCAGCCCTTCACGGCCTTGCAACCCTTCTCTTGGCTTAAGGAGTCAGGCCACAGACTGGGAGATGGATCTGAGTTCTAGCCTGGCTTTGATAACCCTGGGAAAGTCCCTTCTTTCTGGAGACTCCAGTGATCCCATCTGTAACATGAGGGTTGGGCCCGATCCAGCACTAATTTTTACAACTCAAGTACTTGCTGTTGAATTTGAGGGCAGGAGGGTGGAGGTGGGGCAGGATTTCAACACTGACCATTGAGTCACTGAGCCTGTTAATACAACATTACTCTTGGCCCTCCTTTCTCAGCCTAGATGAGCCCTTGGTGACGCAGCCCCAAAGTGGCCTCTATTCAGCTGGGGAAGTGATGTAGGTGAGGGGGGAAGCCACACGGAATTGGAGAGGGAAGCATGAGAGTAATGTTCTCATTCTGACTTAGGACTAGGTTAGGTGACTGTCAACCCTCAGTTCCCAGTTACCCCCAACAATCTAGCCACTTAGTTTCAAGCAGATCCACAGTGATGTGGAACTCCATCCTCACCCACCCCAGCCTGTTGCAGTCCTCAACAGCTGTCAGAAAGGACTCCTCTGCTACATCAAAACTTGCACCCATCATCCCACTCCTATTCCTGGCCTCACTCTTTGGAGCCGCACACAACAAATCAGCTCAAAATTTTACTGGGACCACCAACATCTCATGCTAGGTCCTGTGCTGAACCCTGAGGACACAGGCAGGTGTCAGAGGGCTCTTCTGAACGAAGAGCCCCCAATCCAAAGGCAAGGATAAAGAATAGGATATATATCCCTCCTGTCCTGATGAACTCTGCAAACTCCACGTCTGGCACAGGACAGCCCTCCAAGGATTAGGAAATATCAACACAGACTCCCGCTTCCCCCAGCATGCACCCACCTACCCATACTCCCACAGCTGGCCTTTTTTTTTGGCCAAGAAACCAGATGCCAAGGTATCTATTTCAATCTCTCACCCGTCACAGGACTTCCCTTCACAGAATCCATGGTCTCTACTTGAATACTGTCACTGACGGGCTGTTCACCAGCTCACAACAGTGGGACCTTACCCACAGAGGCAAACTAGGCCACTGGGGAGTATCTTCAAGGACCAAGGATCTAGAAGGCAGGTCTAATGGAGATGCCCAGATAACAAAATGTGCTTCAGTGCCCTCCCCTACTCCACCCAATCTTTCACCAAAGTAGATCCCAGAAAGCTGAACTGACTGGTTTGCATTTCATACCAGCCCTTCCTACATTCCATGATGTAAATCCTTGCACCCAGTTTAAAAAAAAAAAAGTTTTCAAGATCTGATAACAACATGGGGAAATGTTCCTGACATGATATTAAGTGGCTTGGTTAAAACCATTCGCTAGAGTACAAGTTCTCCTAAGGAACAAACTCTAAGTCAAAAACATGACAGCCAGGGTCACTGCCTCCTGGAAGACACAGCTCCCAGCCTGTGGATGGCAGAGCCGACGGAATGGGGTCTCCAGGAAGCACTACCACAGAGAACATCCCTATCCCACTGCCCAGTGCAAAAACATTTTTAACAGCATGAACAAGGGCAAGTCCATTCATCCATTGATGTCCCTAAGGACATCAAAGGACACAGGGAACAGAAAAGGACTCAAGTGAGAGAAGGGGCTGTCAGAGGCTACTGGCTGGATACATGGGGCAGCTCAAGCTGCTCGCCCCCGAGACAGGGCAGCAGCTGGGTTCCTCTTCAAGGGCTACGAGCAGCACCCACACCAAGAGGGGCAGATAACCACAGCGATAATCACACAAGAAGCAATGCCAATGCCTAGGTCACAGTTAAAGTGTGGTACAGCTGCAGGGTGGGTTATTGCAACCACTAGGACATTGTAAGTGATTCTGATTAACAGAAGGGAAACCTCGATGTTACATTAAGGGGGAGAAAACAAGATTCATAACTATATCTACAGCATGTCCTCAATTGTATCTATGCAATGTGTATAAAGAAAATGATCAAGAGATATACTAAAATGCTAATAGGAAGGTATCTTTGGATAGTCGATTTACCAGAAATTTTTTTCATTTGTCTATATTTTCAAAAATTCCATAATTAGCAAGCTTTATTTTTGTAACAAAGGTGGGCGGTGTAGGCGACCGTTAGTTACTAAAGAAAAATCCATGTCAGAGAGGCTCAGCAAACAGAATACAGACTTAGAAAGAGGGAGAGGGGCTTCATGCAAGACACACACGCAGACCAGGACAGCTGTGATGACTTCCCAGGGTCTACCGGATTTGTACTTGAATCCAGGGGTCAAGGCATCAGCTAAGGAAAACTTAGGCATGCTTCCTCCCACTTCAGTTTCTCCAGCTCTAGGTAAGGGAGGTGGGGGTTGGAAGAGTTGCTATTCCTCGCTTGGGAAAAGCTGCGGGGGGTGCGGGGCGGGGGTTGATTTCAACTCTGCGCGATTCACTGAGGACCTCAGTTCTACCTTGGAGGACATGCAGGGTCCTCTCCGCTGCCTTCTAAGCATGCCAGGCTCAAGAGTTGCTGCTATGTGGGCTCCAGAGCCTGGGCGAGAGGATGGATGTGGGACAGAGGACAGGGCAGACACACCTGTTCCAGTCGGGCATGTTCCCCGTCTGGTGGCTGTCTCAGGAGACGGCAAAACCCATACCATCCTGCCCATCCAGTCTATCACTGCCAAAGCTCGCTCTACCTGGTGAAGGGAGAGGGGAGGGAAGTGCCAGGGGTCACCAGCCGCAGTGGGGGCTGGGGAGGAGTTCTCGAATATCCCTAATAACTAAGAATGGTGGGTGGTACCGCTCCCACCTCACGGATGAGGGAAACAAGCTGGGGGGCGGGTGGAAAGCGATGTAACAGAGGTCGTAAAAATTGATGAGTGCCACAGTGGAGAATGAACGTGGACTCATCAGTACCCACCAGCCTGCCACAGGGCCCTTTCCAGAAAATCTTCTCGCAGGTCCATAACCCCTGCGCCGTGGCACTCACCCCATCTCCCAGACCCCTCGCGCGACAGCGCAGGTCCTCCGTGAGAGCGCTGGCTCCGGTCAGCCTCGGCCTGACGCTCGCCGCGCAGGACCCCGGAGTAGGCGGCTATGAGGGTCTTCATGGCTGAAGCCCGCCCAGTCACGGCCCCGCGGGAAGCCGCTTCACCCCGCGCCCCTGGCCCATGCCCCGGCCCCCGGGGCCAGGGCTTCGCGCAGAGCACAGGGGTCCCGGGACGGCGTCGAGGCTGGGCGGCTAGGACACCTGGAGCTGCGGCCGGCGGCCAGTGGTGGCGCGAGAGAAACAGCCTAGACCCCAGCAGAGGCGGCAGCCGCGGCGCTGGCGTCCCGGAGCGCAACACTTTATCACCTCACAACGGGGCAGGCGCCGACGCGGCGGGCGGGGCGGGCCGTTCTAAGCCGCCGCCCGCGCCACTTGCTTGTGGGGGAACCGCACCTGAGGCTCTGCTTGGCGCGGGCCCGGGGCTGGCCAGCAGCCTGCTCCGCGCGGATCCGGGGAATGCGTGAGAGGAGAGCAGCTCTGAGCCCTGCTTCCAAGGGGCGCGCCCGGTTATTCCCCTCGCTCCCTCAGTCCGACCCCGGGCGCTCCCCCGCGGAGATTGGTACGGCCCGGCGGCCAGTACCCGGGCGGGGAAAACCAAGCACGTGCGGTGCAGGCAGAGGGCGTGCAGGGGGTCGGGCCTTTACTCTTTAGGAGGGGCTGTCTTTTGGCAGCAAAGATGCGAAGGTCCCGCTTTTGGTCACTGGTATCAGGATTAGTTAGGTTAGGGCTGGGTATCTCAACCACCCAAACTGCTTCTGGCTTTCCATCTCTTTATTAAGAAACCTCACAGAGCACCTATACCCTGCTGGGTGCTGGGGACCCAGCCAGATCAGCCCAGGTTCTGCCCTTGGGATGCTCACGCTGGGGGGCAGCAGAGACAGCCGCACACAGTCACTGGTGACAACGGCCGGGACAAGCGAGAAACCAGGGGGCTATGGAACCACAGAGTAGAGAAGACTCTGCCCTGGGCTGGGGGAGTGGGGGCGCTGGTGCACTTCCCAGAGAGGTTGGTGCACAGCAGGTTTGGAATCAGATAGACTAGGAGTCCAGTTCTTGCCCTGCCTCTCTTGAGCCTCAGTTTCCATATCTGTAAAATGGGAATAATAATTATTATTTTTGTGAGGTACTTTGAGAAGTAAATGAGATAAGGTATAAAAAGAGCCTAGGTAGTGTCTGGCACATAGAAAGCATTCCAGAATGGTTTGCCCATTAATGAATAGGAATTTTGCAGATGGAAGGTGTGAGGGCAAAGCAGAAAGATAGGCATAAAGTGTTAGAAAAGCCAGCATGTTTGGGGCAGGGCTGGGGGCCCTGGAGTGGCTGGAGCCCAGGCAACTGTGGAAAATGAGGCTGAAGTGAGAGGCGCGGGTGCTTGAACTGAGAGAGGTTTGGGAGTGCCACTCTTGAGATATTGGGGGGGAGCCGGGTCTTGGGAGAGCTTTAGTAGGGAAATGGCTGGTCAGGTGGGTTTTAAGTGTCCTTAGCCATGGTATGGGAAATGGACAGGAGAGGCTGTAGGTCAGGAGGGCAGTGGGGAGGCTGTAGGGGCGGGGGATCCATGTGAGAGAGGATGAGCCTCAAGGCACGGCAGTGGTAGAGGGAATGGAGGGAAGGCCTGATCTAGGGAAGAGCATAGGAAGCGAGATCCACCAGCATGTGGTGGAGCGACTTGTTGGATGGAGGCTCAGGGAACGAGTGGGGACAACAAGCATGTCAGTGATAAGACAGATTTCTTAGGCATAGCTGGAGCGAGATAGCTGTGGGGTCACAGCATAAGAGGAGAGGAATTCCCTGCCTTTGTGGTCTTTATCATGTTCTCACAGGGGGAGAGGAGAATGACAGAAGTTACAGGCACAGGGCAGCAGGTAATAGATGCCTCTGGTGCAACCTAGAGATGCTTCCATTTGTTCAGCCCTCTCAAGGCCACAGGAGTAAATCTCTCAACCGTGTTACTGGGCCCCAAGGCCCGAATTGGCCAAGAGTAGAAAGAAAAGCATTCCAGGCAGAGCTCCCAGCATGTGGTGAGGCCATGAGGCTGGAAAGATCTTAGTGCCTTTTAGGAAACTGAGGGTAGGCTAGTGGCATGCCACATGTGGGGGATGGGGGGAGACATGGGGACTGGTAAGTGCAAAGGCTGGGAGGTAGAAACAGGTGTGGTTTGTTTTTGGGCAAAGAGGAGTGAAGCCAGGAGGATACTGAAGGTGCCAGTAAATCCTGGCATCCTCTCCTCAGAGAGGGTGCTCTTGGAGGCAAGACTCCTGCTGGCCTGGAAGATCCCAGGTCAGTCTGTGGCTCGTGCCTGCTCCAGAAGGGTCTCCTGTGGAGGAGGCCTGGGCTGGAACTCATGGCCCACCCACTCACCCTGGGCAAGTCAGTATCGCTATCTTGTCTAGGTTTCCTTTTCTGCATTATGAAATGGAGGTGACAGTTTCTGTTTTGCTGACTTCACTTGAGTATTTGAGGATGAAGTGAAATCACAGCATGTAAAAGAGTGTTATCACTGTGCTGTAATGTAAGAGATCATTGTCTTAAATGGCAAGATTTGGGGTTACCAAGGCCTATTTGAAACATTCAGATCCCAAGTTCATCTACTTCAGCACATTTTTGCTATGCACCTTCTCTGGGCCCGGCCTTGGTTAGGACACAGAGAGTAATCGGACTTAGTCCTTGGCTTTGAGGAGACCCAATCGAGAGATGGTGTCCTAAAGCCAATGATCCCAAGACAGCCAGCCTGTGGCACAGGGTAACATGGAAGGCTATGCCAAGTTTGGCCTTTCCCCCTGTGCTGTCACTGTCTGCCTGCCTCTCCACGGAGCCAGGCGTTTCCCAAGGGCAGGAACCTCATCACTCTATGTCCCAGTGTGGGCCTAGCTCGGCATAGACGCTTAGTCCAAGGTGGATTGCCCCCTGAAAAAGTATAGTAGAGTCATAGAGGAAGTAGAGGGAATGGTAAATTGGGAAGGTCAAGAAGAAGTGATATTGCTGCAGACCTAAGATGAGAAGTCTGATTCTGTGAGGCAGGGGGAAAGGGGAAAGGTGTCAGGCAGAGGGTACAGCATGGACAAAGGCCTGGAGGTAGGAACCCTGTGAGCACCCTGGTGTGGCTGAAAGAAAGATACAGGCAGAAGAGGGGTAGGAAATGAGGCTGGAGAGGTTGACAGGGCCCAGATCTGAACGGCCTCGTGGGTCCTGCCAGGAAGCTTGGACTTCATCCTGTGGGGGGATGGACCAAAGGAGGGGTGTGAGCAGAGATGCACCTTGATTGGATTGGTGGGTTAGAAAGATAAACTGGGGCCCAGCGCGGTGGCTTACGCCTGTAATCCCAGCACTTCGGGAGGCCGAGGCGGGTGGATCACGAGGTCAGTAGATCGAGACCATCCTGGCTAACACGGTGAAACCTCCTCTCTGCTAAAAATACAAAAATTAGCCAGGCGTGTTGGCAGGTGCCTGTAGTCCCAGCTACTCGGGAGGCTGAGGCAAGAGAATGGCGTGAACCCAGGAGATGGAGCTTGCAGTGAGCCGAGATTGTGCCACTGCACTCCAGCCTGGTAGCCTGGGCGAGAGAGCAAGACTCAAAAAAAAAAAAAAAAAAGGAAGATAAGCTGGGTTGTTGGGGTGGAGGTGGGTGCTTGGGGAATAGGGCCATAAAATCTGGTCCCCAGCTTGGGCCCTTCCTGTGTGGGAACATCTGTGAGAGGACGCAGAGGTGAGTCCAAGGGCTGAGAGGCACAATTGCTTACTTCTGTGCCACCTCACAGAGCAAGCAGCCCCTGGCATCCCAACTTCTAGAACACTCCTTCCCCTTGGCCTCCAGCCGCCATGCCCATGGGTACTGCTTAAACAGCTTGGTCCAAATTGGATTTGGAAGGAAAACCAGACCCAAACTTAGAGTAGCCTGGAAAGGAAGTTTCATGGCAGCTTCCTGTGTCCTGGGACTGTTTTCCCCTGTGTGAGTTTGGGCAAGGGGGACTTACACCAGACTCTGACTTCTCCTGGCCCCCTCCCATGCTTCTTGACATTCCTAGCCTCCTATAATGACCAGCCCTGACCTTCCTGCAGGTGTGTGAGCAGAACAGCTTGAGAATGTGTTCTAGGACCTGGTTACCTTTCCTTCATCATCTCTCAACCCATGTGTATATTGGGAAAATCAGAGACCGGTCAAGTCATGCCTCCAAGAAGGGCTTGACCAGGGTGGGCTTTGTGGTCCCACCAAGAAGCTTGGACTTCATCCTGTTGGGGGATGGACCAAAGGAGGGGTGTGAGCAGAGAGGCATCCACAAGGATGGCTCATCCTCCACCCACTTCAATCACCAGTGTTGTACAGCCATTGGGGATTACACGTGCAGCTTTGTAGCTTGTGAGAGGTTTGACGCATGCACCTCTGAGATATGCTTCAGTGATAGCAGTCTTAGCTCCTCCATTGCACACATGAGGAGGGTAAGTGGCCAGCCTATAAGGCAGAGAGGACACTTGCCCTAAGAGAGGCACAGGTAGAAAGACAGAAACAAACGTGTATCAAGCTCCCTGCTCTGTGCTAGGCCCTGGCTTGTGTGAGCTTGCCCAGTCCTCACAGCCACCACACAAGGGGTGATCACCCCCACCGCTTTGCACATGGGGTGCAGGGAAGTAAAGTGACTTGTCCTGGATCACACAAGGAGTAAGTAGTAAAGCTGAGATTCACACCAAGTCTTCCAGAGCCTCAAACCTGTACGCTTTTCCTGCCTCCCAAGGCTGGGAGAGGGAGCACCTGTAACAGCAGAACTACTGGACGAAAGCAAATTCCCATCCATCGCCTCCACAGCCCTGGGAGGTTAGTCCCATTTTGCAGTTGGCAAAATGAAAGCTCAGGGAATCCAATAGCTTACCAGATGGGGTTGGGATGTAACCAGTTCTCATGCCACAAGGCTAGGGCCCATTGGGGTTAAACTCCTTTCAGTGCTCAACTCACTTGGAGAGTGGGCGGGCAGGGTTCTGGCAAGCAGAGGCAGCCTGGCATGGCCCTCTAGCCTGGAAACTCACCCGCCTCCTTACTCACAGGAATTTGCCAGCCAGAGCAGCTGTGTGGCATGGCTGCACTCCTCTTGGAAGTCTTTGCCTCCCACGTCCAAGCCCCCTACTCTCCCTCTTCCTGGTGGCTTCCCCACATGCTGCTGCTGCTTTGTGGTCAGGGGCCTGATGGTATATAGTCTTGGGTGGCAGGCTACAGAGTCTGGACTTTATTCTCAGGGCAATGGGGAGCCATAGAGGTTTTTAGCAGGAGTTTTATGCTTTAGAAAGATCATTGTCCAGGCAAGAACATCTTTAACTGTCATCTCCATGGCACCCTTCCTAACTACCTCTACCTTATATTAGTCAGTGTCCCTATGGGAAACAGCCCACCCAAACTGGGTAATTTGAGGACAGTTTAATACAAAGACTGTTTGCAAAGATGTAAGCAGGCTATAGAGAAAACTCAAGGGATGGTGCAGTAGCCCAGGACTAGTCACCTCACAGGGGATCTGGCCTGAAGGACTAAGAGAAGGACACTGCAGGTGCAATGGGGGCTGAGCGGAGAGGGCTGCCACATGGAAGCTGTGGCCTTTGCTGAAGGGGCACAGACAACCCACAGGGACCTGGGTGATATTGGATGGAAGGGAGGGAGGCAGATGAGAGGAAGGAGAGAGATAATGACGACAGAGCCTGAACTGAAGGGGTGGCAAGGCAAAAGAGAAGCGAGGGTGATTTTGAGAGATGCTGAAGCTTTAGAGTCTCTAGGATTTGATGGCATGGATGTAGGGCTGAAAGGAAGGAAGGGGGTGATTGAAGATGGCTCCGGGTTTCAAACCAGAACCCAAGAGCACAGACCTCCCAGCTCTAAGGTCAGGCCTTAGCAGAGCTTGGTAATGGCCTTTGGCCCTATCTTGTGTGACAGGTCTGGATGACAGTAGAGGAATAGGGCAGGACTGAGACCCTTGGGAGCAGCCCCAGGCTTGTTTTAGAAAGTTCTGTTGCAATGTGTACAGACAGCTCCCCTTGCATCATTCTGCCTGCTTATTTCTTACTCAACTCTCTCAAGGCCTCTTCCCTGCAGGAATTGGGGGGTGGGGTGAGGGTGGGGGAGGGGATATTACACAGAGAGCTCCCAGTACATTCATTTCTCATCTGCCCTTCTATCTGGCCGACCTTTCCTGAGACCCCCCATCCTTGTGCTGGGTGCTGTGGGTACAGTTCTTGCTCCTTAGGGGCATTCTGGGGGAAGAAACAGACACCTAAAATGACAATTATTATTCAGCAGTAGTTTCTAGCTTTTTAAAAGCAGTGAAACCATTTCTTTTTTTCTTTTTTCTTTTTTTTTTTTTTGAGACGGAGTCTCGTTCTGTCGCCCAGGCTGGAGTGCAGTGGCACAATCTCGGCTCACTACAAGCTCCACCTCCCGGGTTCACGCCATTCTCCTGCCTCAGCCTCCCAAGTAGCTGGGACTACAGGCGCCCGCCACCACATCCAGCTAATTTTTTTTTTGTATTTTTAGAGACGAGGTTTTGCCATGTTAGCCAAGATGGTCTCAAGCTCCTGACCTCGTGATCCGCCCATCTCAACCTCCCAAAGCGCTGGGATTACAGGCGTGAGCCACCGCGCCCAGCTGAAATCATTTCTTCAAATACAACCTTGAGAGCCCAAGAAGTGACAGGGATGACAGGCTGCTGGGGTGGTCCCACAGTTCCTCAGGGTTTGTCTCTCACTTGCCCAGCCCACACACCCTATCTCCAGGGCTCTGTGGAACACAGTTTGAAACTCCTGCTGCACAGAATAGCAAGTGCAGGGCCAGGGGATGCACTGAAGACGGGCATTCAGGTGGATGCCCCCTGCACACTGTGGAAAGGCACCCTGGTGGGCTGGCACCTGGTCAGACCCATCTTCCTGAGCAAGGGCACTGGACAGGTTTGTTGGTGGATCATTTTTATATGAATACATATGCCTAGACAAGGCCCTTCTCCTGGTCCATCCACCCAGACCCTGACTTGGCCCCAGACTGAATAAGCCCCCACCTTGCCACATGTTAATGTTGCTTACTGTGTTTGAGCCTCAGTTTCCCTGTGCTCCATCCAAATGGGAATAGGTATCTTCCTCCTAGGGTTGTTGTAAAGACTAAAATAATAAATGTAAAGTGCCATATGGGCACAATGGCTCATGCCTGTAATCTCAGTACTTTGGGATGCTGAGGCATGAGGATCATTTGAGCCCAGGAGTTGAAGACCAGCCTGGGCAACACAGACAGACCCCATCTCTACCCAAAAAAAAAAAATTACCTAGGCATGGTGGCATGTGTCTGTAGTCCCAGCTACGTAGGAGGCCAAGGTAGGGGGAGGGGAGGATTGCTTGAGTCCAGGAGTTAGAGGCCGCAGTGAGCTATGATCGTGTCACTGCGCTGCAGCCTGGGCAGCAGAGAGACACCCTGTCTCTAAGTGAATGAATGAATGAATGTAAAATGCCCAGGACAGGGCCTGGCATATAGTACTTGACAAATTGTTACCAGTAGAAGTATTATGATTGAAAATAAGGATTAGGGTGACAGGTTTGCCTGGAGCTCTGACACCTTCTCCAAAGGGCTTTGAACAAACATAAAGGGAGGGAGAAGAGTAAAATGCCTGAGAAGGCAGTGGAACTGGAGGATACTAGAAATGACAAAGAACCAGGCATCTTAGCATAGGAGATGACCACAATTCACAAAGGAAAATGCAGTATGAGCAAGGGTCCTGGAAGGAGCAGAGGCTCAGTAATAGTAGCCTTAGTCAGAGGAAACTGGAAATGTTGCACGCTTGACTCAGCATGTCTTTCCTAAGCAAAGGTCCCTGTGGCAGCCCCTGGGCTGCCCAGTGCAGAGATGTGTAAGACCCAACACTGCTCTCAGGTAACCTGTAATCCAGGGAGGATTGAGCACTTTTGAGCATGGACAACAGTAATACAGGGAGGAAGTTAGAGCTGTTAGTAAAAGAGGGTTCTGGGGGAATCAGGAACACTTTGTGGAGAAGGAGTGGGCAATGAACTGCGCCATATCTACCTAAATAAACCACTGTGCTATAATATGCTGTGGCAGTTTTCAAACATTAGCAGAGGGCTGGTTAAAATATAGCTTTCTGGGTTCCACCCCCAGAGTTTCTGATTCAGTAGGTTCTGGAGTGAGGCTGAGAATGTGCATTTCTAACAAGTTCCCAGGACATGCTGATACTGCTAGTTTGAAGCCCACATTTTGAGAACCGCTGCTGAACTGTTTTGCAGTGAGACTACAGTGGAGCATGGGACTGCTCTGCTGTATTAAATTGTTCCAACTGCATCTCAGAGAACCTGCAGATTACAGAATCTGTAATCTCTAGGAAATGCTGTTCAGCTGGAGAAGCGTTGGGAGACTGGAGGTGGGCTAGTGCCATCCTGATTTTTCCAAAAGGAGAAGCAACAGTTTTCATGAACTATAACAGGCAATATAACAGGTGTTAAACTTCAGTGAGTATTTACTGTCTGCCAGTTACTATTCTAGGTTCCTTACATGGGTGGATTTAGTTAAGCCTCACAACAACCCTTTGGAGTAGATACTATATGAGTCCATTTTTCAGATGGAGAAATTGAGACACAAAGAGGTTAAAAAAAATTGCCCAAGGTCACACAGCTTAGGAAGTGGCAGAGCCAGGATTTAAGCTGAGATGGTCTGGCTCCAGAGACCATGCTCTATAATAGCTGCAAAATCCTGGCCATATTCTGAGGTCAGTTGTATAAACTGCATTCTATAAATGATGCTCTGTAACCCTCAAGAGAAAAAACAAACAAACAAAAAAACAAAACCCTGAGTTGTCAGGAGCTACGATTGAGTCACCGAGGAGGGGTGGTATCCATATATCAGTTTTCTTTTCAATGGCCTCTCTAGATTCCCAAACTGGCCTAGGACTAGGTCTATGGTATCAGCAGAGTCCTGAGCAGGGAGGTGATCAGCAGGCCAGTGTGGGCTCTGCTAGGGAGGAGGAGCTGCCTCAGGTAGGAGTTCATTCTAGAGTGGTTTCCTGGTCACTCCAGGCTCCACCTCAGCCCGGCCTTATGGATTTTTTTTTTTTTTTAAGTAAGTGACCTGAACAAGGATGCTGACATGAGGCATACAGGAAACACAAAGAAAGGCGGAAAAGCAAATATTTTGGGTGAGATAACTGGGATTAAAACACCCTGAAAGCCTGTAGATGAATGTGAATTTGCAGGATGGTGTTGATGAGGAAGAACTATAAAGTCAGGCTTTAACTGAATGTCTCTCAGCCTCTTTCTTTGGTAACTTTGGCCTCCCCCAGGCTGCTGGGTATGCTGGGTCATGAAACTGAATAGGGTTGGGTTTTTTTTTTTTTTTAGGCTGACTCTCTGAGAAAGATTACTTGTGCTCATGGACACATACAAAAACATTCACACTGATACCTCTATGCCCAACAACCAGGAAACAGTTCTCTCCTTCTCTCTTCTGCCTTGGGCCATGCCACCTTGCATAGACAGCTGTACTATCCTCTTCACTGGTCCCCTGTCTCCAGATTCCCAGAATGAGCTTCAGAACACAGAACCCAACCATTGTTTCTCGTGGCTCCCCATAGTTCTTAGGATGAGGCCCCAGCTCCTTAACTTGGCATTCAAGGCCTCACATCATCCTGCTCCTGCCACTCTCTCCAGCCGCCTCCACTCCTCTCCCACCGCCATGCTCTAATGTGGGTCCAGCTCCCTAGGCCCATCAGGTCACTTGCCCTGCCCCTGAACGTGCTTTTCCACCTCTGGGTCCCTGCCCACACTGTGCTCTTGAGCTCAAGCCCTTCCCCAAGCTCCCCCTTTTTCACACCCTGTCCATCTGTCCTGTCTTGATGCATCTTCCTCCAAGAAGCCTTCTTTACAACCACACATACCCCTTTTTAAAACTTTCACTTAAACTTTAACACTTCTGCTGCTTGCTGCACAAAAACAAACAAACAAACAAACAAAAACTTTAACACTGGTGTTTGGGCTGGAAATTTGGGAGTAGAGTCCTTCCCTGCTAGAAGTTCACAGCATGGAGAAGCCACATTTTGGGGAAGCAAACAGTTTGTTTTATATATATATACATATATTTGAGATGGAGTCTTGCTCTGTCGCCCAGGCTGGAGTGCAGTGGTGTAGTCTCGATTTACTGCAACCTCTGCCTCCTGGGTTCAAGTGATTCTCGTGTCTCAGCCTCCCGAGTAGCTGGGACACCTGGCATTTTTTTTTTTTCTGTATTTTTAGTACAGATTGGGTTTCACCATGTTGGCCAAGCTGGTCTCGAACTCTTGACCTCAAGTTATCTGCCCACCTTGGCCTCCCAGAATGCTGGGATTACAGGTGTGAGCCACCTCCAGTAATGTATCTGTCTACATTCCTCCCTCTCCACCTGACTGTAGGCAGGGACAAAGCTGATTCTGAGCAGATCTGGCACAAGGAAGTCACCAGAAAACACTATTGGGTTCCTCAAGGGTAAAGACTGGATCTTATCCATCTTGTTGCCCATTCCTGCCTCTGCAATCATGTGCACTCTGGGAACTTGGAAAATACATTGTGGCATCCAGTATTAAATCTCATGGTACCTAGAATGACTGTTGTCATTCATTCATCCATTTATTCATTCACTCATTCATTTAACACAGTTATTATATACATGCTCTTTGCCTTGCAAGACCTGTGTAGGTATTAGAGATACAACGGTGAGAAGAAAACAGACCCAGTCCCTGGCTTCCTGGAGCTTCTGAAGTTCAAGGTCAAACTAAGAGGAGGGAGTAATCCGCATTGGAGTTGGGAAGAGACCAGAGACTGATAGCAATTTAGCCTTGACCTTGTTCATAACAGTATACCTGCATCTTGTTATTTAACCTCTACAGCAATCTTGGAGGTGTGAGTTCACAACATTAAAATATAAATGAGTAAACTGAGGCTTAGAGAAGTGGTAGCTAGTTAGAGGAAGAGCAGGGACTTGAATCTTGGTTATTTCGATATCAAAGCCCTTGCTTGTTCTTATTCTATTTACCTGGGCCTGAATGGAAGAAGGGGTGGAGTGGTGGGGTGATGAGGAGAGAGAGAGAGATAGAGAGAGAGCCCTGTGTCAGATGCTGTCCAACGTGGCTTGGACAGAAAAGAAAAGCCTAAATGTGGGAGTTTTCCAACACTGCCATTGGGCAATCTCCAGAATTAAGTCCATGGCCACCATTTCTTGTGTACCTGATGTTGAGAAACAGACTCAGACCTGAGATAAACTTGAGATTTTGAACCCTATCAGTTAGCACAGTGTGGCCTCTGCCAGGCTAACCCCATCCACTTAGGGCTGAAGGCTTGATCCCCACAGCAGTTTGAACACTGTGTAGCCCTTCCCTTCATGGCTGCCCCAAGCGTCACAATTAGACCAGGTACAGATGTGGAAGAAACGACTTGGCTGTTTCTGAGGGCCTCCGTTAGGACATTTCATAAGATATCAAATACATTAGCATAAAGTTGTTCATAATAGTCACTGGTTATTCTTATAATATCTGTAGGAGCTTTAGTGATATCTCCTTTTCATTCCTGATATTGGTAATTTGTGTCTTTACTTTTTTCTTGACCCATCTGACTAGAGATTTATCCATTTTATTTATTTCATTAAAACCCTTTGGTTTCAGTGATTTTCTCTATGTATGTTTTCAATTTCATTTACTTCTGCTTTTATCTTTATACTTTCCATTTGCTTTGGCTATATTTTGCCCTTTTTCTTAAGTTTAGATTATTGATTCAAATCCTTTTTTATTATTTTTATTTTTTCTCTTTCTTTCTTTCTTTCTTTCTTTCTTTCTTTCTTTCTTTCTTTCTTTCTTTCTTTCTTTCTTTCTTTTTTTGAGAGGGAGTCTCGCTCTGTCTGCCCATGCTGGAGTGCAGTGGTGCAATCTTGGCTCACTGCAACCTCTGCCTCCCGGGTTCAAGCAGTTCTCCTGCCTCAGCCTCCCAAGTAGCTGGGATTACAGGCATGTGCCACCAAACCCAGCTAATTTTTTTGTATTTTTAGTAGAGACGGGGTTTCGCCCTGTTGGCCAGGCTTGTCTCAGTCTCCTGACCTCAGAGGATCTGCCCGCCTCGGCAGTGCTAGTATTACAGGTGTGAGCCACCACACCAGACCTTTGTTTTCTTTTATAGTTCCCAGCACTCTTTATCTCTTTGTGTAAATCTGAATTTCCATCTGGTATTACACCTAAAGAATTTTCTTTAACATTTCTGGTTGTGTGGGTCAGCTGGCAATTAATTCTCTTAAGCTTTGTCTTAAAAGTCTTTATTTTATCTTCATTTTGGAATGACATTTTCCCTGGGAATAGAAATCTGAGATGACAGCTTTTTCCCTTTAGTGAAGATGTCACTCCATTGTGTTCTGCCTTGCAAAAATTCTTGACAAGAATCTGCAGTAAATATTATCTTTGTTCTTTTGTATGTAATATTTCATTTTTTCTCTGGTTATCTTTAATATTTACTCCTGATTTTGTTGTTTGGTGGTTTTTATATCTAGGTGGGTGTATATTTTGTATTTATCCTGCTTGGGGCTCTCTGGAATTCTTGGATCTGTGATTTGTTGTCTTTTATTAAATTTGGAAAATTCTCGGCCATCATCTCTTTGAACTTTCTCTCTTTTTTCTTCTCTCTTTTTCCTTCTAGAACTCCAATTAGACACATATTTAGACTGATATTGTTGTACAGGTCTTAGATGCTCTGTTTCCTGCCATGCCCCCCCAACTCATACATACTCTTTTCTTTTTGCTTTTTTTTAAATTTATTCTAAAAACAAAAAATGGGATACACGTGCAGAATGTGCACGTTTGTTACATGGGTACATGTGTGCCATGGTGGTTTGCTGCACCTATTGACCTGTCCTCTAACTTCCCTCCCCTCATCCCCAACCCCTAACAGGCCCTGGTGTGCGTTGTTCCCCTCCCTGTGTCCAACACACACACTTTTTTATCTCTGTGTTGCTGAGCACATCAAAGGACGACTTGATCTTTGATATGTTGTTTTTTTATTTCTAGCACTTCATTTGACTCATTTTTTAAAATATAGTTTTCATCTCTCTGCTAAAATTCTCCATCTGTTCATTCAGGTTGTCTGTCTTTTCCACTGAATCCTTTCACTTACTAATCATAGTTATTTTAAAACCTCTGTCTTACACTTCTAACATCTTTTTTTTTTTGAGACGGAGTTTTGCTCTTGTTACCCAAGCTGGAGGGCAATGGCGCGATCTCGGCTCACTGCAACCTCCACCTCGTGGGTTCAAGCTTTTCTCCTGCCTCAGCCTCCCAAGTAGCTGGGATTACAGGCACACGCCACCATACCCAGCTAATTTTGTATTTTTAGTAGAGTCGGGGTTTCACCATGTTGTTCAGGCTGGTCTCGAACTCATGACCTCAGGTGATCCACCAAAGTGCTAGGATTACAGGCATGAGCCACTGCGCCCGGCCCCAACATCTTATGGTTTCACTTTTTCTTTCAGTCTGGTTCTTCTGTGTGTTTTATTTCTTGATAATGGATATTTTTGTGTGTGTGAGTATCACCTGTTTTTTGATGGAATTTCAAATATCATGTATATTGATATTTGTGGTTTTTGAGCTGATCTAGTCAGAGTTGAGCTAGGTTTGGGTTTTGCTGTTGCCATGTTTGCAAATTTTTCTAGTGGTTGACACCTGCTAACTTGTGCTGAGGGGAGAGACTGGAATGTCAGAGGATTCTTCTCAATGTTTCTTTCTTTCTTTTTTTTGTAACAGCTTTATTGAGATTTAATGCATATACCACACAATTCACCAATTTAAAGTACACAATTCAATGGATTTTAGTATGTTTACAGAGTTGTGCAACTGTCACCACAATCAATTTTAAAACATTTCATCATCTCAAAAAAGCAAAACAAAAACACACCAAAAACTCTGTAGTTGCCAAGGCCTGGAAAGAAGGGAGAATAGGTATGAGGTTTATGGTTGGGATTAAAAAAAATTCTGGAATGAGATGGTATTATTTGTGCAACATTGTAAATGTAATTAATGCCACTGAATTATACACTTTGAAATGGTTAAACTGAATCATGAAATGTGATCTTTTCTTTCTGATTTCTCTCTTAGCATGTTTTCAAGCTTCATCCTTGTTGTACCCTGTATCAGTACTTCATTAATTTTTTTTTTTTTTTTTGAGACGGAGTCTCGCTCTGTTGCCCAGGCTGGAGTGCAGTGGCACAAACTCGGCTCACTGCAAGCTCTGCCTCCTGGGTTCATGCCATTCTCCTGCCTCAGCCTCCCGAGTAGCTGGGACTACAGGTGCCCGCCACCATGCCCGGCTAATTTTTTTGTATTTTTAGTAGAGACGGGGTTTCACTGTGTTAGCCAGGATGGTCTCCATCTCTTTTTTTTTTTTTTTTAAATTATACTTTAAGTTTTAGGGTACATGTGCACATTGTGCAGGTTAGTTACATATGTATACATGTGCCATACTGGTGCACTGCACCCACTAACTCGTCATCTAGCATTAGGTATATCTCCCAATGCTACCCCTCCCCCCTCCCCCCACCACCCCACCACAGTCCCCAGAGTGTGATATTCCCCTTCCTGTGTCCATGTGATCTCATTGTTCAGTTCCCACCTATGAGTGAGAATATGCAGTGTTTGGTTTTTTGTTCTTGCGATAGTTTACTGAGAATGATGATTTCCAATTTCATCCATGTCCCTACAAAGGACATGAACTCATCATTTTTTATGGCTGCATAGTATTCCATGGTGTATATGTGCCACATTTTCTTAATCCAGTCTATCATTGTTGGACATTTGGGTTGGTTCCAAGTCTTTGCTATTGTGAATAATGCCGCAATAAACATACATGTGCATGTGTCTTTATAGCAGCATGATTTATAGTCCTTTGGGTATATACCCAGTAATGGGATGGCTGGGTCAAATGGTATTTCTACTTCTAGATCCCTGAGGAATCGCCACACTGTCTTCCACAATGGTTGAACTAGTTTACAGTCCCACCAACAGTGTAAAAGTGTTCCTATTTCTCCACATCCTCTCCAGCACCTGTTGTTTCCTGACTTTTTAATGATTGCCATTCTAACTGGTGTGAGATGGTATCTCATTGTGGTTTTGATTTGCATTTCTCTGATGGCCAGTGATGATGAGCATTTTTTCATGTGTTTTTTGGCTGCATAAATGTCTTCTTTTGAGAAGTGTCTGTTCATGTCCTTCGCCCACTTTTTGATGGGGTTGTTTGGTTTTTTCTTGTAAATTTGTTTGAGTTCATTGTAGATTCTGGATATTAGCCCTTTGTCAGATGAGTAGGTTGCGAAAATTTTCTCCCATTTTGTAGGTTGCCTGTTCACTCTGATGGTAGTTTCTTTTGCTGTGCAGAAGCTCTTTAGTTTAATTAGATCCCATTTGTCAATTTTGTCTTTTGTTGCCATTGCTTTTGGTGTTTTAGACAGGAAGTCCTTGCCCATGCCTATGTCCTGAATGGTAATGCCTAGGTTTTCTTCTAGGGTTTTTATAGTTTTAGGTCTAACGTTTAAGTCTTTAATCCATCTTGAATTGATTTTTGTATATGGTGTAAGGAAAGGATCCAGTTTCAGCTTTCTACATATGGCTAGCCAGTTTTCCCAGCACCATTTATTAAATAGGGAATCCTTTCCCCATTGCTTGTTTTTCTCAGGTTTGTCAAAGTCAGATAGTTGTAGATATGCGGCGTTATTTCTGAGGGCTCTGTTCTATTCCATTGATCTATATCTCTGTTTTGGTACCGGTAACATGCTGTTTTGGTTACTGTAGCCTTGTAGTATAGTTTGAAGTCAGGTAGTGTGATGCCTCCAGCTTTGTTCTTTTGGCTTAGGACTGACTTGGCGATGCGGGGTCTTTTTTGGTTCCATATGAACTTTAAAGTAGTTTTTTCCAATTCTGTGAAGAAAGTCATTGGTAGCTTGATGGGGATGGCATTGAATCTGTAAATTACCTTGGGCAGTATGGCCATTTTCATGATATTGATTCTTCCTACCCATGAGCATGGAATGTTCTTCCATTTGTTTGTATCCTCTTTTATTTCCTTGAGCAGTGGTTTGTAGTTCTCCTTGAAGAGGTCCTTCACATCCCTTGTAAGTTGGAATCCTAGGTATTTTATTCTCTTTGAAGCAATTGTGAATGGGAGTTCACTCATGATTTGGCTCTCTGTTTGTCTGTTATTGTTGTATAAGAATGCTTGTGATTTTTGTACATTGATTTTGTATCCTGAGATTTTGCTGAAGTTGCTTATCAGCTTAAGGAGATTTGGGGCTGAGACGATGGGGTTTTCTAGATATACAATCATGTCGTCTGCAAACAGGGACAATTTAACTTCCTCTTTTCCTACTTGAATACCCTTTATTTCCTTCTCCTGCCTAATTGCCCTGGCCAGAACTTCCAACACTATGTTGAATAGGAGTGGTGAGAGAGGGCATCCCTGTCTTGTGCCAGTTTTAAAAGGGAATGCTTCCAGTTTTTGCCCATTCAGTATGATATTGGCTGTGGGTTTGTCATAGATAGCTCTTATTATTTTGAAATACGTCCCATCAATACCTAATTTATTGAGAGTTTTTAGCATGAAGGGTTGTTGAATTTTGTCAAAGGCTTTTTCTGCATCTATTGAGATAATCATGTGGTTTTTGTCCTTGGCTCTGTTTATATGCTGGATTACATTTATTGATTTGCGTATATTGAACCAGCCTTGCATCCCAGGGATGAAGCCCACTTGATCATGGTGGATAAGCTTTTTGATGTGCTGCTGGATTCGTTTTGCCAGTATTTTATTGGGGATTTTTGCATCAATATTCATCAAGGATATTGGTCTAAAATTCTCTTTTTTGGTTGTGTCTCTGCCCGGCTTTGGTATCAGAATGATGCTGGCCTCATAAAATGAGTTAGGGAGGATTCCCTCTTTTTCTATTGATTGGAATAGTTTCAGAAGGAATGGTACCAGTTCCTCCTTGTACCTCTGATAGAATTCGGCTGTGAATCCATCTGGTCCTGGACTCTTTTTGGTTGGTAAACTATTGATTATCGCCACAATTTCAGCTCCTGTTATTGGTCTATTCAGAGATTCAACTTCTTCCTGGTTTAGTCTTGGGAGATTGTATGTGTCGAGGAATTTATCCATTTCTTCTAGATTTTCTAGTTTATTTGCGTAGAGGTGTTTGTAGTATTCTCTGATGGTAGTTTGTATTTCTGTGGGATCGGTGGTGATATCCCCTTTATCATTTTTTATTGTGTCTATTTGATTCTTCTCTCTTTTTTTCTTTATTAGTCTTGCTAGCGGTCTATCTATTTTGTTGATCCTTTCAAAAAACTAGCTCCTGGATTCATTAATTTTTTGAAGGGTTTTTTGTGTCTCTATTTCCTTCAGTTCTGCTCTGATTTTAGTTATTTCTTGCCTTCTGCTAGCTTTTGAATGTGTTTGCTCTTGCTTTTCTAGTTCTTTTAATTGTGATGTTAGGGTGTCAATTTTGGATCTTTCCTGCTTTCTCTTGTGGGCATTTAGTGCTATAAATTTCCCTCTACACACTGCTTTGAATGCATCCCAGAGATTCTGGTATGTTGTGTCTTTGTTCTCGTTGGTTTCAAAGAACATCTTTATTTCTGCCTTCATTTCGTTATGTACCCAGTAGTCATTCAGGAGCAGGTTGTTCAGTTTCCATGTAGTTGAGCGGTTTTGAGTGAGATTCTTAATCCTGAGTTCTAGTTTGATTGCACTGTGGTCTGAGAGATAGTTTGTTATAATGTCTGTTCTTTTACATTTGCTGAGGAGAGCTTTACTTCCAAGTATGTGGTCAATTTTGGAATAGGTGTGGTGTGGTGCTGAAAAAAATGTATATTCTGTTGATTTGGGATGGAGAGTTCTGTAGATGTCAATTAGGTCCGCTTGGTGCAGAGCTGAGTTCAATTCCTGCGTATCCTTGTTGACTTTCTGTCTCGTTGATCTGTCTAATGTTGACAGTGGGGTGTTAAAGTCTCCCATTATTAATGTGTGGGAGTCTAAGTCTCTTTGTAGGTCACTCAGGACTTGCTTTATGAATCTGGGTGCTCCTGTATTGGGTGCATATATATTTAGGATAGTTAGCTCTTCATGTTGAATTGATCCCTTTACCATTATGTAATGGCCTTCTTTGTCTCTTTTGATCTTTGTTGGTTTAAAGTCTGTTTTATCAGAGACTAGGATTGCAACCCCTGCCTTTTTTTGTTTTCCATTTGCTTGGTAGATCTTCCTCCATCCTTTTATTTTGAGCCTATGTGTGTCTCTGCACGTGAGATGGGTTTCCTGAATACAGCACACTGATGGGTCTTGACTCTTTATCCAATTTGCCAGTCTGTGCCTTTTAATTGGAGCATTAAGTCCATTTACATTTAAAGTTAATATTGTTATGTGTGAATTTGATCCTGTCATTATGATGTTAGCTGGTGATTTTGCTCGTTAGTTGATGCAGTTTCTTCCTATTCTCGATGGTCTTTACATTTGGGCATGATTTTGCAGCGGCTGGTACCGGTTGTTGCTTTCCATGTTTAGCACTTCCTTCAGAAGCTCTTTTAGGGCAGGCCTGGTGGTGACAAAATCTCTCAGCATTTGCTTGTCTGTAAAGTATTTTATTTCTCCTTCACTTATGAAGCTTAGTTTGGCTGGATATGAAATTCTGGGTTGAAAATTCTTTTCTTTAAGAATGTTGAACATTGGCCCCCACTCTCTTCTGGCTTGTAGGGTTTCTGCCGAGAGATCCACTGTTAGTCTGATGGGCTTCCCTTTGAGGGTAACCCGACCTTTCTCTCTGGCTGCCCTTAACATTTTTTCCTTCATTTCAACTTTGGTGAATCTGACAATTATGTGTCTTGGAGTTGCTCTTCTCAAGGAGTATCTTTGTGGCGTTCTCTGTATTTCCTGAATCTGAACGTTGGCCTGCCTTGCTAGATTGGGGAAGTTCTCCTGGATAATATCCTGCAGAGTGTTTTCCAACTTGGTTCCATTCTCCCCATCACTTTCAGGTACACCAATGAGACGTAGATTTGGTCTTTTCACATAGTCCCATACTTCTTGGAGGCTTTGCTCATTTCTTTTTATTCTTTTTTCTCTAAACTTCCCTTCTCGCTTCATTTCATTCATTTCATCTTCCATTGCTGATACCCTTTCTTCCAGTTGATCGCATCGGCTCCTGAGGCTTCTGCATTCTTCACGTAGTTCTCGAGCCTTGGTTTTCAGCTCCATCAGCTCCTTTAAGCACTTCTCTGTATTGGTTATTCTAGTTATACATTCTTCTAAATTTTTTTCAAAGTTTTCAACTTCTTTGCCTTTGGTTTGAATGTCCTCCCGTAGCTCAGAGTAATTTGATCGTCTGAAGCCTTCTTCTCTCAGCTCGTCAAAGTCATTCTCCATCCGGCTTTGTTCCGTTGCTGGTGAGGAACTGCGTTCCTTTGGAGGAGGAGAGGCGCTCTGCGTTTTAGAGTTTCCAGTTTTTCTGTTCTGTTTTTTCCCCATCTTTGTGGTTTTATCTACTTTTGGTCTTTGATGATGGTGATGTACAGATGGGTTTTTGGTGTGGATGTCCTTTCTGTTTGTTAGTTTTCCTTCTAACAGACAGGACCCTCAGCTGCAGGTCTGTTGGAATACCCTGCCGTGTGAGGTGTCAGTGTGCCCCTGCTGGGGGGTGCCTCCCAGTTAGGCTGCTCGGGGGTCAGGGGTCAGGGACCCACTTGAGGAGGCAGTCTGCCCGTTCTCAGATCTCCAGCTGCGTGCTGGGAGAACCACTGCTCTCTTCAAAGCTGTCAGACAGGGACATTTAAGTCTGCAGAGGTTACTGCTGTCTTTTTGTTTGTCTGTGCCCTGCCCCCAGAGGTGGAGCCTACAGAGGCAGGCAGGCTTCCTTGAGCTGTGGTGGGCTCCACCCAGTTCGAGCTTCCCGGCTGCTTTGTTTACCTAAGCAAGCCAGGGCAATGGCGGGCGCCCCTCCCCCAGCCTCGCTGCCGCCTTGCAGTTTGATCTCAGACTGCTGTGCTAGCAATCTGTGAGACTCCGTGGGCGTAGGACCCTCCGAGCCAGGTGCAGGATATAATCTCGTGGTGCGCCGTTTTTTAAGCCGGTCGGAAAAGCACAATATTCGGGAGGGAGTGACCTGATTTTCCAGGTGCATCCGTCACCCCTTTCTTTGACTCGGAAAGGGAACTCCCTGACCCCTTGCGCTTCCCAAGTGAGGCAATGCCTCGCCCTGCTTCGGCTCGCGCACAGTGCGCGCACTCACTGACCTGCGCCCACTGTCTGGCACTCCCTAGTGAGATGAACCCGGTACCTCAGATGGAAATGCAGAAATCACCCGTCTTCTGTGTCGCTCATGCTGGGAGCTGTAGACCGGAGCTGTTCCTATTCGGCCATCTTGGCTCCTCCGGTCTCCATCTCTTGACCTTGTGATCCACCCGCCTCGGCCTCCCAAAGTGCTGGGATTACAGGCATGAGCCACCGCGCCCGGCCAGTATTTCATTACTTTTTACGATCAAATAATAGTCCATTGTAGGGATGCTATTGGCAAAAACCTCAATGACTTTCGCACCAACCTAACGCCTTTTGTTTATCTGTTCATCAATTGATGGACATATGGGTGGTTTCCTCCTTTTGGCTGTTATGAATAATGCTGCTATGAACATGTGTGTACAAAGTTTTGTGTGAATATGTTTCATTTCTCTGGGGATAAACCTAGGTGTGAAATTGCTGAATCCAATGGTAATTTCATGCTTAAATTTTTTATTTTTTATTTATTTTTTATTTTTTTGAGATGGAGTCTCACTCTGTTGCCCAGGCTGGAGTACAGTGGCGCGATCTCGGCTCACTGCAAGCTCTGCCTCCTGGGTTCACGCCATTCTCCTGCCTCAGCCTCCCGAGTAGCTGGGACTACAGGCGCCTGCCACCATGCCCGGCTAATTTTTTTGTGTGTTTTTAGTAGAGTTGGGGTTTCACCATGTTAGCCAGGGTGGTCTCAATCTCCTGACCTCGTGATCCACCCGCCTCGGCCTCCCAAAGTGCTGGGATTACAGGCGTGAGCCACCGTGCCCGGCCACATGCTTAAATTTTTGAAGAACTTCCAGACTATTTTTCAAATTGCTTGCACCATTTTACATTCCCACCAGTAGTGTTTGAGGGTTCTAATTTCTCCACATCCTCGACAACACTTGTTATTACCTGACTTTTTATTGTAGCCATCCTAGTGGGTATGAAGTGGTGTCTCACTGTAGTTTTGATTCATATTTCTCTGAGGACTAATGACATCGGGCAATTTTTTTTTTGTTTTTTTAAAGACAGGGTCTCACTGTCATCCAGGAAGTAGTACAGTGAGATAATCATGGCTCACTGCAGCCTTGACTTCCTGGGCTCAAGTGATCCTCCCACCTCAGCCTCCTGGGTAGCTGGGACTACAGGTATGCACTACCATCCCTGGGCTAATTTTTTTCTTTTTTTGTGTGTGTAGGGATGCGGGTCTCACTTTGTTGCTCAGAGTGGTCTCAAACTCCTGGCCTCATGTGATCTTCCTACCTCAGTCTCCCAGAGTGCTGGGATTACAGATGTGAGCCACTGTGCCTGGCCAATGTTTAGCATTTTTTTCATGTGTTTATTGGGCATTTATGTATCTTCTTTGGAGAAGAGTCTAGTCAGATCCTTTGTCCATTTTTTAATTAGGTTGTCTTTTTATTTTTGAGTTGCAAGATTTCTTAATGTATTGTAGATACCAGTTCCTTATCAGATATATGCTTTGCAAATATTTTATTCCATTCTGTGGGTTATCTTTAACATTTCTCGATAGTGTCCTTTCAAACATACAAGTTAAATTTTGATCAGTCCTTTCTCAGCTCTTCTCCACCCTCAGCCTTCCATAGTTCCTGCACACCTATGGGTACGCAATGGGTTGTTTGCACCCCTGCATTTCCATAGCGGTTTGTGCTTCCCTCTGCTAGTGTGGGGCTAGGATTTTGCTAAGCAGAGAGGCATGGGGAGGGGAAGCCCAGATAGCCACTGGTCACACCACCTCCTTTACTGTGGCATTGGACATGAGTACCTCCAGGGTGGGGAAAGGGTTTATCTCCCATTGCTATTTCCTGGTCCCATGTGCCTGATAAGGTCAGGAACATTTTGTTGAATGAATACTTGGAAAAAAAATTTCCTCCATTTTTTCAGTCTTATTGAATCCTAAACCTTCAGAGCTGATGATAAGCCTCAAGTACCCCCTGCATTCCAGGCCTAGTAGAGTGCCAGGTCAGGAACCATTGGTGAATATTTATTAAAGAGATCATACTACAAAACCCAATTCTTGCACAGATCAACAACAAAAAAAAGCAAAGACAAGGGGATTGAAAGGGGTGGGGAGTTACTGTTTAATGGAGTTTTGCTTTTACAAGATGAAGAGCTTTCTGGAGATGGGTGGTGGTGATGGTTACCCAACAATGTGAACGTGCTTAACACCATTGAACTGTACACTTAAAAATGGTTCCAATGGTAAATTTTATGTTCCTTATATTTCACCATAATTTCAAAAATTTTAAAGAAATACTACAAAATAAATACATTCTAACCTGAAGAATCACAATAAAACAAAAACAGCAACATCAGTAACAATGACAAAACCCTCTCTGAATGAATGCTGGCACGGAAAGTGGGAAAAGGTTACGCCTGCATTATTTCGATCCACTTCACTAAATGGAAAGGAAATAGGATTTGACTGTGCTATTCAGCAGACCACATCAGGTTAGAGCCGCACACTCATCCCACACGGATCAGCTCACCTGGGAGCCCAGCTGTGTGCCCGGAGCCCCTGGGGAATCTGTTTCCTCTTTCTGAAGCCAGGAAAGGCATTAGAGGCAGGGCAGGTGAGACTGGGAGAAGGGAAGCCCTTTAAACTCTCCTTCCACCAGACATTGTCTCCTCTGTGCAATGTCCTTTGATACAGAGCCTAGGAGTTGTGTCAAGTTGGTGAGGCCACAGGACCAAGCCAGTTATACAACTCTGGAATGATACATAACAAGGGCAAAAATAGCCACCAGCTATCTAAAGCTCGCTGTGTGCTGGGGACCTGCAAAGGGCTCTACGTGCAGTATCCCATTTAATCCTCAGAACAACCCGTGAGGTCAGTCCTGCAATCATCTCCATCGACAAATGAGGAAACTAAGGCACAGATGGGGCTAGTAACTGATTTGTGTATTCGAAGAGATTGCCTAGGAAGTGAATTTGAGGCTGGAATCTTGTCGCTGAAATGCTACACTTCTCTGTCTTCCACTGCTGCCGTTCCACAGATGGGGAAATGGAGTTCTTCAGAGCTTTGACTCAGATATTTTGACTCTTGAAACTCTTGAAGTTTCAACTCTGAAGGGTTGACTTCTTTAAAGTTATTTAGTCAGTTGAGGAGAGAGTTGAAGTTGGGCTTCTTTATTCAGTCAGGTGATGAGAGAGTTGAAGTTGGAATCCAGGTCTCCCAATCTCCAATACAGTACCTTTTCTACCATACACGGCCTCATCTGAGAAAGAGAAGTGAGATCTTACCACCCGAACCCCATTTGCCTCCCAGTTGTCCCCCCTTGGAGACAGTGAGGGGGCATTGGCAGAGGAATTCTTGCCTTGCTGATCCCCATCTTCAGATCTCTCTCTCTATTTCTCTCTCTCTCTTTTTTTTTTCTGTTTTGCTTTTCAATCCTGAGTGCTTCACTCTCCAAGGAGAGATGAGCGGGCACCCCCAGGATTGGGAGATCTAAGCAGGCTCAAGAAACTTTTCTAACCCAAGGATATTGAGGGCATTTCAGAGAGGACCTGGGGCCTGCAGGGGAGGTGGTGGTAAGGTAGGTGATGGAGATGAAGGAGGCAAGTACAGCATGCAAAGAGGGGGCCTCTGTAGATAGACACCCCCTCTCTGAGCCTCAGTGTCCTCTTTGTACGTTGGTGGTGCAGGGAGATAGTCAGGGTTCATGGTTTCTAGGCTCATCCTCTCTGTCTTAGGTTGGTTCCCTGGAAGCCAACCCTGAGATTATTGGTTTGTGAAGGAAATGCCCACGAGAGAAACTAAAGAGGGGGTTGGGGAATCAGGGCAGGGGAGGGGAAAAGCAAAGCAAGCTTGTGACTCAAGTTCAGTGCAACCTCAGCCTGATCCCTCAGGGGAGCTCCAGGGGATGGCTTTTGCTCCAGAGTTTGTTCCAGTGGAAAGCAAGGCAGGTGCCTTTCGCCATTTAGTCTGAGGGTCACCTGAGGGGAGAATGGGGTAATGTAACTCCCAGACATTTACCATACTCTCTGCACATAGGGAAAAGTGTCTTCGGTAGTACAAGGCAAGCCAGGAGAGTTGCATAGGCAGGTGGTTAGCAAGAAAAGCCAATAGAATGGTGTACACAGAATGATAAAAGGGAATCTGGTGGGGCATTCCAGTGTCCCCTTCACCACCCTTAGATTCATCCTGATTATTTCAGGATTCTAGATCTCCCTGCAAAGCACAGGATTGATGAGAGAAGAGGTGAGGGTCCCTCTAGACTGGATGCCAGAATCTGGCCCCTCAAACGAGAGCATTGGAGTGTGAGGGCAGGGAACAGGGTCAGGGGAATCCCAAAGAACCAGATGTCATCGTTTGGCAGGGCTGAAGGGGGCTGACTCTCCTCTCTCCTCTCAACGCCTGCTGATAAACATGCACAGAGTCACACCCAGAGTCTTGCACCCTCAGACACATGGGGGCACAGGAGCATACTTGCGTGACTATGCTTGTGAAGCACACATGCTAGTGCACAGACATGCACCCACAGACTCATGCACAGGTGTGTACATGCTTTCACACAAGCCCATACACACATATAGATGTTCTTGCAGAAGCATAGCCATAGACATACATACATGTCTGCACACGTGTTCCTGAGCCCACGCCAGAAGTGTGGCCAGCCAAGATCCCTTTTATTCCTGGCTCTCAGGGGAGGAGACGGTAGGGGGATGGGCAAGTAGGGCCCAGGGCCAGGCCAGTTGCAGCTGGCTACTGAGGATTGACCTTTGGCTGGAATGGCCCAGATCACGCCTGTTGCACAGCCCAGTCTCATGTCCGTCTGGGGTTGCCTATAGAGGACTGATAAGGGTGTCTTGGAGGTCAGCTGCTGTCCCTACCCCCAAAATTTCACTCCCAGTCCTTAGAGGATCAGCCAGGGGCCCTCAGTCTCCAACATACAGATGAGGGACTGCAGTCCAGGGAAGGAAATGGACTGGGCCTCCTGACACCCAGCTCCTGCTCCCTCCCCAAAGTGTAGGAGCTAGCAGGAGCCTTGCCACTGAGAAGTGGGGACATCAGTGCTTAATCAGACCAACCTCTGCTCTGAGGGGCTCCCAGTCTGGTGTAGGCCATAGACATTTTAAAAGTGTGATCAAGGCCGGGTGCAGTGGCTCACGCCTGTAATCCCAGCACTTCTGGAGGCCAAGACAGACAGATCACCTGAGGTTGGGAGTTCGAGACCAGCCTGATCAACATGGAGAAACCCAGTCTCTACTAAAAATACAAAAATTAGCTGGGTATGGTGGTGCATGCCTATAATCCTAGCTACTCAGGAGGCTAAGGCAGGAGAATCCCTTGAACCCAGGAGGCAGAGGTTGCAGTGAGCCAAGATTGCGCCATTGCACTCCAGCCTGGGCAACAAGAGCGAAACTCCATCTAAAAAAAAAAAAAAAAACACCACTGAAAAACAAAAGTGTGATCAATGCTAGGCTGGAAGGAAGCAGGGAATTGCGGAAGCCAAGAGGAGGCACCTCACAGCCTGGAGGGAGGTTGGATCAGGGATGGCTTTTTGGTGGAGTTAATGTCTAAAATGACTTAAAAGACTAAGGAGGAATTGAATTTGAGTAGTGAACAGCATCTTAGGCAGAGGGAACAGCTTGTGTAAAATGCTGGTCCTGGGGGAAGCAAGGTGCCCTAGAGAACTGGAAGTTCAATATGGCTGGAGGGTAGAGAGTGGCTGGGAAGGAAGACAGAAACCAGACTGTGCGGGCTGTATGCCAGCCAAGGAGCTGGACAGATAGACCACTGGGAAGTTTGAATCAGGTGAATGGTATGGTCAGACTTACATTAGAAAGATCCTTCTGGCTGCAAAGTGGAGGGTGGATAGCTTAAGATAGATTTGAGGTGGAAGATAAGACAACTCATTAATTGAGGGCTGACAGAGGCTTGCAGGCAGAAAGGCAAAGTCCAGGATATTATGCAGGTATTCATATAACAAGCGATGAAATGTGTTTCTACAAGATATTTGTTGTTGTTGTTGTTGTTGTTTTTAGAGATGGAATCTCACTCTGTTGCCCAGGCTGGAGTGCAGTGGTGCGATCTCGGCTCACTGCAACCTCCACCTCCTGGGTTCCAGCAATTCTCCTGCCTCAGTGTCCCAAGTAGATGGGACTACAGGCACCCACCGCCACGCCCAGCTAATTTTTTTTTAAATTTTAGTAGAGGCAGGATTTCACCGTGTTGCCCAGGCTGGTCTTTAACTCCTGAGCTCAGGCAATCTGCCCACCTAGGCCTCCCAAAGTGCTAGAATTACAGGCATGAGCCACCATGCCCGGCCTGTTTTTGTTTTTGTTTTTTTAAAGAGATGGGGTCTCATGAAGTTGCCCAGGCTGGAGTGCAGTGGCTATTCACAGGTGCGACCCCACTACCAATCAGCACAGGAGTTTTAACCTGCTCCATTTCTGACCTGGGCTGGTTTACCCCTCCTTAGGCAACCTGGTGGTCCCTTGCTCCCAGGAAGTCACCATAATGATGCTGAACTGAGTGTGAACACACAATTGGTATAGCACACTACAGCCCAGAGCTCCTGGGCTCAAGCGATCCTCCTGCCTCAGTCTCCAGAATAGCTGGGACTAAGGTGCATGACATCACACCTGGCTACAAAATTTTAACTGTAAACCCAAAGTAAATAATTGAGTATAATTTTTTGTAACATAGGTCTTGTAATAAGAATAATGAAGTTCTTTTTTGGAAGATAACATTTTAGTTCACTGGGGCTCAAAGTTCGTGTTTCCTATCATTAAATTGATTTCAAATGTTCATCTGTAAAAACCGTTCTTAGCCCACAGGTCATTCAAACAGAGGCTATAGCTTGCTCACCCTTAGTCTAGACTAATGGGGCCTTGGTAGAAGCGAGTAAGAAACAGGAGGCTCTTCCCTCCCCTCTTTACCGTCCCACAAGCCACAGTGCCTAAATCTTTGCCATTACTACCATTACTAAGCATTGCTGCTTCCACTGGGCTCTAGTTACTAGGAGGGACCTAGATCCTTTAGTCAAAAGAAAGACGCCAGGAATATAAACATCCCATAATTATGACCTCTCAGGGCAAGAGGGATCTCAGTAGTCCCTCTCCAGCCCTTTTCCAGGGCAGAATTAACATATATGTTTTGTAGAATCACTATATACTCCAGATACAGAAAGTGACTTACCCGAGGACATGCTGCAAGTTGCTGACAGGACTGGGACTTGAACTCAGGTCTTAGGATCCCTAACCCCACATTTCTTTATTTATACTACCATGAGGACATGGCCAATGTGGATGGGAGGAACACATGGGGAAGAGAGTAGTGTCAGGTCTCATTTGCCCAAGACAAGGGGCTCTTCAGGCTCCTGCCTTCCCCTTCTACCAGTCCAGTGGCAGATCAGCCCTCCTAATTTATTTCACATTTGCATATATCACTTCCAGATGAGGAACCTGAGTCTCAGAGAGAGTGAAGAACTTGCCTAGCATCTGTGGTAGGCTGAAAAGTGGCCCCCCAAAAGATATCTACATCCTAGTCTCTACAACCTGTGGATGTTAGCTTACATGGCAAAAAAGGTTGAGGGAGCTCTGCAGATGTGATTATGCTGAGGATCTTGAGATGGGAGCTTACCCTGGATGATATGGACAGGCTCTGAATGCCATTACATGTTCATAAGAGGGAAGCAGAGAGAGATTCTACGAGACACAGAGGGCAGAAGATGATGTGATGGTGGAAGCAGAGAGAAAGATTTGAAGATGCTGCTACCTGTGGAGATGGAGGAAGGGCCCATGAGCCAAGGAAAGTAGCTCTAGAAGCTGGACAAGTTAAGGAAACAGATTCCCCCCTAGAGCCTCTGGAGGGAAGTGGCCCTGCTGGCACCTTATCAAACTGACACCATTGCCACTGATTTCAGACTTCTTGCCTTCAGAACTGTAAGAGGATACATTTCTGTTGTTTTAAATGACTAAGTTTATGGTAATTTGCTATAACAGCTGCAGAAACCTAACATGACATCTCACAGCAATTGTTCTCAATGTAAATAAAATTTTAATTTTAGAATAGTTTTAGATTTACAGAAAAGATGCACAGATAGTAAAGAGAATTCCTATACACACTTCACCTTAAATGTTCAGAACTATTACACATTTGTCACAACTAAAAAGGCAAGATTGGCACATTACTATCAAACTCCTTATTTTATTCCAATTTTACTGGTTTTTCCTAGTGACTTCTATCTGTTAGAGGATCCCACCCAGGATACCATATTTCATTTAGATATCATGTCTTCTTAGCCTCCTCTGGTCTGTGACAGTTTCTCAGATTTTCCTTGTATTTGATGATGTTTAGTTTTGAGAAGTACAGGTCAGGTGTTCTGTGGGCTGTTCCTCAATATGGATTTATCTGATGTTTTTCTCCTGATTAAACTGGGGTTATGGCGTTTGGGGAGAAAGGCCACAGGAGTGATGTGCCATTCTCATCATAATACATCAAGGGTACTTACTATCAACATGACTTATCACTGGTGATTTTAACCTTGATCACCTGGCAGAGGTAGTGTTTTCTAGGTGCTTTCACTATAAAGTTACTCCCTGTCCCTCCCTCCACACCCAGCTCTTTCTCAGTGCTACCCTTGGAAGCAAGTCTCTAAGCACAACCCAGTTCAACTGGGAGAGGGCTGAGCTTCATCTCAGGGGGAATATCTACAGAAGTTATTTGGGATTCTTCTCTTAGGGAGATTTGTCTCTTCTCTCCCATTTATTTATTATTCAATCATTTATATCAGTATGTACTCATGGATATTTATTTTACACTTTGGATTATAATCCCAGTACTATGTTGTTTATTTTATTGTTTGAATTGTTGCAGCTGTGGACATTGGGAGCTTGTTCTGTTTGGCTCCTGTGTCCTTTTGAGATATCCTCATCATTTTGTTTTTTTAAGCACTTCTTTACTTTCTGGCACTACAAGATTTTTCAGGCTCATCTTGCATTTTCCCTACTCCAGCCCTAGAATCAGGCATTTCTTTAAGTGTCTCAGGAATTCTTTTTATATTTATTTTTATTTTTTACTTATTTTATTTTATTTTTGAGATGGAGTTTTACTCTTGTCTCCCAGGCTGGAGTGCAGTGGTGCAATCTTGGCTCTCTACAACTTTCGCCTCCTGGATTCAAGCAATTCTCCCACCTCAGCTTCCTGAGTAGCTAGGATTACAGGTGCCTGCCACCACGCCTGACTAATTTTTGTATTTTTAGTAGAGAAAGGGTTTCACCATGTTAGCCAGGCTGGTCTTGAACTCCTGACCTTATGATTCTCCCACCTCAGCCTCCCAAGTGCTGGGATTACAGGCATGAGCCACCGTGTCTGGCCAGGAATTCTTTTTTTAGAGAAAGGTATTAGAAACCAAGATCTGAGCTCTCGGTGTGCTAGTTGCTACTGGGTGCCACTGTTTCTAGTCCCTCTCAGAAGACAGAGCTAGGAGACATATATTTCCCATGTATACATACCTATTTATAATTGCATCTATCCAGCTGTGTCTATATTAAACTAAATATGAGTTCATATGATGTCTCCCTCTAATTCCTTACCACATGGATCATTCTAGTCATCCTCCTTCTCCAACAGTGAGAAAAGTGGCCCCTGTCATCTATTTACTTATGTGTTCAATTGCAACACATGTATGGCAGTTTCAGACTTGTTACCCTGCACCCCCATGATAAATTCATCTTTACCAAGTACGGTGCAGTGTTTATGGACATTGTATTTTTACATCAGTCTTGCAGTTTCCAGTCAAAATATTCTTTCCCAAAGTTACTTAGGTCAGCCCTTTGTTCTCTCACTCCCTTCAGTGAAGTTTTCTCATACATTTATAAGACAATTGAGATTCTTTCATCATCACAGTCTGCATTCTACCCTGGGATACCTTAACTTTTTGGGCGATTCTAAAAGTTTAATTTCTGTACATTAAAGTTTACCTTGTGGGTTTTTTTTTGGGGGGTGGGGGATGGAGTTTCACTCTTGTCACCCAGGCTGGAGTGCAGTGGCATGATCTTGGCTCACCGCAACCTCCACTTCCTGGGTTCAAGCGACGTTCCTGCCTCAGCCTCCCGAGTAGCTAGGATTATAGGCGCCTGCCACCTAGCCTGGCTAATTTTTGTATTTTTAGTAGAGACGGGGTTTCACCATGTTGGCCAGGCTGGTCTCGAACTCCTGACCTCAGGTGATCCACCCACCTCGGCCTCCCAAAGTGGTAGGATTACAGACATGAGCCACCGCTCCTGGCCTACCTTGTGGTTTTTAACAAATGCATAGTATCAAGTAGACAGCACTATAATACCATAGGAATTAGTTCTACTGCCCTAGAAAGCTCCCAGTGCTTCCTCAGCCATAGGCTCCCTACAGCTGATATGCTTTTTTGTCCCTATATGTTATCCTTTTCCAGAATGTCATAGGAGTGAAATCATACAGTATGTAGCCTTTTTGGTCTGGCTTCTTTGGCTTAGCAAAATGCACTTAAGATTCATCCATGCTATTGTGTGAATTTACAGCTCAGTTATCTGTATTTCTGAATAGGATTCCATTGTATGGATTGAACCACAGGTTTTTAAAACATCCATTCACCTATTGAAGGACATCTTGGTTGCTTCCAGTTTTTGGTGATTATGAATAAAGTGGCCATAAACATTCATGTACAGGTTTTCATATAGACTAGTTTTCCAATCAGTAGAGTAAATACCTAAGAGCACAGTTGCTCAGTTGTGTAGTAAGTCTATGTTTAACTTTATGAGAATCTGCCAAACTGTCTTCTAAAATGGCTGTGCCATTTTGAATAAATAAGAGTTATTTTTAATTTTACAGATTAAATCCAACCATTCTGATCCTTTCTTTTGTTTCCCAAGCTGGTAGTCAGGTCACACTTTATTAGACAAAAATACAGCCTTTGCAGTCAGATCTGAATTCAAATCCTCGCTCCACCACTTAAAAACAGTGTGACTGCAGACAAATTTTTTAACCTCTCCGAGCCTCGTACTGAGATTTACCCCTTTAAATACGCATGATGTCACAGATTGGGTTCTCCAGGAAGTGGATTCTGAGATGGTGTGTAGCCTACAGGATGTTTCTTAGAGAACCTTTGGAGTCAATACCACAAGAAGGAAGGGAACGCAGCAAATTTGGATGGAGGGAGAAGTCAAACTGAAATGTCCCATCAGAGTTGTATTGATCTGGGCTGACGTGGCCCGGCCTTTCTACCCTGGCTGGCTCAGTCATGGGCTGTATGCCCTTGCAGAGGCAGCTCTCTGCAGTGGAGGTGATCTCAGAAGGGGCAGACTACACTTCCTGCAGCTGGGAATGGAGTTCTTCCCCGAAAATGCGCCTGGGGACACATCCTCGTATCCACTGCCCAAGGCAGAGTGGAAAGAGCACTGGGTGGGAACTGGGATGCCAGTTCTGCATCTGCCACTTACCAGCTATGTGACTTCAGGCAAGCCCTGCCCTTCTAGGAGCCTTCTCAGCTTATCTGGGTGAAAGTGGCTAAGATGACATCCCTAACCAATTAGTGTATAGCACTTTGCAATTCACCGGTTAGTTTTGTGTTTCTTAACTCGCAACAACCTTACAATGCCAGCATTTAGTCACAACAAAGAGTTCCAGGGCAGTGCTGTGTTACTCCAATGTGGTCTGGAGACCAATGCACGTCCATGAACAGCTTGTTACTGGTTCTTGACAAAATAATTACAGAAATGGAGCGGAACTGTTCAGAGACTTCAGAGCAATATGGCACAGTAATTTCATGTCTGTTGAAACTAATAATAAAATGTTATACTATGTCTTAGTTTTCTTTTCTCATTTTTCTAGTAACTTATATTGTGTCTTATAAAATGGATAGGTCCATGAAGGATTGGGAAAAAAAGCAAAAACCAAAAATCTGGTCGTTTACCACAGACATTTCAAGAAGCATTGACCTAGGGCATCCCCAAATGCAGGCTTTTGACAATTTTACTTTTTTTTTTAGAGGAGGGGCTCTTTTGGCTGGGCACAGTGGCTCACACCCGTAATCCCAGCACTTTGGGAGGCTGAGGCGGGTGGATCAACTGAGGTCGGGAGTTCAAGACCAGCCTGACCAACATGGAGAAACCCCGTCTCTACTAAAAATTCAAAATTAGCCGGGTGTGGTGGCGCATGCCTGTAATCCCAGCTACTCAAGAGGCTGAGGCAGGAGAATCGCTTGAACCCGGGAGGCGGAGGTTGCGGTGAGCCAATGTCGTGCCATTGCACTCCAGCCTGGGCAACAAAAGTTAAACTCTGTCTCAAAAAAAAAAAAAAAAAAGAGGAGGGGCTCTTAAATCATTGACATGTTATTGATAGGGACAGAGTTTTGTGGCTGTTTTTTGTTCTTTAAGGTCCCCTTTAAAAGGGGCTGACGCTGGGCACGGTGGCTCAAGCCTGTAATCCCAGCACTTTGGGAGGCCGAGGCAGGCAGATCACGAGATCAGAAGTTCGAGACCAGCCTGGCCAACATGGTGAAACCCGTCTCTACTAAAAATACAAAAAAATTAGCCGGGCGTGGTGGCATGTGCCTGAAATCTCAGCTACTTGGGAGGCTGAGGCAAGAGAATTGCTTGAACCCGGGAGGCAGAAGTTGCAGTGAGCCGAGATTGTGCCACTGCACTCCGGCCTGGGCAACAGAGCAAGACTCTGTCTCAAAAAAAAAAGCTAAAAGGGGCTGCCAGAAACGAGCTGCCTGTCATAATTTTCTCCTCACCTTATCACTAAAGATGTGAACAGATGTACACCAGTTCAACTGTTGAAAAGGGAAACAGGTTGGTTTTCCAGCAGGGGTTGAAGGGACTCTAGAGTCTTAGAAATGCCCTAACCTCATTTGTGATAGACACAAACTCTCGTAAGTCTTTCAAAAACCATTTCCTGGAATTTATAAAGGGGGAGAGGGAGGAAGAACTGGCATTTATTGAACACCCATTTGTGGGAAGACCATTTACAAGTGAAGAAACTGAGACTCAGCAACTGGACCTGACTTGCACAGGGTCACGCAGCCAGGCTGGCTCTCCGGCCTCTGCCATTTCCATTGTGCCATTCGGCTGGGTCTGAGGCCAGAACCCAGCAGAATGTGAGGAGCATGTGATAGCTGTCTGGGCAGGCAGTCCACGTCTTGGGGCCAGGATTCCAGAAAGTCCTTTAGCCTTTCTGACAAATGAACCTCATCTATTATAAAGAGGTCACTGTGGGTGTGTTTGACATAATACATGTAGAGCATCCCATCCAGATCCTAGCACATAGTAGGTCCTCAGTAAATGGCTCAGGGTGCTGACTCTGCCCTTCTGTGAGGTCATTAAGACAAATGCCCTGTTCAACCTAAGGCATTTTTTGCCCTTGTGGCCTTGCCCTTGACCTACACCAGCTCAAGGACTTTCCAGGGCTCCTCCCTACCTTTGGGAGAAATTCCTGACTCCTTGACTGGACATTTGGCTTCCACCATTCAGTAGACAAGGGAAAGCCAGGGACCCAATCCAGCTTGGTTGCCACTCTGTCCCCAGCACTTGGCACATAGCAAGGACTCAATAAAAGTTTTCTAAAAAGAGACCTACCTCTAGCCTCCTTTTCTTTGAAACTCACCCTTGCACCGTGACTCACACCTGCAGCTGTCACCAACTTGTGCCCCACATTTTCCCTCCCCTCTGTGTTTGCTCACTCAGCAGCTTCCATCTGGATGCCCTCCTCCCTCCTTCCTGCTTCTGAACCCTCACAAAGCACAGTCCCCTTGGGAGCTGAGACTCAGCAAGTGGACCCGACTTGCACTTGCAGCCTTGTCCCTGCCACGTGGCTGCTGGCTGTGCTATGCTGGCCAACCCCTGGCCAAGTCACCATAAAGCAGTATCAGAGGGACTGCGTCTCAGCAGGCCCTTTGTCCCCTTGGGAAATAATGTCTGAGAACTTCTCCCCAGGTCAAAGTGCAGGCTGATTTCCAGAGGAGACTCCAGCTGTCCCCATTACTTGAGGGCCTCTGACCCTCTCTACCATGCCTGACACATCCTGCCATCCTCTGCTGCCTTTATCTGTGCATGTATGGAGGGGAGGAGGCTGCCTTCCCCACATAAGGGTGAGGCCTCTGAGGCAGGCTCTGAGGGCCCCTGAGAGTTGTTAGGAAGTGCTAAATTAATAATTGAGTCCTTACGTGGATAGCTCCTGGCACATTAGTTGGGGAGGCCAATTACCATAACAAACACACTCCTATCTCAGTGGCTTGAGCCAGTAAAAGGGCATGTTTTTGCACATGCGAAGTCCAGCATGGATATTCCTGCTTGGGTGGCTCTCTTGGGCAGACCTTCTCTGAGATCAGGGCTCTATACACCTTGCATCTTGTGCTGTTGATATCTTCAACATGAAGCCTCCAAGGTTGCTGTGAAAGAAGGAGAGACCTTTCCTCTCTGGCCCCTCAAGCCTCTCCCCTACCCCTTATCTCCCATCCTGGCACCCGTCTGTCTAATGGCCACCTTGTACTCCATCCTAGCCCAGGCTGGGGGGTCACAGTCATCATTCCTACCTGCAGCTTTTGCTCAAACTGTTGCTCTCACCCCTCTGGGTCCCCTTTATATGGCTGGCTCAGTCTCTGTCCTCCAAGGCAAGCTGCCCTGTGCAGAAGTAAACAGCATCAGTGTGATACAGTCTAGACTCTGAAGCTCATCCACCATCACTGTAGCAGCCAGCCTCCAAGCTGGTGCCCAGGGACTCCACCCCTGGGTATTCACACCCTTGTATGGAGTATAGGCTGGACTTAGTGACTCACATCTAACCAAGAAAGTAAGGTGGAATTGATAGTGTGAAACTCAGAGACCAGGTCATAAAAGGCAGTGTGGCCTCTCTCTTTCTCTTGGCTCACTCACTCTGGGAGAAGCCAAGTAATTGGCAGCCCTGTGGAGAGGCCCACATAGCAAACAACAGAAGCCTCCTGCCAACAGCCACACAAGTAGGCCTGGAAGCAGGTCCTGCAGCCACACTCAGGCCTTCAGAGACCACAGCCCCCGCCCCAGCCCCAGCCTGGCTGCAACCTCATGAGAAACCCTGAGCCAGAACCACTCCACTAAGCCATTCCCAGACACCTGACCCCCGGAAACCGAGAGTCGATGAGGGTTTGTTGTTTAAAGCAGCCAAATTTTGGAGTGATCTGTCATGCAGTGATGCAGAACTAATTTAATCACCTCGGAGGCAAAGCCTGAGTCTTCTTCCCCTTATCCCTGCCCCAGGCCTCATGTGGGTGGGATTGAGAGGAAGCACACATGTGAGAATTCATTTACTCAACCAACTCCCACTCACTGGGGATGCTGAGGTCCTGTGCTGGCGGTGGAGCTGGGTTGAATGGGGCTGAAGCCACCATGGATAAGGGCCTAAGGGGGTTCCCAGTCCACTGGGAGACAGAGAAGTACACTCGCCTATGAATGACTATGACCCTTTCATCCCTGAAGACAGTGCAAAAGAGGGCTGATTCAGGGCAAAGGGCAGAGTTTGAGGGTAGAAGTGTAGGATGAGGTTTGACAAAGGAGGCGACCTTTGGAAGTGAGTGACGCTGACCAGACTGAGAAGAAAGAGTGTTCCAGAAGGAAGGGAACGGTGCGCCCCTAAATAAGCCAGTGCAAGAGCAGAGTATATTCAGAGAGCAGCGAAGGGGGCGGGAGTGACAGGTGGCAAGGGGAGAGGGTCCAGAGGTGAGGCTGGTGGGGTCTAGAGGGCAGATGATAAAGGCCTTGAATGCCAGGCTGAGGAGGAGTTTAGGCATTATCCCGAGGCATTGGACACCATTTCAAGAGTTCAGTTTTATTTGTGAGACAGGATGCAGGTCCTGTTTGTGGGTAGGCTGGAGGGAGTGCACTAGAGGCAGGGGCATTGGCGCAGCATTTACCTGGACAGCAACACCTCCTCCCCAGGGTGCTAAGGGCTGTGGTGGAGGAACAGAAAGTCTGGAGAAGCCAGAGGAAACCCCTGTCAACCAGAGGCACTGGGGAAGACTTCTTTGCACAGATAAAATCAGTATTGTAGGATGAGTAGGAATTATCCAGACAAGGGGGAGATAATGGGGAGGATATGGCATTCCATGGCATCCAACATCATGGGCAAAAACTCAGAGGTGAGACAATATAGCTGAGACAAAGAAATGCAAATGGTTCCGAGTGATGGGAGCACGGAGTAAGGGAGGAAGAGAGATGAGGATGGACAGGCTGGGCCAGATGCTGGAGAGTGGCAAACGGCAGGCTGAGAAGCTCGGGCCTGGAAGTGGACATGTTCCGTCTTCCGTTGACCCCTCCAGATCCACTCTGCCTGTCTTTGCCATTCTCCCTTTCCCAGGAGGCCTACATGCCTGGACTGCAGCCACAGGCCCTCCTTCCCTCCAGCTTCTAGTTGGGCTCAGGCAGTGGGGAACTTGGCAGCAGACTGAATGGAGGAAGGTGAAGTGGGAATGCTTGCTCCTGGCTCCTCCCTTGCAGGGTCACCAGACCTGTTCGTGCCCCTTGACCAGCAATGGCCCCCACACATGAGTCTTCCTGGTTCAGGAACTGCTGCTTCCATTCATCCTTCCAGGCCTCAGGGTGGAAACAGTGCACACACCTCAAAAAATGGTTCCTTTTTAAACCCTCCTCAAATTATCCTCTGGTTCCTGCTGGATCCTGATCCTCTGGATTCAGACTGGTCCAAACCCTATCCTAGGAGCAATGGAGGGTCATGGAAGGATGCTGAGTAGGAAATGGCGCGGTCAGCTTTGTGTTTTAGACAGCTCGCTGTGGCTGTGCATGAGGGATCAACAGGGGAGAGCGAGAGGGAGATAGGGCAGCGATGCAAAGCTGAGCTGGGATCCTCGGGACACACAGTGGTGGTACCATGGTCACACAGGGAATTCCAGGGTGTGTGTGCCTGGGGTGGAGAGTGCTTGTGCTTCAGGCTTTTAGTTTTTAAGTTTTGGTGGATTGTTTGCAAAGACGGCAGTAAGAATCCCTGCATGTGTCCACACCCTTTTGTAATATGACATTGCTGCTCCTCCCATCCAGAGGGGGATCCTATTCCTTACTCCTTGAATCTGCTGGGTTGTGACTTGCTTCGACCAACAGAATGCAGTAGAAGAGATGCTTGTGAGGTGTGCAGCCTAGGACTCGAGTCCGTGCAGCTTTGGCTCTCATCTTTTGGAATCAGCCACCAATGAATGTTAACAGACCACTCAATATAGAGAGGGGCCCAGTGTCCATGTGCAAAGAGAGGCCCAGCCCCTCTAGCAGCCCTCACTGTCCTAGCCCCAGCTGACCCCTTGGTCTGGTCTCCTCTTCTGCATTGCCTGCTCTGACTTACAGCCTGATATGGGTTGGATTTGCAGGAGTCTGGGAAGGCTCTGCAGATATGTTCAACAAACACCTCCAGGAAGTCTTCTCAGCACAGCACCTCCTGCTGGGCTCCCTAATGTTGGCCCTGCCCTTTGGGCTCAGCAGAACTCCAAGTGCTGGTCAGCAGGGATGTTGAACTTAAGTTTGTGGGCCTCGAAGAGGTTGCACAGCTCTTTGATATAACGCTGGTGCAGCTGGTTCACCTCCTCCTCCGAGGGATGCAGCGTCTTCTGTACCTCGATGGGCTTCCCCACTGCAAGGCATAGAGGTGTGCAGTGGCCTAGGGTAGGCAAGGGACCCTCGGTGCAGGTGCCCACCCCCATGGTTCATCCCTGCAGAAAAGTGCTCTTACTCCATTCCTTCCAACCCTAATGAATTTTAAGATATTAGGGCAACTCCAAGATTCTGATATAATAACAACGGCTGGATTTCTTTCTTCCTTTTCTTTTCTTTTCTTTTTTTTTTTTTTTGAGGTAGAGTCTCGCTCTGTAGCCCAGGCTGGAGTGCAGTGGCGCAATCTCAGCTCACTGCAACCTCTGCCTCCTGCGTCCTGGTTCAAGCAATTCTCCTGCCTCAGCCTTCCGAGTAGCTGGGATTACAGGCATGCGCCACCATGCCCAGCTAATTTTTGTATTTTTAGTAGAGATGGGGTTTCACCACATTGGACAGGCTGGTCTTGAATTCCTGACCTTGTGATCTGCCCGTCTCGACCTCCCAAAGTGCTGGGATTACAAGTGTGAGCCACCACGCCCAGCCAGTGGCTGGATTTCAATGTGTCAGGCAATGCACTAGGTGCTTTACATGAAATACTCCCTTTTATCCTATGGGTATAAAAACCTGTCATTCCTATTTGACAGATGAGTCAATGAGGCTCAGAGAGGTTGCCTGACTTGTTCAAGGTCACATAGCCAGGAAGAACCACTGCCAGGTTTTAGACCCCAGGGATGTGCCCTTTACCTTCAGGCTATATGATTTGGGGAGTCCAAGATGCCATGAATGGAAGCGGCTATATTTCTAAGATGGGGTGTGTTCATAGCCCAGGCAGCTCTTCTTTCCCTTCTACCCCTCCACGCTGACCTGCAGTGGCTTCTCTCATCCCAGGGAAGAACCAGGAAGGACCTAACTCATCCCTTTCTCTGGTTCTGCCTGGCTGGGAAGGCAGTTCCTCTGTCCTCTCTTCTGGCAATAGCTCTGGAGGCAGCAGAAATATTAAAATTCATGAAAATATTGCTACACAACACAGGGGAGTTCATGATGTAGGGGTTTACCAAGTCTGCTCAATTAGCAAGTGGATGGATGGAGATGACATGAATGGACTACTCTCTATAAAGTCTGTCGGAGGCCAGGCGTGGTGGCTTATGCCTGTAATCCCAGTGCTTTGGGAGGCAAAGCCTGGGTGATCACTTGAGGTCAGGAGTTCGAGACCAGCCTGGCCAACATGGTGAAACCCTGTCTCTACTAAAAATACAAAAATTACCCAGGCGTGGTGGCACGCACCTGTAATCCCAGCTACTCTGGAAGTTGAGGCAGGAGAATCGCTTGAACTTGGGAGGTGGAGGTTGCAGTGAGCTGAGCTCATGCCACTGCACTCCAGCCTGGGCAACAGAGCAGGACTCTGTCTCAAAAAAAAACAAAAAAAAAAAAGAATTAAACCCTCCTTCTCTGGCATTGTAAAAAGTCAGAATGATCTTAGTAAAAACCTCAACTTTGTTATTCAAAAACAGTGTGATATTTTGGAAGTTACTTAACTTCTCTGAGCCCCAGTTTACCATCAATGAAATGGGGATAGTAACTCCTGTCTTGAAGGTATGGCCAGGCGCGGTGGCTCATGCCTGTAATTCCAGCACTTTGGGAGGCCAAGGCAGGCAGATCACTTGTGGTCAGGAGTTTGAGAACAGCCTGGCCAACATGGTGAAACCCCATCTCTACTAAAAATACAAAAATTAGCTGAGTGTTGTGGCGAGCGACTGTAGTCCCAGCTACTCAGGAGGCTGAGGCATGAGAATCTCTTGAACCCAGGAGGCGGAGGTTGCAGTGAGCTGAGATTGTGCCATTGCACTCCAGGCTGAGCGACAAGAGCAAAACTCTTAAAAAAAAATCCTGCCATGAAGATTGTTAGGATAAGCTGAGTTGCTTCATGTAGGGCAGCTAGTGTAGTGCCTGGCACACAGCAGGTGCTCAGCAATTAGTCACAACTATTGCTGTTGGCACCTCTGCTATAGTTCCTATCCCAGACTGTCTTCTATTCTATCTGCTTGTGTGTGTATGTTTCCCAGTCTAGAATGTGAGCCCCATTAGGGCAGGAATAAATCTGGCTCATCTCCATGTCCCCTTGCAGCACACAACCTGCCCTGTCCCTTTGGCCTCCTCCCTCCCAGCCTGGTCCTGGACTTACCCACAGTGGTGATGGGCCGGCGGTAGGGTATTAAACCAAAGCTGTACTGGAAGACACCACGGCCATGAAAGAGTGGGAGGGAGATGCCCATGATCTTCTGCAACCGATTCTGGATATAGCGTAACCAGGAGCCAGAAGAGTTGGGAATCTGGTCAAATAGGTCATTCTCCCCGAAGGAGAAGATTGGCACCAGGGGTGCCCTGGAGACAAATAGAGGAAAGAGGGCATGTGGGAGGCCCCAGAGAAGGCACGAGCTGAAAGGCCCTTTAGCTTCCTGCAGGGACTCAGTGACCAAGAAATGGAGCAGAGGTCAGCCACCTGGGCTGGAGGTGGAGGCCTGGGTTATCTCCCAGACCTTCACAGCCCCATTCTCTGACCTTGGGCAGGTCCCTTGCAGGGCCACAACTTCCCAGTTGCACCATGAGAGGTAGACCAGAATGCTTCAGAGAGTCCTCCCAGATATAAAAATCTGCATTGTTTTTCCTAGAAAAATATCTCCCACCTCAGCTGGCTCATGTTTCTCAAGGATGCTTCACCCCAAGGAGGGAGAACAGCTCTGAAATGTACCCCAAATATCACTCTTCTAGATACCACAGATCTCAGATCAAATGCCAGCTTTGTGGAATATGTTCATTGCCACCTAGTTTCTTAGATCACTGAGTCTCCGTTGTGGAAACTTTTCTAGGTATTTGGGCATAAGACACCAAAATATAATCTTAATTGTGAATGGACTGAAAATCTCTACCAAAATAGAATCTGCATTCGTCTCTGCCATCTTCCCACCAAAATAAAATCCTTGCCAATTGCCAACTGAACCCAGAGTGCTCTTCCCAGAGGCTTGATACCCGTGTGTCAGGGCGAGCCTGACGAAGCCCTTTCGGTTCCGCAGTAACAGCGTGAAGGATCCAGGCCTGGCATCCAGGGCCTCCTGGGCACCCCCTACAATGATGCCCAGCAAGTTTCCGCCACCCTTCCTGTTCAGAATGTGAGCAGCACTCTCCTTTTCTGATGTGACCAACCCTAGGGAAAGAGAAAAGTGGGTCAGGTATGGGGTGAGGGAGCAGGGGCTATGAAAGTACATGTAGCCCATAAAGAGATCACCAGCAATGCCTACTGAGGCCTGGGGTTTTTCCCCCACTGCACCCCATTCCAGCTAGGAGCTCCCTGAGTCTTCTCCCTCTTCCCAACCCCCTGATGGACTCAGCGCCCAGCATGGTGCTGTAGGAAGTGCTTCTTTGGGCCTAGCCTCCTTCTCCTACTGCACACGCTCTTGGAAGAAGTACAGAACTATTGGCAACCCTTCCGAAAATTTGTTACCTTCCTGAGCTGCTCAGGGGTAGAAAGACTCACCTGCAGACATGATGTAATCTCTGAAGAAGGGGGCCCGGAACCACAAGGTCAGCATCATCAGATGGGGGCGGATACCGGGGAAGATCGAAGAGAAGCCTGTGCTCTCAGTGCACAGGTTGGCAAAGGCTCCGACTGCCAGGACTCCATGGGGGTGGAAGCCCGCAATGTAGTTCCGAGAGGGGTCCAGCTCAGCAGTCTTGACCAGCTGCAGGGACGGCAACCTGCTGAGCCAGGGCGGGGCCTGTGTACCAGCCCTGACTCTGCCACTCACTGGTGTGACCTTGGGAAACCTCCCCTCTGAGCCTCCAGGTCTTCATCCATATGTCTGACCACCCTGGGTTCTTACGAAGATTCAGATATGGTATGTGACAGCACCTGGAGATATTATGGTGCTGGCTGTGCCACAGACTTGATGCTGGCTTGGGACAAATTGCTTCCCTCTCCTACAGGCTCTTCATTTGTAAAGTGGCAATAGAGTATTTGGACCTGTCCCTGCTACCTCCTAGGGCTACTGAGAAACTCAGGTATGATGGTGCCTAGAATTATTTATACCAACACCACCTGGACAGGATATAACATGAAGACACCAAAAGGCCACATGGAGGCACCGCCATGCTGAAACAGCCCCATTTTAAGAAAAACAGTGTTCCAGCCAGGCGCGGTGGCTCACGCCTGTAATCCCAGCACTTTGGGAGGCCAAGGCGGGTGGGTGACCTGAGGTCAGGAGTTTGAGACCAACATGGTGAAACTCCATCTCTACTAAAAATACAAAAATTAGCTGGGCGTGGTGGCGGGCACCTGTAATCCCAGCTACTAGGGAGGCTGAGGCAGGAGAATTGCTTGAACCCAGGAGGCAGAGGTTGCAGTGAGCCGAGATCACACCACTGCATTCCAGCCTGGGCAACAGAGCAAGACTCAGTCTCAAAAAAAAAAAAAAAAAAAATCAATGTTCCTCCATATCCATGAGACATCTATGGATTCAAACAACCTCAGATGTATTCAGAAAAAAAAATAGATTGTTGCACCTGTAGTGAATATATACAGACTTTTTTCCTTTATCAGTATTCCCTAAACAACATTCCATACCATTTCCATTGTATTAGGTGTCATACATATTCTAGAGATGGGTTACTGTATATGGGAGGATGTGCATAAGGTATAGGCAAATATTACATCATTTTATACGAGGGACGTGAGCATCAGTGGATTTTGGTATCTGCGGGGGTCCGGGAACCAGTCCCCAATGGATGTCTCGGGGCAAAAAATTGGCACTTCAGATGTGGGAATGAGGCTTTGTAGGCCATCTGAGGAGCGAGTCCTGTTGGGTGGAAAGCTCTAGCCCTGTTTACCCGTATGCATGATGCATGGCACCCTGTGGCTCTCTGCTTCCCCTCGCCAGGCCTTCATTGCCCCTTGGCCACTCTCTTTCCCCAGCCATCGCAGCAGCTTGCCTGGGTCTGGCCAGGCCTGCAGCATGAGAGTGTAGCAGCATCCAACGGACGTTGTAGATTGAGTGAGAGAGAGCTGCTGTCATTAGCAGCTTCTAGGTGAAGTGGGGTGAAGGTGAAAGGGGAAGAAATGCAGTTAACAAATGCTGCTCCTGGCCAGATACCGGACGGGCTGTGCCAAGCAGCTGAATCTACAAAGACTATCGCTGTGGGTGGTGATTGTAAGGAACTGCGGGGGCCACCCTTTTCAGTGCCTTGTGTCTGGAAGACCCCGGCCATCGGAGTCCAAGGGTCCCCAGGGTCTCTGGCCCAATCACACATACCCCATCGGGAGGCTCCCTGATAGGACTGCCCAGGCCCTGCAATGTGCACTCCCTCAGGTCAGAGGCCAGCCTTTCCCCTCTGGCACAGCTTTGCCAGTGTAAAAATTCTTCCTGTCATCAAGATGCAGCTGGTGACTCCCTGAGGGTTCTTGTTGGGGAGCAGCAGAGGCCTGGCTGCCCTCTCTCAGAGCAGACTGGAGACATCTGTAAGGCCTGGAGCCTGTCTGCCCCATCCAGGCTGAACAGTTCCACATTCTCCTGTCCTTGACCCGGACATGGCCTCTGCAATTTATTTATTTATTTATTTATTTATTTATTTATGAGACAGAGTCTCACTCTGTTGCCCAGGCTGGAGTGCAGTGGCATGATCTCAGCTCACTGCAACCTCCACCTCCCAGGTTCAAACAATTTTTATGCCTCAGCCTCCCAAACAGCTTAGATTACAGGCACATGCCATCACACTTGGCTAAATTTTGTATTTTTTAGTAGAGACAGGGTGTTTCACCATGTTGCCCAGGCTGGTCTCAAACTCCTGGCCTCGTGTGATCTGCCCACCTTAGCCTCCCAAAGTACAGGTGTGAGCCTCCGTGCCTGGCCTGGTGGTGGTTCTTTAAAAACCTATCTAGCTCAATGCATGGAAACACTTGCTTATAAATTTTCATTCACTGCTAGTGGGAGGGTAATTTTGCACCTCCATAAACACAATTTGACAATATCTACCAAACCCAAAAAATATAACTGATCTTTTAACCCAGCAACTCCACTGCTGAGGAATTTAGCCTACAGAATTTCTCACACTTGTGCAAAATGACACCTGAACAAGGTTATTCACAGAAGCATCAGGTTTTGGTGATATGAAAAATTTGTCATCCACTTAAATGACCATCAGCAGGGCCTATTTAGACAATTTGTGAAACATCCACACAATGGACCGTTGTGTCACCATAGAGAAGTACAGCAGCTTTTTCTGTCCTGATAGGGAAAAAGGGCCATGGCAGCTTGTTAACTGGAAAAGCAAGGTGGGGGACAATGTGTGGAGAGTGTTGCAACTGTGCAGAGAAGGGAAAAACACATTTGCTTTATATGGATACACCAAACACTGGTAGTCATCGTTGCCTCTGAGGACAGGAACTGGGGAGATGGGACATGATGTGGAATGAGGACTTTTCACACCTACCCTTTGGTCTGTTTTTGAATTTTTTTTTTTTTGAGACAGTCTCACTCTGTCACCCAGGCTGGAGTGCAATGGCGTGATCTCAGCTCACTGCAACCTCTGCCTCCTGGGTTCAAGCAATTCTCCTGCCTTAGCCTCCCGAGTAGCTGGGATGACAAGCGCCCACCGAGCATGAACTTGGATACGTGCACATAAATGCATGTGCTAATACTGGCTCAGTGACCTAGACACAGGCCCTCCCACAGTGCAGGCACTTGGATACTGAGGTGTGGTCTGCACCTCCCTAGATGTGGTCTCTATTGGTATCTTTCTGTGCTAACCTCTTCCATCTGTCCCCTGGACCCAAATCTATCACAACATCCCTGTGAAGATTACAGACCATGTATCTGATGCATCTGTGTCCCCAGTGCAGGCCTGGAACAGAGGAGATGCTCTGGAAAGGGTATAGCATGAAGGAAGGAAGGAATGAGCCCAATGGATGAGGCTGGTACAGCCTCAGAAGGAAGGCTCCCTGACCCCAATCCTATCCTGGCATGTCACCAGGGTTCCACTAGTGGGAAAAAGAACCTTGAGTCAGGAGACCCCGGTTCTGCCGCTGGCTCATCACATGACCATTGCCAAGCCCCTGTCCCCTCTGTGGCTCAATTATTTCTGTCCCACAGGACACTGATAACGCCTCCCTGGCAGGGTTGCTACAGGGTTCAAGGGGGGTAAACAAAGAAGAGGGGAGGTTTGTGAAGTGCTGTGGTCTGTCTCCCTCCCTCAGTTCTGTTAGGCGAGGGGAGTGTGACTAAGCGAAGATAGATGGCTGTCTGGGGAAAATCCTGCCTGGGTGCATGCCCTGGCAGGCTGGGTGTGCAGTAGGCAGTGGGGCCTGGAGAAGGGCACAGCCAGGTTACTAGGCTCTGGGGGCTGCTATTGCTTTTAGTTGATATAATTTATGCACCATAAAATGCATCCGTTTAAAGTATGACATTCAGGGTTTCAGTATATTTAAAAGGTGTGGGATAGGTGTGGTGGCTCACACCTCTAATCTCAGCATTTTGGGAGGCCAAGCAGCCTGGCAACACAGTGAGACTCCATCTCTACAAACATTTTTTTAAAAGTTGTGGTGGTGCGTGTCTGTAGTCCAAGCTACTTGGGAGGCTGAGGCAGGAGGATTGCTTGAGCCCAGGAATGAGGATCCCTACTGTCTCTTCACCCCATGATCCCTGCGGGGCCTGGGCAGTAAAGGCGTGTGGGAGGGTGGGAGGGTCTATGGAAAGAGCGTCTACAGGCCACAGCCCCACCCCACAGGCCCAGCTTAGGACATAGTCAAAATGAACATCATCTCGCCCTCTGCTGGCCACTCAGTGGCATTGTCACCCTCGGCAGATGGTGCTGCAAAGGGCCTGCGGTGAGGAAGGATCCTGGAAAAAAAAACAAAAAACAAAACAGTGCACAGAGCCAGGTGCAGTGTCTGACACCTGTAATCCCAGCACTTTGGGAGGCTAAGGTGGGCGGTCAGGAGTTCGAGACCAGCCTGGCCAACATGGTGAAATCCCGTCTCTACTAAAAAAATACAAATCAGCCGGGAGTGGTGGCGGGCACCTGTAATCCCAGCTACTCAGGAGGCTGAGGCAGGAGAATCGCTTGAACCTGGGAGGTGGAGGTTGCAGTGAGCCGAGATCACGCCACTGCATTCCAGACTGGGCAACAAAAGTGAAACTCCGTCTCGAAAAAAACAAAAACAAAACCAAAACAAAGAAACAAAAAGATGCACATAGAATTTCTGCAAATCGAGGCCTGTGTCCCACCAGTGTCAACAGTACTAAGGTTGAGATATCCTCCTCAAAAGCCACCTGGCTGGGGAAGGAGCAGGAAGGACGGACGTTGATAGGGTAGGCGCAGAGCTGCCTCAGCATTTCTGCCAGACCTGCAAATGGAAATGCTCCAGGTGCAAAGAGGGCCAGATGCTGTCCTTTGAGGCCATTGGGCTGGCTGAAGACACCCCGGGAGAACTTTCAGGTGAGCAGTCCCAGTCCTGCGGAATGTCCTCCAATGGCCTCCACCCTCTGACCTGAGGGCCTCCCCAGCCTCCTCTGCAGGCCTGCCTTCTGCTTTAGCCGCGCTGAATGTCAGGCTGTGGCTCAGAACTCACCCTGCGGCAAGTGTCTGGGCCTGTGCTTGTGTGTTTGCCTTTTCAGGCTGCTTTTCCTTTCCCCCCCGGTGAGCTTGGGATTCAGCTCAAGAGTGGGAAGTGAGACCAGAGCCAGAACCTCTGAAGCTCTCCCGGAGGCCAGAGCCTGCTTCAGGTTTTCTTTGGCTTGGTCCCTGATGTCACACACACGTCCCCAGGCTGGCCACAGCACACTTTCCCAGGGAAACTCTGACCTTCCTGGCACAGAAGAGGAAGCCCAGGCTGGAGAGAGGAGAGGCAGGAAAGGGAGGTGAATCTCAAAGTGCAGAGGTCCTGGGGTGGGGATGAGGACTCTGCCTCTGACACGTCCATGACTGCTCCCAGAACTCAGCAAGCCCTAAGTTTCTTTGCTGACAAGACCCAGGAGTGGGCCCTGCAGGAAACACATATGAGGTGCAGGGGAAACTGCCCCCATCCTGAGCCCCCCAGGCTAGACCATGTTCCGCCTTACCACATCTACCACCCTTCGTGAGCACGGCAGTCTCTGCCAGCCGCTGCCCGCTGTCTGCCCAGCACCCCCATTGCCCTTTGCCCTGGAGGCCCTGCTCACTGCAGTGCTAGAGGCTCCTGCATTCCAGCTGTGGCTCAGCCTTTGCTAGTCCTTCTTGGGCCCCTGGACTCTCAGAAGGGAGCAAGGCAGGAACCCCAACCACCCTGCGTTCCCATAATTCAGACAAGTTGCTTAACTTTGGTGGGTTTGTTTCCTCTACCCCTCCCCCTTTGCAAGCTGGAGACCTTGTTTCTGATGGGACAGGAAGAGGTAGGGTTCCCAGGCGGGGTGGGAGAAGTTACGTAGGTGTGGAGGTCAGAGCAGCAGGGCTTGGGCTCTCAGAGTCCTCCCCAGACTCGAGGTCACGACCACACTTCCTCAGAGTCCCACTGCCGAGGTAAAATAATACTAGCTACCTGTTTACTGAAAACCTACAAAGTGCTAGCCAGGCACAGTGGCTCACACCTGTAATCCCAGCACTTTGGGAGGCTAAGGTGGGCAGATCACCTAAGGTCGGGAGTTCGAGACCAGCCTGACCAACATGGAGAAACCCCGTCTCTACTAAAAATACAAAAATTAGCCAGGTGTGGTGGCCGGCACCTGTAGCCCCAGCTACACGGGAGGCTGAGGTAGGAGAATTGCTTGAACCTGGGAGGTGGAGGTTGCAATGAGCTGAGATCGTGCCATTGCACTCCAGCCTGGGTGACAGAGCGAGACTCCATCTCAAAAAAAAAAGAAAACCTACAAAGTGCTTTACTTGCTTTGTCTCATTGAATCTACACAACCCAGTGAGGTATGTGTCATTATCCCCATTTTACATATGAGGAAACTGAGGCTCAGAGAGACCAACTTACCTACGATCATACAGCTGATATGGTATGGGGCAGACTTGGGATCAGAATCTAGTCTGCCTGTCTCCACGGGCCATATCTTACCCCTTTCTTCTCTCCTGCTTCCAGAGGAGGGCCAACTGCCCCTGCCTGTCCCTTCTCTGCGTCCCCACTGCCTTCCCCATCCTATCCCTTCTGGCCAATAAACCATCACTGCCTGGCTGCATAGATCAAGGCTTTAAATTGCCTGGGATTCCGTTGAAGGAGCCGAAAGATCTGCTCACTCAAATCCAGGGATCTGCTCTGCTCTGGACACAACTTCAAGTCCAGGGCCCAGCGTCCACAATGACCACGAGGTGACAGGAGTCGGAAAGCCAGAGATTTGAAGGCATGCAGAGGAGGAGGAATCAGTGTACTTACTAGATACATGGGGAGACTGAGCCTCAGAACAGGATAAAGCTTTGCCCAAAGATATACCACATGCCAGAGTTAGGGTCAGGGTAGGATCTGAGAACAATTCAGGGCTCTCTCCTCTGTCCCTTTGCCCACAGTCAGTGTACACACTTGGAAATCTGTAAAAGAACTTGCTGTGTGACCTTGGTGACATTTCCTCCATCTCTGGGTGTCAGCCTCCTCTTCTGATGAATGTTAAGTGTGAGGCTAGATGGTCCTTAGAACCTGTAAGTTTATTACCTTCACTCCCAAGCCTGGGCTGCTGATGGGTTTGTGCCTTTAAGATACATAGGCATGCCTCACACCATATAACCCACAGAACTCCTTCAAATGCTGGACATCCATCAATCCACATATTGGCCCCGCATCCCTGCAGATGCGAAACCATGATCGGAGAGAAGCTGGACTCTTCTCTAGGTCACATAGTAGCGGAAGCCCTAGCTCCTGCCTCCCAGCCCAGTACCCTCCTCAGTGCATGCAGGGCCATATTCTCCCATGGAGACGTCGGCACTCTGGCCCTGACCACACCCCAGCCAACTCCCTCCCCAACCCCAACCAGCCTCAATACTCACCGAGATGGGGAAATAGTCCTTCATGTACTTCCATATAGTCCAGCACCTGATGGCCTGGATGTGCCGGCCCCCCTGCCGTGGCTTGTCTCGGTCCAGATACCACCAGGCCGCATACAGGACAGTGAGGAGCCAGAATCTTGTAAACAGGAGGGCTATGAAGCCCACAGTGCAGATCTCGGCTGGGGAGGGAAGAAGGAGCTGTCAGGGACAGGGGTCTGAGAGGAAGGCAGGTGAGATTGCTCAGACTGAACTCTGCCCATAGGCCTGGCACTAGCAGCACTGTCCTGTCCAATCCTCGGGCCCAGGAGGAAGACAGCAGCTTCCGGGGCATTCAAAGAGGAGACAAAGTCCCTGAGAGGGACTACGGCCAGCCCAGTGTCACTGGGAGCACGCGTTGAGCCTAGGTAGGCCTAACTCCAAAGCTCACTTTCTCCCACTGCACCAGGCCGCCTAATTCACTCCATCCCCTGCCTGTCCTCCTTCTCCCCAGGAGAGTTGTTTGTACTCATTAAGTGCTCAATCAATGGGGACAACTGGTTGGATAAACTGTTCTAGTTTCCATCTTTTGGGATCTCAGAGCAAAGGGAGACCCTTTCCTGCTCTCTTTCTGTTCATCCTCTGCCCCATTTTCCCAGAGATAAATCCAGCCAGGTGCCTCCCCTTATTCAAGCCCTTCATGACTTCCCCATAACTTTGGGCACAGTCCAAGTAGCTCAGCCTGGCCTCCAGGAGCCCCAGAGCTGGCCCTGTCCCTCCCGCTCCTGCCTCTTGTCTGTGGCCACTCTGAACTACACAGTGTTCCCAAACCTGCTGAGCTCTGATTCCTTTGCCTTCAGTGACCAGTGACGTTTGTTGTTGAAAGGAGGGAGGGAGGAAGAGGCCAGCCCCTGGCCGCCCCATAATCAGGGGTGCATCAGGGCTAAGACCAGGCCTAGTGTGGAATTCCCCTCTGACTGATGGTTTCTCAGCCCTTACTGGAGGCAAATCCTTGATTGTTTGGCTCATCTGTGCAAAGGGGGTATACAGGAATGTGTAAAATGTCTAAAAACCCTTAGAACAGAGACACAGCTCAACCAGAAGGGATGCTAGGGCAGGGTCCTGGAGGGCCTGCTTTGCCAAGGGGGAGTTTTTTCACTACAGAATTGTGGGGGAGTTTCTGAGGAAGTACGTGTGTGTGTGTGTGTGTGTGAGAGAGAGAGAGAGAAAGAGAGATGGCTACTGAGCAATGTGTTCAGAGTGTGTCAATATTTTAACAACCAGGAGAGTGGTATCTGTGTACAGGCTGAACCTCAGCCCTGGAAGCAGCAGTTCCTACCTTGTCTGGTGCCAGCAGATGAAAGGAAAAACCCCACGGACTCCTAGTCATTCTCCCTTCCCAAGCCACAGATCCAGACCCTCCTAGAAAATGTTACCTTTGGCAGAGCTATTGTTTGGGCAAGGGTGATCTCTCTGGCCACAAATCAGTGGTGGGGTGGGTAAGGGGCCATGCTCATGCCCTCCAGTGTGAGCCCAGCCCAGGGTCCAGGCCAGGTCTGTGCCAAGCAGAGGTCAGCACATTTCTTCATTTCCTTCACAATAGCCCTGCAAGGCCAGCATTGTTGTCCCCGTTCTGCAGATGGTGAAGTCGAGGCTTGGAGAGGTCAGGCATGGGCTGGCTAAAGTCAGTTGCCCAGCTGAGTCTGACTCCGGGTTTCCTGGTACCCAGCATGCCCACTCCACAGTCCACTCTCAGTCTGCACCTTCTCCCCACCCTTCTTTTCTTTCCCTGTTTCTCTCACTTACCCTACTACCAGCCCCAGTTTCCTCCTCCCTGAGCGCACAGAAGGAAATCTCTCCTCTCTGAGCAGGCTGCAGAGCCCAGAACTTTCCCGTCATCGCCCAGAGGCTTTCCCACACCACTTGGCAGCCTGCAGACTGGTCTTCATCCAAGTGCCAAAGGAGAACCCACAGTGCAAGCCAGGAAGAGTAAGTAACCTGCCCAGAGCAGCAGACGGTGACTTCTACCCCACTCCACCCCCAAGAAGCCTCTGGGCAGGCCCAGGAGTTCTCTCTGGGCAGGGGCTCTGAGCGCAACAAAGCCCCCTTTAGGATAAATGTCTTGCCACCATCAATGTGCTGTGTGCACCTGGTGTGGCTGCTCTGCCCCACCTGAGTGCGGTGGTCTCCCGTCTTACAGTGCAGCCCAACTTACCCAGTGCCAAGAAGGAGAAGACAAACTGTAGGACAGCAAGTGTCTGCAGCCTGCGCTCCCACGGCATAAACAAGGGCGCGAACTCTACCATGCTGGCGGGTCAGCCTGGCTCCCGCAGGTTCTGTGAGCTCTGCTGTGGTCTGAGGCACCCACAGGTTTTTGTTCCCTCCCCAGGTTGTAGAAGCTGGCAGGGAGAGTGCCACACCCAGCCCAGCCCAGCCCAGCCCCAAGGCCTCCTTGCCCCTGCTGAGGCAGGAAATTCTATCCTACAAGAAACCTTTGAATCTACCTGCTGGAGCCTGGCTAAGGAAGGAGGAAGAGAAGGGGTTGTATAGCCTTTATCAACTTTCTCAGGCAATGCCTTATCTGCATGGCTGCCTTTCCCCAATTGCTTAAATCTTGTCCTTCCTATAACTAGGCAGGTGAAGCCCCAAGCATATGCAATCTCACCCCCTTCCCACCTATTCAATGACCTGGCCCCAAGGTCAATGGATAGGATAACCTTGTCCTGTCCATTGTTCCCCCTCCACACATATGCTGTACTAACTCCCACCTAAAAATCCCCACCCACACTGTGTCCTCCACCTCCTGCCCCATTTTTCTGCTCACTCACACAGCAAACTCTCGGAAGAGCTATCTTTCATGCCTTCCTGTCCTCACCTCCCATCTGTGGTACCACAAATGGTGGTCCACACTTCAGGTATCACCCTTCCACAAAACTGCCCTTGGCAAGTTCCCTAGTGACCTCCATGATGTTAAATCCAGTAATCAATTCTCAGATCTCATCCTGACCTATTGGCAGCATTAGATATGGTTGATCATTCCCGTTTCTTTGAAACCACTTGGCCTTTGGACACTATGCTCTCCCAGTTTTCTTCCTAGCTCTCTGGCTGCTCCCTTTGTGCCTCTCGTCTTTCACCAGGCCAGCTGTTCGAGTCCCCCTCCTCCACTCCATCCTCGGGACTTCTCTTTTCTCTCCAGTTTCTGCTCTCTGAGATCTCATCCAGGCTCACACCTTGCATTGTATTTACACAGCAAAGACTTCCAAATCTGCATCTGCAGCTCTGCTCCCTGGGGCTCTAAACTTGAATCTCTAGGTGGCTCCTTGACATCTTCACTTGAATGCCTGATAGGCACCTCCATCGTAGCATGTCTAAAGGTGAACTTGATTCCCTCCCCCACCTCCCTTCTGCCCCACTGACTCCTCCTCTGCTCTTTCCCATCTCAGTAAAGGGTAATGCCATTTACCCAGTTGCTCAGGCCAAAACCTGAGTCACACTAGATCCCTTCTGTTCTTCTCCATCCACCTCTACCAGTCACCATGTCCTATCAGTTCTTCTAAGTCCCTCCTTTTAAATGTCAACTTCAAATTGACGTATACCATACATACGGAAAAATGCACAAATCCTAAGCGGACAGAGAAATGTCTTTTCACAAAGTGAAAGTTATCACCACTCTGATCGACAAACAGAACTTACCTAGCACCCCTTCTGGCCTTGCCAGTCACTGCTCTCCTCCCTGTAGCTCAGCACCATCCTCATCTCTGTTCTTGAACTTTATGAAAACTGAATCATTTAGTGTATACTCTTTTGAGACATCATATGTGCCTGTATTGCCTTTGTTTTCATTGCTGTATAGCATTCCATTGTGTGAATATGCCACAAAGTGTCCATTTGGACGCTGACAGGCATTTGGGCTGTCACCTGTTTCTGGCTATTATGAATATTGCTGCTACGAACATTCCTGTACATGTCTTTCAGTACACATCTATACACATTTCTGTTGGGTATGTGCCTGGAAATAGAATTGATGGGTCTCATGGTAGATAGCCATAGAGTTTTCCAAAGTGGTTGTACAAATCTACACTCCCATAGCCTTATATAAGAATTCCGAGTTCTGAATTTTGGTGGGTGTGTAGTGGTCCTTCATTGTGGTTATAGCATTTTCCTAACAACTAATAAATATAAGCACATTTTAATATGCTTACTGACCATTTGGATATCATTTTCTATGACCTTCTTGTTCTAGTGTTTTGTTGATTTCAGTCTCTTGAACTGAACAGCTGCTGTCTACCTCCACAGCCAGCCTCTTTTATAGACTGGCTCTGTCTTCCTTATTGGCCTCTCCGTTTACTTTCTATCCTCATTCTCCTCTCCACAATTTCAACACAGCAGGAGAAACTGCTGGGTTTATGAATATGTGAATGTTCAAGTTTGGGAGTAGAGCCAAACTGTTTTCCAAAATAATACATCAAGGTATAGTCTCCCCAAGAATCGAGAGACCCCACCCCCACCCCCATGGATCTGCTCTGACCCTTGGTATGGTCAGACTTCTTCTTGTCTTGCTAGGGTATGAAATGAGACCAAATTTTACTCTTGATTTTCATTTTCTTATCACTAATTTTTTTTTTTTGAAACCAAATCTCCCACTGTCGCCCGGGCTGGAGTGCACTGGCACCATCTCGGCTCACTGTAACCTCTGCCTCCCGGGTTCAAGCCATTCTCCTGCCTCAGCCTCCCAAGTAGCTGGGACTACAGGTGCCCACCACCATGCCTGGCTAATTTTTGTATTTTTAGTAGAGATGGGGTTTTACCATATTGGTCAGGCCGGTCTCAAACTCCTGACCTCAGGCGATTCGCCCGCCTTGGCCTCCCAAAGTGCTGGGATTACAGGCGTGAGCCACCGCGCCCGGCCTACACTAATGTTGAACATCTCTTTATTTATGGGCATTTCCTCTTCTGTGAAAAGCTTGGTCTTTATTTTTGCCCAATTCTCTGGAGTGTTGTTTGTGCTTTTCATAATCATTTGTACTTCGTTATGTACTCAGGATATTAACCCTTTGGTGTGGCATATATATTGTAAATCTCTTCTCCCAGTTTCTAGCTTGTCTTTTTTTTTTTTTTGAGAAGGAGTCTCACTCTGTTGCCAGGCAGGAGTGAAGTGGCACGATCCCGGCTCACTGCTGCCTCCACCTCCCAGGTTCAAGTGATTCTCCTGTCTCAGCCTCTCAAGTAGCTGGCATTACAGGCACCCGCCACTATGTCCAGCTAATTTTTGAATTTTTAGTAGAGATGGGGTTTCACCATGTTGGCCAGGCTGGTCTTGATCTCCTGACTTCAAGTGATTCACCCTCCTCAGCCTCCCAAAGTGCTGGGATAACAGGCGTGAACCACCGCGCCCAGCCCTAGCTTGTCTTTTAAGATGTCCTTTGATGAACAAACATTTTTTCAATATGTCATATTTTCCAGTCTTTTATAAAATACACATTGTTTGGTTGGATCTAGGAAATCTTGTCTTACTTATACATTTCATTAAAAATTTTGAAGTTTTGTTTTTTATATGTAAGTCCTAATTCATCTGGATGTTTAGATAGTATGAGTTAGGTTCCAATCTGAGCTTTTGACATGTGGATAAGCATTTTTTTTCAGTCTCTTTGTTGAACACTCCCTCCGTTCCCCACGATATGTTATGCCACCTCTGTCATGTGAGACAGTTCTACGGATGCGTGGTCCGTGTATGGGCTTTTATTCTCTCCTGTTTGTCCTCTTATCTATCTCTGCCAGCACCACACTGTTTTTAAGAGCCCTCAGCTAAATTAGAGTTCCGGTACCGGAGCAGCTAGCAACACTGCCTGAGCGGGGTGGGGTTTTACAGTATGTTTTCCATAGGATACTCCCTTTACCTGGGGGACAGCCTAATGCCTAGTTGTCCGACCCACAACCAGGGAGTCCCTCACACAGGAAGCTTGTTTATAGTGGCAGATGCTCTGGATTCAGAAAAGGTTGTGTAAAAAAAGTTAAAAAGAAAAGGAAAATACATTGGCAGATGCCCTGATGGTTCTTATCAGATCTGTGTCCAATTTATGTCTGCCTGACCATTACTTGGACTCTGGGAGCCATCGGGGTAGTCTCTGGTTCTTCAGATAGAGGGTGCAAATTTAATACACCCCACAATAAAAAATATGTTCACTAACTTATTACTTATGAATCCTGGACAGGGAGGGTGCCGTGAGTCACGAAGGCAGTGCTCCATCCTGGGGTCATGAATGCAAAGTCAGGCAGAGAGAGAGAGAGAGAAACCCCACAACTAGTGGTAGATATAAGGGAATGGGGTGTAAGTCACTTAAAGTTTGCAGGCAAATACCTGAATTGTCCCTTTAAAGGAATCAGTGGCAAAGCAGAAAGCCCATTGGGCTGGGCTGGAGAGATGCCTCTAAGTTCTGAACTCTGGCCCCCCGTTTGAGACATTTGGGTGTGCCAGTCTATTTCTATGACTAGACAGCAACCTTTTCTGTGTGTTCCTGTTACAACTGACCCTGTGATGCCTGGGCATATGACCTTGTGTTTGGTGACGACTACTGCTTAAATAGTGGAGACATTGAAGGCTACTGGAGAAATGTGGGCCAGGCATGGAGCAAGGCATTTGATGAGCATCACTGAACACACAAACAATGTGGAGGCACCACTGTGACCTTAAACTCCACTCACAGGCATCCACTCCACTGTGTGGGGTTGAGCCAAGTGAATAGAGCAACCCTTCACCTAGGGCAAAGTAGGAAGGTTGTTGTGAACCCGGGTAAGGTTATAAAATACTTGTTATCTGTTGTGCCATTGCTTCTAGATTGGCTTTCACCAGGCTAGAGTTTTGTTGAGGTATAGAGCTGTGTGGCAGTGTACCTTTGAGCAGAGAGCAAGGAGTATACCAAGATCAGGAGCTAAGCAGGCAGTCAGTACAGAAAGAAAAGCAAAACTACACACTGTCCATTTGTGTGTTAGCAGAGCCAGTCCATGGGCATCACTGGAGTAGAGGTTTAGTGTAAGAAGTGAAGCCGTCTGTGGCACCAGGGGCAAAGCTATCTCCAACATCAAGGTCTTGGGTTCAGATGTGTCATCTGAGGCAATGTCACCTTCAGAGGTGAATTATAAGGCAAAGGTAATGTCATCTGAGATGTGGGACAGGTGTGTCCTTTTCATGGGGACCTACTCGAGTTAACGTGGGCCTCAGCACTTGTCATAATTGCTGAGGTTAAAACGGTGGTCTGCTGAAGGTTTTGGGCCTCTGATTGTAACCAGTGAAGCAGGCAAGGCAGTAGTGATAAGACCAACCAACAACAGGACAGTGTGCGGCTGCACCTGACAGGGTTTGTTTTGCGTGGAAGCTTGGGTTCAAATGGGTCCCCTATCAGAGGGGCAGCTAGCTGCCTGATCTAAGGAACAATCTATGGTTATGAGTCCCAGGAGTATATGCATCTTTAATCTGGCCCCTAACCCTTGAGGGATGGGGGAGAGATTGAAATTTATAAAGAATAGGTTAAGACCTGGGGTAAACTCAAGATCTTTAGTGTATTTATTGTATTGGAATTTGAAAAGAAGTTGTTTGAGGACATCATTAGAGCAACCATTGGGACCTATCAGGGACATGAAGTTTATATTGGATGCCTCCTCTGGAAGCCCAGCATAGTGGTGTATTCTAAGGAGTGAAATGTGTGCCTTCATAGCTATTAGTAATGTCTCTAACTCTGAAAGAAACAAGCAGTGAACTAGCAAGGCCTTGCAACATGGAGTTATGTGATTTTGATTTATAATTTGATGTCTGTGAAATAAGAGATTCCCGGGGTTTATTTGCTTTTTACCTTGATGGGAACAATTTTTAGGTAATGGCCCAATAATTAATAATGAATGTGAAGATGAGACCATTTGTTAGCCAGGACAGCCAGGGCTAGGATGACTTCCTGAAGTTTGACCAAGTGTGTTTTTTCTTGGGTCCTGTCCTTCATCATCCTGGCTAAGGGATGGAAAGGAACAGCTCTCCACTAAGCTGCATCACGTGTGATGGCTAACGATGCCGTTCCTACAGTCCATGAACTCCCATTCCTGTTCACTCAGTTAACACCAAAGGGCTTCCCAGGTAGCCAAGGGGCCTGGGGAGGGGTGACCTCTTCCAGCACCCTGGCATCTGGCAAAGGACCGAGAGAATGAGGAGGCCACCCTCTCCTGCAGATGGAATATCCCAGAGGGCCCAGTTGGCTCCATCCTGTCTTAGGGAGGCCTTGGTAGCCAAGCTGAGCTTGTGGGGTGATGTTTCCATACCTCAAAGCATAATGGACAACTGGGTATGGAGGGTCACAGGCTCAGGGTCTGTGAGAGCCTCTATGTCCAAGACAGTTCATAGGTAGCCAGTCATTTGCTGTTTTAATGGTGTATAGCCTGAGGCCAAGAGGGACAAGATCTTGCATCAGAAGCCCTAAAGCAACTAATGACTATCATAAGTGATCCAGAGACTCCAGGAGACATTACGGGAGCTTGCCAAAGGTTTACAGTGAAGGAGCCTTTTGAGATCACACACAGGAGTGCCTGTTGATTTTAATTTAGCAATAAAATTTGTCAATGAGAAATATGTTGCCACCAGAGCCCAAAAGTATTAAGAAATATTGGGGTTAAATGTCTTCAATGTGTGTATCAAATGCATTTCTTTGGAGTAGGACGTCCTCAATGCAATGTCATATCTGTGCCCCTGGGGAAGGCAGTTGTCATTAAGATCTTGTCTGCAAAGATTGTGTGTGGTGACAAAGCTGTGAAGGTCCCCCATGGGTACCCTGGAAAGGTGTATTGTGTCCCCTCAGCAGTGGAGGCAAACAGAAGCTGAGAGGCTGTTGGAATAGGCACTAAACAGACAAGGTTAGCCAAATATATAAGAGCAAAGTATTTACCACTTGTTGGTTGAATAGAATCAGCAACTTACATAATATTAAGGAGGCCGTGACGGATGGGACCAGGGTGTTAAGACTGTAGTCATCCAACATAAAGTGTCCTTATGTTTTAGGTGTCACATGTGTCTTAGGAGAGGCAATCTATGGGTGTTACTGGAGTGGAGGTTTAGTGTAAGTGTCCAGGCTACATTGATATACATTACATATACATTATATATATATATATACATATAATACATATATGTTCCATGAATACATATAAATTCTATATACATTATACACACATTACATTATTACATTATATATACATTATATAGTCATCTTAAATTTCAAAAACATTTTTCTTGGAATATTGGAATTCGCTGAATGGAACTCATTTTGAGGAAATGCATATATAAATAAAAATGAAAGATTAAGAATGAATGAATTAAATTCCTAGGTTATAAAATCTAGAAAAAGAATAACAAAGAAACTCAAAAGAAAGCCCAAGGAAGAAAGTAATAAATACAAAAGCAGAAATTAGTGATAGAGATGAGAAAACAAAGATATAATTAATAGATTACATTAAAAATACACTACTAGTTAATGTTATCACAAAAAGAGATAAATCACACATGTACAAAAAATAAAAAAGGAGAATGAATGAAATATTGAAACAAAAGAAATTTCTAAAAATCATAAGAAACTAGAACTACTTTGTAAACTTCTATACAAACAAGCTGTAAACTAAACTGAACCAATTAAAGATAGAAATACTTAAACAGGTTAACTTCCATAATAGACTCAGAGAAAGTTATCAAGAAATTATCCCACAAAAAAAGCACCAGGCACAGACAGTTTCACAGGTGAAGTTTAGCAAATCTGGAAAGATTAGATAGCCCCAGTGCTCCATAAATTGATTCAAAGGTCTTAAATTCAAGAAAAATTTCCAATTTCTTTCTTACACAGCAAATATAACATTGATATTTATACTCAATTAAAAAAAGCAGAGCAAAAAAGAAGAGTACATATTTATCAAATAATTTATGAGAATTGATGCAAAATATTTAAATAAAATATTAGAGATCTTATATTAGAAAATACTAGAAGATGGAATCCAACATCATGTTGCCATACACCATGAACAGGTAGGATTAAGGAAGCCATTAATATAATACAAAGGATTAATCAATTTAAGGAGAAAATCATATTAGTATCTCCATAGATGCTGGAGAAGCTGTTGACAAAACTCAACACAGAGTGAAATGAATGGGTGTTTTCTCAATATAATAAAATATACATACCTTGTTCCTAAAGCTAGATTTTTTTTTTTTGAGACGGAGCCTTGCTCTGTCGCCAGCCTGGAGTGCAGTGGCGTGATCTCGGCTCACTGCAACCTCCGCCTCCTGGATTCAAGCGATTCTCCTGCCTCAGCCTCCCAAGTAGCTGGGATTACAGGCATGTGCCACCACACCCGGCTAATTTTTGTATTTTTAGTAGAGACGGGGTTTCACCGTGTTGGCCAGGTGTGTCTCAAACTCCTGTTAAAGCTAGAATTTGAATGGGGAAATACTGGAAGTGTTTCTGCTAAGTGCAGGAAAAAACAAAGAGGCCCTCTACTATTCTATGTTGTACTGGAGATATTAGGCAAAGCAGTCAGAGAAATCAATAGGAAACAAGAATTTGGGGGAAAAGGAGTAAATTTATCCCTTGCAGATGATATGATTGCATACCCCGAAAACCCTAGAGAATGAATGGTAAAATTAATCCAGATAACGGAAAATTCAGTGAAATAGCAGGATATAAAATTAACATACAAAAATTAATAACCTCAGTATACACAAGCAATGTCTAGTTAGGGAATATAATGAAGGAGAAAACTCTATTTATATAGTAACAAAGAAGATGAACTACTTAGGAATAAACGTAATAAGAAATATGCAAAAGCTATATAAGAAGAACTTTACAACACTCCTGGAAGATGCTCAAGTAGAAGTAAAATAAACGAAAAGACATCACTTGTTCCTGTTTAGGATGTCTCAACATCATAAAAATATAAGTTCCTTCTTATTTAATTTATAAATTTAATGCAATCCCAGTAAGAACACCAATAAATTTTTATTTTGAGATGGAGTCTCGCTCTGTCACCCAGGCTGGAGTGCAGTGGCGTGATCTTGGCTCACCGCAACCTCCGCCTCCTGGGTTCCAGCAATTCTCCTGCCTCAGTCTCCTGAGTGGCTGGGAATACAGGTGCGCAGCACCACACCCAGCTAATTTTTATATTTTTTAGTAGAGATGGGGTTTCACCATATTGGCCAGGCTGGTCTCGAACTCCTGACCTCATGATCTGCCCACCTCAGCCTCCCAAAGTGCTAGGATTACAGGCATGAGCCACTGTGTCCGGCCACTAATCAACTTTTTAATGGAACTAAACAAGTTGATACTGAGCATTATATGGAAAAATAGGTATGAAGGATTAGCCAGGAAAACATTAAAGACAGCGTCTTCCATATGAGGCTCAGTATCAACATGTCTAGTTCCACAAAAAAAAAAAGTTTATTGATGTTTTTGTTGGGGTTGCATTAAATGTATAAATTAAATAAAGAGGAATTAACTTTTGTATATATTGATCTTGTGTCCTGGGACCTTGCCATTTTTACTTCTGTTGGGAATAGGCCCCCAAAATCGGGCCATAAACTGGCCCCAAAACTGGCCATAAACAAAATCTCTGCAGCACTGTGACATGTTCGTGATGGCCGTGACAAAGGTTGTGGGTTTACCGGAATGAGAGCAAGGAACACCTGGCCCACCCAGGGCAGATAACCGCTTAAAGACGTTCTTAAATCACAAACAATAGCATGAGCCATCTGTGCCTTAAGGACATGCTCCTGCTGCAGATAACTAGCCAAACCCATCCCTTTATTTTGGCCCATCCCTTTGTTTCCCTGAGGAATACTTTAAGTTAATCTATAATCTATAGAAACAATGCTTATCACTGGCTTGCTGTTAATAAATACGTGGGTAAATCTCTTTTCGAGGCTGTCAGCTCTGAAGGCTGTGAGACACCTGATTTCCCACTCCACACCTCTATATTTCTGTGTGTATGTCTTTAATTCCTCCAGCGCTGCTGGGTTAGGGTCTCTCCCACCAAGCTGGTCTCGGCAACTTCCTAGTTCCAGGAGACTTTTTGTAGATTCTTTGGGGTTTTTTTTACATAGACGGCGACGTCACCTGTGAGTAAAGAGTTTTATTTCTTCCTTCCCAATCTGTATAACTTTTATTTCTTTTTATTCGTTTGTTTTATTGCACTAGATGGTAAGAGACAACATCCTCGCCTGGTTCCCAAGCTTAAGGGGAAAGGATCCAGTTTCTCATCATTAAGCATGATGTTAACTATAGATTATTTGTAGACCTCCTGGCAAGACCTTCTGGTCTGGCATATATTAGAGAATGTATTGAATGAATGAATGCATGCATGCATGCATGCATGAATGGATGAATGAAAGTATCTGGAACATAAAGTGGTGGAGGAGTGGGAGAAGACAAGCATGGAACTAAAAATTAGGAATTATATTAGGCCCAGTTTTTATTTTTTATTTTTTATTTTTTTTAATTTAAAAGTAAACTTTAATGTCAAAAATGCAAACTTGGGAAGGGCAGAAAGATCACACAGAAGTCATTTCCTCTGAAGGGGAAGATTGGGAGAGATCAAGGGATATAGTCCTGGGTGACCAGGAAGAGAAGCAAAAGTCCACCCTTGAACATGTTGGGTTCAGGGGAACCTGGAGGGTTGCGTGGTGAACGGGCAGAGGGGCTCCTCACTTCCCAGATGGTGGGGCGGCTGGGCAGAGGTGCTCCTCACTAGGCCCAGTTTTTAAAGGTCTTGAATGCCTCAGAGCTCTCAGCCAGCAGGCTGATTCATCTAACAAGAAATAACCAAATGAACCTGCGACCAAAGCCAAGTGCTGCTGGTGGGTGCCATACAGAGGACCCCATTAGCCACTGGGTGCTGAGTGCCCACCTCTGCTGGCAAGGCCTGGCCTGCCCTGGTGGCCTCTTGCCCTTAGCAAAGAATGAAGAGGACTTTTTTTTTTTTTTGACAGTTTGGCCCTAAGGACCCGGGATTTCTGTCTGTGCTACTGGCTTTAGGCCGGGCACAGAAGAATGACAGGTACCGGTTCTGCTTCTCATTCCTTAGGTGACCTTGAGGAAGCACAGACCCTCTCTGGGCCTGTTTCCAAATCCACAGACTAGGGATGGGGATAGAATTATAGGGGAAAGAACTAGCGTTAAGGGCCTACTGTGAGTTGTTCTTTATATTAATACTTCTTAAAGAGCTAGGATTTTTGAGTGTCTACTATTAAATAGGCAACCTATGTGTATTATTTCATTTAATTCTCAAAGCAGCCTTCTGAGGTGGATGCTGTTAGAATCACTAGCCGGCACATATACAAACTGACATGTCATGTACCTCTCACAACAACCCTCCAACATAGGTTAGTCCCGCCAGGCTCTGGGAAGTGAAGCCGTGTATCTAAGGTCTCGCAGTTAATAGGCGGCAGAATTTAGGTTTAATTTGGGCCTCTTTACCCCAGCCCTTACTTTCCCCTTCATCATACTCTCCCTCCACGATTATAACTGTTCTCCTTTGTTGCCCAGCCCATGAAATCCTCAGGCTCCGGGACCCCATGTCCTCAATGTTAGACACAGAGCCTCGTGCAGGGCAAGTGGGAGGGACGTTAGGATGAAGGATCCAGCGGAGGCGCAGTAGGAGGGGAATGAGAGGGAGGAGAGGAGGCAGCGGGGAGGAGGCAGGCAAGCGCCCGCGGTGAGGAACTGCGCCCTCTGGTGGTCATTCTGAGAAGCTGCGGACAAGGTGGACTTGGTGCCCAGCGTGGGGCGGGCTCAGGCTCGGGAGAAGCATGGCAAGGGCCCGAGCTATAAGGAGGATCACCCACCGAGGTGGCTAAAGGCTCTAGTCCTGCTGCCTTTGGCTGGAGGAGAGTTAAGTCTGTCCCTCTCCAGGACTTGTCAGGATGGAGAATTCTGAGCTTTGCTCGGACTCCATCAGCGGTTGAGCCCCCGTCCGTGGTCAGGCAAGCTTTGGAGTGTGTCCAATGAGAAGGAATTATTATCTCATTTGACGGAGGAGGAAACAAACTCAGAGGTATTAAACAAATCGCTCCAGCTCACCACAGTAACGCCCCCTTTCTTCATCTGCTTTCTTTTTTCGTTTGTTTGTTTTAATAAGACTGTTTTGAACCCACCTAGTTCCTGGCCTTCTTCTCTCTTTATTTGCCCTCTCTCCCCGGGTGATCTTGCTCATGACATGGTTTTAAAACCCATCTGCGCACGATGCCTCCCAAGTTTAGATCTCCACCCCTCACCCTTCTCTGGGCTCCAGACTGCCAACTGGGTATCTTCACTTGGGTAGCTCCGAGGCACCTCAAACCCAACATGTTCAGGGGTGGCATCTTGCTTCTCTTCCTGGTCACCCAGGACTATATCCCTTAATCTCTCCCAATCTTCCCCTTCACAGGAAATGACATCATCCTCCAGCCAGTTACTCAAGGCAGAAACCCAGGAAACATTCTAGATTCCTCCCTTACCTTACACCTTCACCTTCAACCCATGAACAGGTCCTGTTGCTTCTAGTTCCAAAATATACCTTGAATGCAACCGCTTCTTCCCATCCATTTTCCATCTCCAAGTCACCCTCAACTGCAGGGACTTCTGCAATAGCCTTCATGCTAATGTTTCTACCTCTTTTTTGGGGCGGGGGGACAGGGTCTCGCTTTGTCACCCAGGCTGGAGTACAGTGGCTCCATCTCGGCTCACTGCAATCTCCACCTTGTGGGTTCAAGCGGTTCTCTTGCCTCAGCCTCCTGAGTAGCTGGGACTACAGGTGTGGGCCATCACACCTGGCTAATTATTTGTCTTTTTGGTAGAGACGGGTTTTCACTATGTTGGCCAACCTGGTCTCGAACCCTTGACCTCAAATGATCCTTCTGCCTCAGCCTCCCAAAGTGCTCGGATTACAGGCCTGAGCCACCGCACCCAGCCTCCTACCTCTCTTATTGATTTATTCATTCAACAAATCATTGATGAGCACATGCTGCTTACCAGGAACTGTCCTGGACACTGTGGAAACAGCAGATGCAATATTGCCCTCTAGCCTCTCCCTGTCTATTCTCCAAACAATGGGCTTGTTACTGTTCTGTGTGTCTGTGTTTGTGTGTTTTAATTATGCAGTTTCTCGCTTAACACGTATATGCTGACTTTCAACTATTCACTGTGGCCCAAAGTGCCTGTGTAACCTAGTATTTCCAGCACCTTCTCCCAGCAAGCCTCTCCTCTTCTCCATCCATGTCCACTGGGTTTTAACCACACTGCCTTCCTTTCATCCTTCTGATTCCTCAACTAGGCCATATTCTTTGCCAGCCACCTGAGGGCCTTTGCTCATGCTGTTCCTTTGGCCTGGAGTGCCCATTCCCCTCACTCTGTGTGCTGCCGAGTCCTCCTTCAGGTCTTGGTTTTTTGTTTTGTTTTGTTTTGAGACGGAGTCTCACTCTGTCACTCAGGCTGGAGTGCAATGGCACGATCTCGGCTCACAGCAACCTCTGCCTCCTGGGTTCAAGCAGTTCTCCTGCCTCGGCCTCCTGAGTAGCTGGGACTACAGGTGCATGCCACCACACCCAGCTAATTTTTTTTTTTTTTTTTTTTTTAGTATTTTTAGTAGAGACAGCATTTCACCATGTTGGCCAGGCTGGTCTTGAACTCTTGACCTCAGGTGATCCACCTCAGCTTCCCAAAGTGCTGGGATTACAGGCGTGGGCCAGCGCACCCAGCCCAGGTCTTGGTTTAAATGACACCTTCTCTGAACACCCTATTTCCTCTCTTTGTACCCTGTCTATTTCTCCACAGCCCTTATCTATTACAATAGATGGTAAACTCCTTTAGGGCAGGAAACAGGTTTATGTAATTCACCAATCTGTCCTCAGCACCCAGGTGTGCTTGTTGAATAAAGGAACTTGGAACTAAGGCTGTCTCTTCCCACTATAGCCCTTCTGAGAGCTGAAGGGAGTGCCTGCTCTTCTGAGGTTTCTTTTCTTCTGGCTGAACACCCCATGCAGTAGCCTGGCCTATGCAGCACTGCTCAAACTGTGTTCTGTTTGAAATGTTGTTATCTCGTAAAGGTTCCATGGTGAATGAAGTTTAGAGTGTCACAGTATCCAGCATGGGGTAAAGGCTCTGAGAAGTCCTGCTGTAAGGAGCCCATTTAGCTGGGTTCAACCCAGACATTCCCAGCCTTGTTTATCTAACTACTGGGATACAATTTAATGCAAAACTAGACAAGTCCTCAGCTCAGGAGCTGTGGCCATTCTGTCCAGGAATTGCTAGAGAGTCAGCCTGGAGACTGGGCGTGGTGGCTCAGGCCTGTAATCCCAGCACTGTGGGAGGCGGAGGCAGGCAGATCACGATGTCAGGAGTTGGAGACCAGCTTGGCCAATACGGTGAAACCCTGTCTCTACTAAAAAATACAAAAACTAGCCAGGTGTGGTGGCTCGCGCTTGTAATCCCAGCTACTTGGGAGGCTGAGGCTGGAGAATCATTTGAACCAGGGAGGGTGAAGGTTGCAGTGAGCTGAGCTCCCGCCACTGCACTCCAGCCTGGCGACATAGCGAGGCTCCGTCTCAAAAAAGAAAAGGAGAGTCAGCCTGGAGTGGCAATGAAGCCTGGGCCTTGGGTTAGACATGGTCCTGGGCTGAATGTGGCTCTCCATGCCCTGGTGATGATGACTGTGCTGGTGCCTGTGGTCAGCTGGATAAAGCCCCCAAAGATGTTCATGTTTGAATCCCCAGGACCTGGGAAAGATACTTAGTATGGCAAGAGGGATTTTGCAGGTGTGACTACATGAAGAAGTTTGAAATCATCATGGATTAGCCTGCAGGAGCTGGATGTGCCTGGTGTAATCACACCGTCCTTATAAGAGCGATGCAGAGGGTCAGGGTCACAGGAGAAGGTCCTCACCAATCTGATGTACTTTGAACATGGAAGAAGGGGCCTCAGCCAAGGAATATGGCAGCCCCTAGAGACTAAAAGAGGCAAGAAAACAAAGGCTTCCCTTAGAGCCTCCAGAAGAACCAGGCTTGCTGATACCTTGACCTTAGCCCTGTGAAACTGTTTCAGACTTTCGACCTCCAGACCTTCAGAGAATCAATGTGAATTGTTTCAAACCACTTGGTTTGTGGTTATTTGTTGTACCTGCCATGGGAAGTGAAGACAGTACCTCACAGGGGCTCATGATGTCTTGGTTCTAAAATTTGTCTTTTCTTTCATTCTCTTCAACAGCCATGACAATCATCTGTGCTCTTCTCTCTGTGCCTAACATTGTCATCTCCCATATGCACCACTGGCCCACCTTTGAGAAAGAATTCAAACTCCACTTCCTGGCCAGGCTGGTCTCGAACTCCTGACCTCAAACCCCACTTTCTTCATGAGGCTTGCTATGACCCCACCACACCCACCAGGTAAAAGTAGAAACCCACAGAACTCAAAGTGGGGAACCCTTCCCACCGGTGCCACATTCAAGCCTCATTCCCCACCAAACTGAACATCCAGGGAGGTTTGTGGATGATGTAAATGGAAGGCGCAGAAGGTGAAGGCCCAGGGTGGAAAGGGCTCTGCCCTCTGGGCCTCCACTGAATTAGGCCTGTGCTCTGTCTGACCTGGGGAGTGTCCTCATCTGTGCCCTCACCTTGGGTCCACCTTGTGAAGCCAACACACCACTTTGCCTCCTGGACCATTTCCCCTGGATGTCTCACAAGCCCTTCAGGCCCACCACATCCCAAACTGACATCAGCATATACCAAACATGTGCCCCTCCTCATTCCCTGGCTCCTGTGGGCATCACCGCCTGCCCCTACCCCAACCCAGGACTCTGACATCATCCAAGCCTCTTCCTTCTCCTCCACCTCACACTCTCTGTCCTTTACAAAGTCCCATTATTTCCGCCTCAGACACATCTCTCAAATCCATCTTCTTTTCTGTGTCTCCACTACCCGTGCTGCAGGCCAGACCACCATCACCTCTCACTGGACCCTGCTACGACCACCTCCCTGATCTTTCTGCCCTTGGGCTCGCTCCATGGAGCCCCTTCTCCACACAGCAGCAGCCAGAGGCAGTTTCTGGAGCCCACAGCTGAATGCGTTGTTCTCCTTGCTCAGGCAGAGAAGAGGACAGATGGGGTTTTGGTCTCCTGTGTGTAGCCAGAGGGACTGCCTTGTCCTTCGCCATCTCCAGTAGTTCCTGAGACCACAGCTGCTGATGGCAAATGCCCCCAGTCCCAGCCATGCCCCAGCCCCCTGCATTGAGAGACCCAGCTCCACCCAGAGGGCAGCTGCAGCCTCCTTCATCCACAGCCACTGCTGTGACCAAGAGGGACATTGTCCTGGAAGGCCAGTGGAGCCTTTCTGAGGCCTTCACAGGCCCAATGTCCACCCTGGTCATGACACGTATAATAACACAGCTCTTGCATTAAATACTATTTACTGCAGCAGAATTTTTTTTTAAGTTTGTTATAATTTTGAATTTTGTGAAGAGTAAATTATTCATTTTGTTTTTTAACTTGAATTTATTCATTATACCTAAGTAAGAATTGATCTGGGCTATGCTTGGCTAGTTGGTATAATACCACATCTGTAGACATTTAATTAAACATGTATTAATTTTAATGTTGTTTTCTGCTCACATTTTAGCATCAATTTTTTTTAAATCAGGGCTTGAATATTTGTGTAAGTTCTTGAAAAATTTATGGGCCCAAAGCCATGAAGCTATAAAAGGTCCCTGGGTCTCTGCAAAGAGGCCAGGCCTCCCAAAGAACTTAGGGCTAAGTCACACCAGGGCTGGGTGGCTGGGGCGGGAGAGTGGCAGGCTCCTCACATCCATAGGTATCCAGGCCACACCTGCTGTGTCACAGAGGGCCTGGGGATGAGAAAAAGAGAGAAAGAGGTTTGAGCCTGGGGATCCCTCTCCAGTGGGATCCAGGAAATCCTGAGTACCCAAACCCCCTCTGGTATACTTCTGCTGTCCTCTCCTGCCAGCCCTGACACCACCCCCTCTCCCCGCCCTAGTGATGCTGGCTCAGACTCAGCTCTCTTGAAGCTTGGCTTCTCTAAGAATTTATGGCTCTGAGCTAAGTGAAGAGAGGTCAGAGCCACTGGCTCTCTCATATCTCAGTCTTATTTTCAATACGCCATTTCCCCAGCACTCCAACATCACAGGGCTTTGGGGAATGAATGGAGGCTATGGGGTCAGAAAAGCCTGGATTCATATGCTGGTTCAATATGAATGAGTTCCATGATTTGGGATAAGTCCCTTCCCCCGTCTGAGCCCTGATTTCCTCATCTGCAAAATGAGGTAAGTAATACCAACTTATGGGTGATAGGATGAAACCACTAGCACCATGCTTGGCAGTCTGTGTAGGCACTTGATAAAGAGGAGTTTCCTCCCTCGCAACTTTTGGCCCACAATCTCATCGGTCACAGCGTTTGACCAACCCTGTCCTGGCTTCCTTTCCTTTTTCAAGAGTCCTTGCCACCAGGGTACCTGGGATGCCTATGTGAGGTACCCTATGTCAGGGTACCTATGTGAGAAAGGGCTGGGAGGTCTGTTTGCTTTATAGCTGATGCGTGCCGGGCACAGTGCTGGATGCCTAAGCAGGTAGTATTATCACTCTTCACCTGCCTGACAGACGTGTTGATCTATTCCCAATAGGCTCCGCTCCCTCACTTCTACCGCTAGTACGTCCAGCGTGCCGCCACTCTGCAGAGGTGCAGAAGGCAGAAAGCAGATCCTCTTGGCCAAGTTCCAAGCCACAGTCCCCCATATGCATCAAAATCAAAATCGATTCTAACTAAAACCTATTTCCCCTGACCATTGCATTTGACCCTACCTACTATTTTACTATTTAAGTCCAAGGGGAAGGCATATTTTTTTAAATAGAAAAAAATGTAATCACTTAATTTCAGCACTCATCATGAAAGATTTTGAGTTAGCAAATCAGTGTAATGGATTGCAGCTAATGCATTTTCCTTCCAGAAAGTAGATGGCTGGTATCCAGTTTCCATCCAAACTGCAGTCACTCTGCAAAAGATGGAGGCACAGACTTGGCCCACTCTTCTCTCCACCAAAACTTACTGTGATGTTCTCACATCCACATCTCAAGAAATCCCAGGGTTGAACATACTGCTCTACAAGCAGGGACCAGGGGCTCTAAAGTGCCTCCCAGTCACCACTCTCCTGATTGATCATCATCATCACCACCACCACCATCAGCAGCATCCCCACCACCCATCCGTCATCTGTGAGCACCTCCTGTGCATCAGGCAGGGCCCAGCCCCATAACGTTGCTATGAGGTTTGTACTGTTATCTCTGTTTTCCAGAGAAGATGACCAAGGCTCAGAGAGAATAAATCATTTCTCCAAAGTTACCAAGCTGGTAAGAAACAGGGCTAAGATTCACCGCATAGTCACTCTGACTCTAAAGCCCAGGTTTTTCCTACTGTAAGATAATTTCTGGCCAGGCACGGTAGCTCACATCTGTAATCCCAGCACTTTGGGAGGCCGAGCAGGCGGATCACAAGGTCAGGAGTTTGACACCAGCCTGACCAACATGGTGAAACCCCGTCTCTAATAAAAATACAAACACTAGCCAGGCATGGTGGCATGCACCTGTAATCCCAGCTACTCAGGAGGCTGAGGCAGGAGAATCGCTTGAACCAGGGAGACAGAGGTTGCAGTGAGCTGAGATTGCACCACTGCACTCCATCCTGGGTGACAGAGCGAGACTCTGTCTCAAAAAAAAAGATAATTTTTCTTCTGTTTTTCCTTTTATCATCATGATCTACTTTTTCCTTTGCTTGTCAGCCCTTGTCAGTTTCTCCTGTCCAGTGCTGCCTAATTTTTGGCATGCCCTCAAGATTGTCTTCTGTTTTCACGTACATGTTTTCAACTATAACCTCTGTGATGCACTTGTGGCTCCCCCATAGCACTACTTACTACAATCTATTTAAATTTACGTCTAGTACTCCCCTCCCATTCCCTCCAGATGTGTAGTCTTGATGGCCAAGACTGTCTATTGGTCACCGCATCCCTGAGGTCCAGGGCTTGGCTCATGATTTACTCAAAAGTTTATGGGATGAATCAGTGAACAGATGCATGCATAGGTGGATGAAAAGACAGATGCATTGATAGAAGAGTGGAAGGGTGAATAAGACATTAATTGATGGTTAAGGATCGCTCTAAAATCTACATTCCTAACCCTCTTCATTTCCCTCCATCCCTATATCTCCAAATGTCTATCAGAAGCTTCTACTTGGCTCCTCTGCTGTCATCTGAAACTAAACCTGTGCAAACCTGAACCCCACCCTAGCTAATTCCTGCTTATCTCTTTTCTGCCAATGGTACAGTACTGTTATTCCTCCCAGTGCCCTCCTGCATGGGTTCTTTGATTGATTCATTCTGTCAACGTTTTTAGTTTGTTTTTCTTTTTCTTTTCTTTTTTTGCTATCTGCTATGTGCCAAACACAGTTCTGGGGAATAAAAAACGAGTAAGTAAGACGGGCAAAATCCTGGGGGATTCCCCCAAAGGAATTTGCAGTCAACAGTGGGTTGGAAAGTGGGATATCAAACAATAAGCAAGTAAAAAATAAACAAGATAATTATAGAGCGTAATCAGTGATACATTAAGGAAAGAGTGTGATGAAAGACAACAGATCTCATACCAGATAAGAGGGGTAAGCAGGGCTTGTTTGAAAAACTGATATGAAGCAACACCTGAAGGACAGAATACACCAGTCAAGTAAAGAGCTGAAAGAAGTGCATTCCAGGCAGAAGAACCAGCAAGTTCAAAGGTCCCTGGGCTGGGAAGCGCCTGATGTGTTTCAGGACCAGAAAGGCAGCTGTATGACTGGAGGGCAGTGAACAGTGGGAGACTACAGGGGAGGAGGTGTTTCATAGACCTGTGCAAGGTTATGCAGGGCCTTGAAGGCCCTGGGAAGGAGTACAGATTTTATTCTAGGAGCAGTGGGAAGCTACTGAAGAGTCTTAAAATGGGAATGACATGATCTCTCTGGCAAGTAGGCAACAAGCTACTCCCCAAAAGCCCCAGGTGCAGATGATTCATAGGTGAGTTATGTCAAGGCAGTAGTAAAGAGATAACTCCAATTCCATTTGCACCGTTACAGAGCACAGAGAATGTAAGCATCCACACGCTTTTTATGAAGTCATCATGGCTAGGCATGGTGGCTCACACCTGTAATCCCAACACTTTGGGAAGGCAAGGTGGGGGGATCCCTTGAGGCCAAGAGTTTGAGACCAGCCTGGGGAACATGATGAGTCCCTGTCTCTACAAAAAGTAAAAAAAAAATGCTGGGTGTGATGGTGGATGCCAGTAGTCCCAGCTACTTGGGAGGCTGAGGTGGGAGGATGGCTTGAGTCCAGGAGGTCGAGGCTGCAGTGAGCCATGATTGTGCCACTACACTCCAGGTTAGGTGACAAAGCAAGACCTTTCTTTAATAAATGAATAAATATAGTCATTGTGATACTGTTGGCCATTCTAACAAGGTGCAGTACAAAGAAATGGGCAGACCAAGCTTATTTATGAAATTAATGCAAAAAATCTTTAACATCTTAGTAAGTAGAATTCTGAAGCACATTGAAAGAACAACACATCACAACCAAATTGATATTATACCAAAAAGGCAAGAATAATTTAATATTAAAGTGGAAAAGGCATGATCATCTCTAAAAAGACTGAAAGGTATTTGATAAATTCATTAATTCTTGATTTTTAAAACACTTTTTTAGTCAAATAACAGTAGATGTACAGTTTCTAAATATTTTATGCCAAAAGTCAACATTATGCTTAATGGTGAGATACTGGAAACACTTCCATTAAAGTCAGAAAAATTATTCTAGAGATATAAGAGGAACAATTGAATAAGAGAAAGAAATGAGAGGTATAAAAATGAGAAAGGAGGCAAAATTGTCATTATGTGAACAAGCCATTCAAGATAACCTATGAACTACTAAAACTAGGAAGTTTAGTATAGTTGCTAAATGGAGATCAATACATGCAAAAATTTTAATAACCATGTTGTTTATGATTACAATTAAAATGATAAATGTAATTTTTAAATATGTAAAAGAAGCACTGAGGCTGGGCATGGTGGCAAACACCTGTAATCCCAGAGCTTTGGGAGGCTAAAGCAGGAGGATTGCTTGAGACCAGGAGTTCAAGACCAGCCTGGCCAACATGGCAGGACGCCATCTTTATGAAAATAATAAATTAAAAAAAAAACAAAAAAAGTAAAATAAAACAAGCACTGAAAATATATTAACATCACTAGACATCAGGGAAATACAAATTAAAGCCATAATATGGTTTTAATATTGTGAAAGGATAAGCAAGATCAATAGACCACTAGCAAAATTAACAAAGGAAAAAAGAGAGAAGATCCAAATAAGCACAATCAGAAACAACAAAGGTCACATTACAACCAATCCCACAGAAATACAAAAGATCCTCAAAGACTATTATGAACGCCTCTCTGCACGCAAACTAGAAAATCCAGAGGGATGAATAAATTCCTGGAAACACACAACCTCACAAGATTGAATCGGGAAGAAATTGAAACCCTGAACAGACCAATATCAAGTCCTAAAATTGAATCAGTCGATAAAGACCTACCACTACCACCAACAAAAAAGCCCTGACTCAGGTGGATTCACAGCTGAATTCTACGAGACCTACAGAGAAGAGCTGGTACTAATTCTACTGAAACTGTTCCAAAACATCAAGGAAGAGGGAGACTCCTCCATAACTAATTCTACAAAGCCAACGTCACCCTGATACAAAAACTTGGCAAAGACACAATGAAAAAGGAAACTACAGGCCAATATCCCTAATAACATAGATGCAAACATCCTCAACAAAATACCAGCAAACCAAATCCAGTAGCACATCAAAAAGTTAATTCAGGCCGGGCACAGTGGCTCACGCCTGTAATCCCAGCACTTTGGGAGGCCAAGGCAGGCAGATCACCTGAGGTCAGGAGTTCGAGACCAGCCTGGCCAACATGGTAAAACCCCATCTCTACTGAAAATACAAAAATTAGTCAGGCATGGTGGAGGGTGCCTATAATCCCAGCTACTCAGGAGGTTGAGGCAGGAGAACCGCTTGAACCCAGGAGGCAGAAGTTGCAGTGAGCCGAGATTGCACTATTGCACTCCAGCCTGGACAACAAGAGCAAAACTCCATCTCAAAAAAAAAAAAAAAAGTTAATTCATCATGATCAAGTAGGCTTTATCCATGGGATGCAAGGTTGGCTCAAATACTCAAATCAATAAATGTAATTCACCACACAAACAGAATTAAAAACAAAAGCCATATGATCATCTCAATAGACAGCAAAAGCTTTCAATAAGATCCAACATTCTTTCATGATAAAAATCCTCAACAAACTAGGCACTGAAGGAACATATCTCAAAATAAGGTAATAAGAGCCATCCATGATAAATCCACAGCCAACATCATACTGAACAGGCAAAAGCTGGAAGCACTCCCCCTAAAGAACAAGAACAAGTCAAGCATACCCACTCTCACCACTCCTGTTCAACATAGTACTGGAAATCCTAGCCAGAACAATTAGGCAAGAGAAGGAAATAAAGGGCATCCAAATAGGAAAAGAAGAAATCAAATTCTCTCTTCACTGATGATTTGATTCTATACCTAAAAAACCCTAAAAACTCTACCAAGAGGCTCCTCGACCTGATAAATGACTTTAGTCAAATTTCAAGATACAAAATCAAAGTACAAAAGTCAGCAGCATTTATATACACCAATAGCATTCAAGCTGAGAGCCAAATCAAGAATGCAATCCTATATACAATCATCACACAAAAAGTAAAATAGTTAGAAATACATCTAACCAAGGAGGTAAAAGATCTCTACAAGAAGAACTACAAAACACTGCTGAAATAAATCAGAGATGACAGAGCAATGGAAAATATTCCATGTCATGAACTGGAAGAATTAACATAATTTAAAATGGCTGCACTTCCCAAAGCAATCTGCAGATTCAATGCTATTTCTATATTTATATTCAAAGCAATTTGATTAGATAAAAGAGATAGAAGAAAATTAGAAAAAACTCTTCTAAAATTCATATGGAACCAAAAAAGAGCCCAAATACCCAAAGCAATCCTAAGCAAAAAGAACAAAGCTGAATATATCACATTACCCAACTACAAACTATAGTATAAGGCTACAGTTACCAAAACAGCGTGGTATTGGTACAAAAACAGACACATAGACCAATGGAACAGAATAGAGAACTCAGAAACAAAGCTGCACACCTACGATCATCTGATCTTTGACAAAGTTGACAAAAATAAGCAATGAAGAAAGGACTCTCTATTCAATAAATGGTGCTGGGATAGTTGGCTAGCCATATGCAGAAGCATGAAACTAGACCCCTGCCTCTCACCATGTACAAAAATTAATTCAAGATGGATTAAGGATGTAAATCTAAGATCTCAAACTATAAAAATCCTAGAAGAAAACCTAGGAAATACCATTTTGGACATCAGCCTTGGCAAAGAGTTTATGACTAAGTCCTCAAAAGCAATTGCAAAAAAAAAAAAAATTGATGAGTGAGACCTAATTAAACTATAGAGCTTCCACACGGCAAGAAAAAAAATTATCAGCATCGTAAACAGACTACCTACAGAATGGGAGAAAATATTTGCAAACTATGCATCTGACAAAGGTCTAATTCCAGAATCTATAAGGAAATTAAACAACTCGACAAGCAAAAAACAAATAACCCCATCAAAAAGTGGGCAAAGGACATGAACAGACACTCCTTTCGAGAAGTCTCAAAAGGAGATATACAACAAACATATGAAAAAATTCTCAACATCACTAATCATCAGAGAAGCACAAATCAAAACCACGATGAGATACCATCTCAGACCAGTCAGAATGGCTACTATTAAAAAGACAAAAAATAACAGACGCTGGCTGGGCTGTGGAGAAAAAAGAATGCTTATACACTGCTGGTGGGAATGTAAATTAGTTCAGCCACTGTGGAAAGTAGTTTGGAGATTTCTCAAAGAACTAAAAATGGAACTACCATTTGACCCGGTAATCCCACTACTGTGTATATCTCTAAATGAAACGAAATCATTCTACAAAAAAGAAACATGCATGTACATGTTCATTGCAGCACTATTCACAACAGCAAAGACATGGAATCAAACTAAGTGTCCATCAATGGTGGACTGGACAGAGAAAATGTGGTACGTATACATCATGGAATACTATGTAGCCATAAAAGAGAATGAAATCAAGCTAGGCGTGGTGGTTCATGCACTTTGGGAGGCTGAGGCAGGAGGATTGCTTGAGCCCAGGAGTTCCAGACCAGCCTAGGCAACATAGTGAGACTGCTGTCTCTACAAAAAACACAAAAATTAGCCAGGCATGGTGGTGCATGCCTGTGTTCCCAGCTAGTTGGGAGGCTGAGGTAGGAGGATCACTTGAGCCTGGGAGGTCAAGGCTGCAGTGAGCCGAGATTGCGCCACTGCACTCCAGCTTGGGCAACAGAGCAAGCTCCATCTCAAAAAAAAAAAAAAAAATGAAATCATGTATTTTGCAGCAGCAAGATGTATGTTCTATAAGGAACTTAAACACTTAACTCAACTGGAGGGATAGATAGCTGGCTAGCCATACGCAGAAGAATGAAACTAGACCCCTACCATTCACCATATACAAAAATTAACTCAAGATGGATTAAAGATGTAAATCTAAGACCTCAAACTATAAACTATTATCCTAAGCAAATTAACACAGGAACAGAAAACCAAATACCAGATGTTCTCACTTATTAGTGGGAGCTAAACATTGGGTACACATGGACATAAAGATAGGAACAATAGGCACTGGGGACTACTAGAGTGGGGAGAGAGGGAAACAAGGCCTAAAATACTACCTGTTGGTACTATGCTCACTACCTGGATGACGGGATCAGGCATACCCCACACCTCAGCATAACACAATATACCCATGTAACAAACCTGCACGTGTATCCTCTGAATCCGAAATAGAAGTTGAAATTATAAAAATAAAATAAACCATGATATAACACCACTGCACCCCTGTTACAAGGGCTAAAATAAAAAGTACTGGCAGTGTCAAATGCTGATAAGAATGTAGATAAACTGGATATCTCATCCATTGCTAGTGGGAATGTGAAATACTACAGCCAGTCTGGAAATCAGTTTGGCAGTTTCTTAAAAAGTTAAACAGACACTTACCTTATAATCTGGAAATCATACTCCCAGGTATTTATCCTAGAGAATTGAAAATGCGTTCACAAGAAAAAGCTTGTACATAAATGTTTGTAGATGTATAATACCTTAATATCCCTAAATGGAAACAACCCAAATGTCCTTCCATGGGTAAATATTTAAACAAAACATGGTCTATACAGACAACGGAATACTACATACAACAAAAAGGAACAAACTGTGGATACACGCGAAAACTTGGATGGATCTTAAGACATTATACTGAATGAAAAATCCAACCTCAAAAGGTTGCATGCTATATAATTCCACCTATGTAACATTCTCAAACGTAAAATTTTAGAGGTAGAGAATAGATCAGTTGTTGCCAGAGGAAATCGGGGTAATCAGCAGAGGGTGTGATTACGAAGTGGTAGCAGGAAGGAATTCCTTTGTAGTGATGAACAGTTGTGTATCTTGATTGTGGTGGTAGTGATATAAATCTATAGGTGGAATAAAATGTCATAGAACTGGCTGGGAGCGGTGGCTCACGCCTGTAATCCCAGCACTTTGGGAGGCCGAGGAAGGCAGATCATGAGGTCAGGAGTTCGAGATGAGCCTGACCAACATGGTGAAACCCTGTCTCTACTAAAAATACAAAAATTAGCCGGGCGTGCCTGTAATCCCAGCTACTCAGGAGGCTGAGGCAGGAGAATCACTTGAACCCGGGAGGCAGAGGTTGCAGTGAGCCGAGATCACACCACTGTTCTCTAGCCTGGACGACAGAGCGAGACTCCATCTCAAAAAGAAAAAAAAAAAAAGTCACAGAACCACATGCGAAAATGTACCCAAAACATGAGTCATGCAAAAACTGGTAAACTCCAATTAAGGTCTGTAGTCTAGTTAATTGTGTGGTCCTTTCCTTGTCTTGATAAAGTGCTGCAATTAAGATGTCACCATTGGGAAAGCCTGGATGATGGGTACCAGGACTTCTCTGAGCTATTTTTGCAACCTGCAAGTCTAAAATTATTTAAAAATAAAATGTTAAAAAGATATGCCATTTCCAATTACAACAAAAATCACTCTTGAAGTGAATAGAGAAATTTTCCATCTTTATGAGTGGAATGTCTCAAAAGTCATAAAATGAAAATTCTTCTTAAATATTCAATAAGTTCAATGCAATTCCATAAAACATTTTTCATTAAAGTTTTCAGAGTTTTTCAAGCTGATTCTAAAATTAACAGGGAAGTCTTAAGGACAAGGCTTCCAATCCAATGTAAGCACTATGAGAGAAATATTTTACATCCCAGAGTATGGAACAGGGCATAAATTTTACATCCCAGAGTATAGAACAGTGCCTGGTACACAGTAGGTGCTCAAAAAAAATTGTGAAAAAATGAATGACAACTTAAAAGAAAAAGGAGGCCAGGCGTGGTGGCTCATACCTGTAATCCCAGAACTTTGGGAGGCAGAGCGGGGGCAGATCACCTGAGGTCAGGAGTTCGAGACTAGCCTGGCCAACATGGGGAAACCCCACCTCTACAAAAATACAAAAATTAACCAGGCATGGTGGTGCACACCTGTAATCACAGCTACTAGGGAGGCTGAGACAGGAGAATTGCTTGAACGTGGGAGGGGGAGGTTGCAGTGAGCCGAGATCAGGCCACTGCACTCCAGCCTGGGTAACAGAGCAAGACTCTGTGTCAGGAAAAAAAAAAAAAAGGAAGAAAGAAAAGGGAGAAGAAGAGGAGAAGAAGGAGGAGAGATTTGCCCTACCAAGTATTAAGAACTAGAATAACTCTTGAGTATAATTTAAGCACAGGGTAAATAAATAGACCAATAAAACAGGATATAGAGTTTAGAAACAGATCCACCTACATACAAAAACTTGTTATATACTAGAGGAAGCATTATTAATCAGTGAGGAAAGGGTAAACTATTCAAATAACCATGCTTAAAGAACATGAAAAAAATAGATTCTTATCTTTATCGCTAGGATTTACGTTCAGCTACAAGCCACATGAAAGCAGCCTAATGAAAAATGGATTAATTTTCTCTCATAAAAAGAAACCCAAAAATGAACAAAAGAAGAAAACTATGAAGATTAAAAAGAACCTAGAGGCAGAGTGGTGTAGCATCTCCACAATGCCATTAATGTTTCATATTCTCTCTGCCTGTCCATTTACAATCTTTAGTGTGCAGTTTCTGTCTTCAAGTTCATCCCAGTGGGTGGGGAGAGGTCCCCAAACACCTGTGGGACTGCGGCCCCAGCCAGTGTCCACGTTCTTGACACCGTCGAGAGAATGAATTCAAGGACAAGCAAGAAAATAGTGAAAGTACAGAGATTTATTGCAAAGCAAATAGTACATACTCAAGAAAGGGGAGTGTGGGTGTACTCAAGCGAGTCACACAGTGGAGTTTGGGGTTTCCACCTTTATGGGTTTCTTTAACCAGGGGGTGGAATATTCATGAAAATTCCTGGAAAAAGGTGAAGATTTCTCAGAATTGTAGTGCCACCCATTTTTACACCAAATATGGGTGTTCCTGAAACTGTCATGGGGCTGGTGCGAGTGTGATGTGTATGTTAATGAATGCATAATGAGGTCCTAAGTGAAACCTAGGTCAAATCCAGCACCATGTTGTGTCCGGTTGGTCTTAGCCAGCTTGGTCCAAAACTTTGGTTTTCAGAGTCTTGTCAATCCCTAGCTTCTGTAGCTATTTCAAGTTTTCTTTTGCTAGTCATGTAAAACTGCTGCCTGGAATTTTCTATTCTCCTGTGACCACCCTGTATTATTCCTGTGTCAAAGCTTGTGACCTCATGGTGACAAAAGGGTGATTCATCTCTAGCCTATGTCCATTTTTTCAGAAAAGAAGAAGTAGAAGGAAGAAGGAAGAAGGAAGGTAGATGGAAATACACTCATATCAAGAAAGAAAGAAATCATAACATTTCACAGAAATCCCCTTCTCTCATGCCTCAATGGGCAGAACCATGTCACATGACCTTTTCTGGCTACAAGGAAGTCCAGAAAGAGAAGTACACTGCTGACCTGAACAGGAATAACCTGGGGTGCTCTAAGTAAGGAAGAAGGATAGTCTGCTATACTACTTCACATTACACACAAAAGATAGACTAAAAATATAAAGACAAAAAACTTAAAAAATATAATGTAAGGTAATATCTTCATGACATCAGAGCAGGGAAGTTTTCTTAAACATGCAGAAAGTGCAGCTCACAAAGCAATAGATTGATAAGTTTGACTACATTAAAATTTGAAGGCTCTGTATGTCAAAAGATACTATAAACATGATTGAAAGATAAGCCACAGCCTGGGAGATGATATTTGCAATGCACATAAACCATGGGTGATTAATATGCAGGCTGTATTAGAAACTTTTATAAAATAATTTTTCAAAGTCAAACAACCTGATAGAAAAGTGGGTCAAGGCAAAACAGAACAAAACATGAGCAGCAAAACAGAAACTCCAATAGGCAATAAGCACATAAAAAGATGTTCAGCCTTACTAGTATTCAAATTTAAACACCATGATACAACATTTCACACCCTTCCGAACGGCAAAAGTTTTAAAGTCTGGTTATAACAGATATTGGTGAGGAGATTGAGAAACAGAAACTCCCACATACTGCAGGTGGGAGTATAAACTGGTACAACCATTTTGGAGAGAATTTGTTCCTCGTATATTCAAAGCAGCATATACCCTATGACTCAGAAACTCTACTTCTGGATTATCAACCCTAGAGAATTGTTTTCACATAGGCAATGGAGACATATATAAGGAAAAACGCGCTGCATTATTTGTAATAGCTAAAAAGTAGGAACAACCTAACTGTTCCTCAGCAGATGTATATGTGTGTATGTGGGTGTGTGTGTGTTGGGGGGGTGTATTTAAGTGGTTTATCATACAACAGACTACTGGAGAGCAGTTAAAATGGCCTAACCAGATTTAGATGTATCAGCATGGATAAATCTCACATTCCTATTGATAAGTGAAAGAGGCACATTGTAAGAGTTTCACAAAGCATGATAACCATTCGGGAAAAAAATAATGTTAAATACACAAAGAATACAGATTTATTATAGGTACACATATGTGTAAAAAAACAAAAACAAAAACATGCATCCATGTCATCTTCCATATGGTGGTAAGGAAGGAAGGAAGACGGAGTATGCTCAGTATGGAACCTAAAATGTATCTGTGTCATTTTATTTAAGTGAGCTACGGAGCTGTCACCAAGGGTCTCTCACTGGAAAATCTGGAACAATTTGGGCATCAAAATTTAAAATGGGGGGGAGGGGCCAAGATGGTCAAGTAGAAACAGCTCTGGTCTGTTTCTCCCACCAAGACAAACGCAAAAGGCGAGTGATTTCTGTCAACTGAGGGACACGGATGTTCTCAGTGGGACTGGATAGAAGGTTGGCACGACCCATGGAGAGGAACGAAAAGCAGGGTGGGGTGACGATTCACCCAGGAGCTGCACAGAGCAAAGGGACCTCCCTCCCCCAGCCAAGGGAGGTGGTGAGGGACTATGCTACCTGCCTGGGATTCTACACTTTTCCCACGGATTTTTGCAATCTGTGGATCAGAAGATTCCTTCGTGTGCCAACACTACCAGGACCTTGGGTCCCAAGCACAAAACTGGGCATACCCACGACAGGGGCACCGGTCAGCAACCAATGGGGCAGGCACTGAGCTGCAGGATCTTTACATACTCTGGTGGCTCCCGGAACTCCAGGGTGGCAGGAGAACTATCCACTCTCATGGAAAGGGTACTGAAGCCAGGGAGGCAAGCAGCCTCCCTCAGTGGGTCCCACTCCCATGGAACCTCACAAGCTAAGACCCACTGACTTGGAATCCTCTCAGGCCACCACAACAGCCTGGAGTCTGCCTAAGACGACCAGTTCCCAGGGGTAGGGGCGATCACCATTACTGCAGCTCTAGTCAGTGGTTTTCCCCGGCCAGTGTTAGGGAGGCTGGGCAGTTTGGACTGAGCAGTATTCTCCACAGTGCAGCACAGCAGCTGTGGCAGATCGTGGCCAGACTGCTTCTTTAGGTAGGACCTGGACCTATCCTCCTAACTAGCCAGGGCCTCCCTGCAGGATTCCAGCAACTCTAGCCAGGGGTGTACAGACAGAACTCTCATCTCCTTGGAACAGAGCATCTGGGAGGACAGGTGGCCATGGTCTCAGGTTCAGTGGACTTAATCTTTCTTGCCTGCTGGCTCTGAAGAGTCCAGGCAATCCAGATGAGGGGGATTCCCCCAGCACAGTGCACCAGCTCTGCTAAGGGGCAGCCAGACTGCTTCCTTAAGCGGGACCCTGATCCCATGCCTCCTGACTGGGTGAGACCTCCCAACAGGGGTGGCCAGACACCTCATACAGGAGAGTTCTGACTGGCATCAGATCAGTACCTCTCTTGCATGAAGCTTCTGGAGGAGGGAGCAGGCAGCAATCTTTGCTGTTCTGCAGCCTCCACTGGGGATACCAATGCAAACAGGGTCCGGAGTGGACCCCCAGCAAACTGCTGCAGACCTGCAGAAGAGGGGCCTGACTGTTAGAAGAAAAACAAATAGAAAGCAACAACACCAACATCAACAAAAAAGGCCCTACAAAAAACCCATCCAAAGGTAAACAGCCTCAAAGAGAAAAGGTAGGTAAATTCACACAGATGAGGAAAAACCAATGCAAAAACGCTGAAAATTTCAAAAGCCAGAATGCCTCTTTTCCTCCAAATGATTGCAAAACCTCTCCATCAAGGGCACAGAACTGGGCTGAAGCTGAGATGGATTAACTGACAGAAGTAGGCTTCAGAAAGTGGGTAATAATGAACTTCACTGAGGTAAAGGATTATGTTCTAACCCAATGCAAAGAAGCTAAGAACCATGACAAAAGTGTACAGGAGCTGTTAACTAGAATAACCAGTTTAGAAAGGAACACAAATGACCTGATGGAGCTTAAAAATACAGCACAAGAACTTCATGATGCAAACACAAGTGTCAATAACCAAATCAATCAAGTGGAAGAAAGAATATCAGAGCTTGAAGACTATCATGCTGAAATGAGGCAGGTTGACAAGATTAGAGAAACAAGAATGAGAAGGAATGAACAAAACCTCCAAGAACTATGAGACTATGTATAAAGACCAAACCTACAACTGATTGGAGTACCTGAAAGAGATGGGGAGAATGGAATCAAGTTGGAAAACACACTTCAGGAAATCATCCAGAAGAACTTCCCCAACCTAGCAAGACAGGCCAACATTCAAATTTAGGAAATCCAGAGAGCCCCAGTTAGATACTCCATGAGAAGATCAACCCCAAGACATAATCATTAGATTCTCCAAGGTCAAAATGAGGAAAAATGTTAAGGGCAGCCAAAGAGAAAGGCCAGGTCACCTACCAAGGGAAGCCCATCAGACTAACAGAGGACCTCTCAGCGGAAACCCTATAAGCCAGAAGAGATTGGGGGCCAGTATTCAACATTCTTAAAGAAAAGAATTTCCAACCTAGAATTTCATATCCAGCCAAACTAAGCTTTATAAGCAGAGGAGAAATAAAATCCTTTTCAGACAAGCAAATGCTGAGAGATTTCGTCACCAGGCCTGCCTTGCAAGAGCTCCTGAAGGAAGCACTAACCACTAAACATAGAAAGGAAAAATCATTACCAGCCACTACAAAAACTGAAGTACACAGACCAACGACACTATGAAACAACTACATTAACAAGTTTGCAAAATAAACAAAGCAGCATCTTGATGACAGGATCAAATTCACACATAACCATATTAACCTTAAATGTAAATGGGCTAAATACCCCAATTAAAAGACACAGAATGGCAAGCTGGATAAAAAGACAAGACCCATTAGTGTGCTGTATTCAAGAGACACATCTCAAGTACAAACACACACATAAGCTCAAAATAAAGGGATGGAGACAAATTTACCAAGCAAATGGAAAGCAGAAAAAAGCAGGGGTTGCAATCCTAGTTTCTGACAAAATAGACTTTAAGCCAACAAAGGTAAAAAAAGATAAACAAGGACATTATATAATGGTAAAGGGTTCAATTCAATAAGAGCTAACTATCCTAAATGTATATGCACCCAATACAGGAGCACCCAGATTCATAAAACAAATTCTTAAAGACCTACAAAGAGACTTGGGCCCTGACACAATAATAGTGGGAGACATTAATACTCCACTGTCAGTATTAGACAGATTATTGAGATAGAAAATTAACAAAGATATTTGGGACTTGAACTCAGCTCTGGACCAAGTGGACCTGATAGATATCTACACAACTCTTCACTGCAAAACAACAGAATATGCATTTTTCTCAGTGCCACATGGCACTTACTCTAAAATTGATCACATAATGAGAACTAAAACACTCCTCAACAGATGCAAAAAAACTGAAATCATAACAAACAGTCTCTCAGATCACAGCACAATCAAATTACAACTCAAGATTAAGAAACCCACTCAAAACCACACAACTACATGGAAATTGAACAACCTGCTCCTGGATGACTTCTGGGCAAATAATGAAATTAAGGCAGAAATCAAGAAGTTCTTTGAAACTAAAGAGAACAAAGAGACAATATACCAGAATCTCTGGGATGCAGCTAAAGCAGTGTTAAGAGGAAAATTTATAGCACTAAATGCCCACATCAAAAAACCAGAAAGATCTCAAATTGACACCCTGACATCATAACTAAAATAACTAGAAAACCAATGGCAGATAAACCCCAGAGCTAGCAGAAGACAGGAAATAACAAAGCTCAGAGCAGAACTGAAGGAGATAGAGACATGAAAAGTTCAAAAAGTCAATGAATCCAGGAGATGTTTTTTGAAAAAAATTAATAAAATAGACCGCTAGCTAGACTAATAAAGAAGAAAAGAGAGAAGATTCAAATAAACACAATCAGAAATGATAAGGGGGATAACACCACTGACCCCACAGAAATAAAAACAACCATCAGAGAATACTATAAACACTTCTATGCAAATAAACTGGAAAATCTAGAAAAAATGGATAAATTCCTGGGCACATACACCCTCCCAAGACTGAACCAGCAAGAAGCTGAATCCCTGAACAGATCAATAACAAGCTCTGAAATTGAGGCAGTAATAAATAGCCTATCAATCAAAAAAAACCAGGAACAGATGGATTTACAGCTGAATTCTACCAGAGGCACAAAGAGGAGCTGGTACCATTTCCTCTGAAACAATTTCAAACAATTGAAATGGAGGGACTCCTCCCTAACTCATTTTATGAGGCCAGTATCATCCTGATACCAAAACCTGGCAGAGATTAAAAAAAAAAGAAGAAGAAGAAAACTTCAGGCCAATATTCCTGATGAACACTGATCAAAAATCCTCAACAAAATACTGGCAAACCAAATCCAGCAGCACATCGAAAAGCTTATCCATCATGATCAAGTCCCTGGATGCAAGGTAGTTTCAACATAAGCAAATCAATAAATGTAATTAATACATAAACAGAACTAAAGACAAAAACTACATGCTTATCTCAATAAACACAGAAAAGGCCTTTGATAAAATTAAACACTGCTTCATGTTAAAAAGTCTCAATAAACTAGATATTGAAGGAACATACCTCAAAATGATAAGAGCCATTTATAACAAACCCACGGCCAATATCATACTGAATGGTCAAAAGCTGGAAGCATTCCCCTTGAAAACTGGCACAAGACAAGGATGTCCTCTCTTGCTACTCTTATTCAACATAATATTGGAAGTTCTGGCCAGGGCAATCAGGCAAGAGAAAAAAATAAAGTGTATTCAAATAGGAAAAGAGGAAGTCAAATTGTCTTTGTTTGCAGATGACATGATCCGATATCTAAAAAACCCCATGGACTCAGCCCAAAAGCTTCTTAAGCTGATAACCAACTTCAACAAAGTCTCAAGATACAAAATCAATGTGCAGAAATCACAAGCATTCCTATACACCAATAACAGACAAGCAGAGAGCCAAATCATAAATGAACTCCCTTTCACAATTGTCACAAAGAGAATAAAATACCTAGGAATACAGCTAACAAGGGAGGTGAAGAACCTCTTCAAGAAGAACTACAAACCACTGCTCAAGGACATCAGAGAGGACACAAGCAGATGGAAAATCATTCCATGCTCATGAATAGGAAGAATCAATGTCGCAAAAATGACCATACTGCCCAGAGCAATTTATAGATTCAATGTCATTCCCATTAAACTACCATTTACATTCTTCACAGAATTAGAAAAATCTATTTAAAAAATCATAAGGAACCAAAAAAGAGCTCACATAGCCAGGACAATCCTAAGCAAAAAGAACAAAGCTGGAGGCATCACACTACCTGACTTCAAACTATACCACAAGGTTACAGTAACTAGAAAAGCATGGTACTTGTAGAAAAACAGGCACACAGAACAATGGAACAGAATAGATAACTCAGAAATAAAACTGCATATCTACAACCATCTGATCTTTGACAAACCTGACCAAAGCAAGCAACGGGAAAGGATTCCCTACTTAACAAATGGTGCTCTAACAAGTGGATGACCATATGCAGAAAATTGAAACTGGACCCCTTCATTACACCTTATACAAAAATTAACTCAAGATGGATTGAGGCTTAAATGTAAAACCCAAAATTATAAACACCCTAGATGAAAATCTAGGCAAGACTATTCAGGACATAGGCATGAGCAAAGATTTTATGATGAAATTGCCAAAAGCAATTGCAACAAAAGCAAAAATTGACAAATGGGATCTAATTCAACTAAAGAGCTTTTGCACAGCAAAAGAAACTATCATCAGAGTGAATGGACAACATACAGAATGGGAGAAAATTTTTGCAATCTATCCATCTGACAAAGATCTAATACCCAGAATCTACAAGGAACTTAAGCAAACTTACAAGAAAAAAAAATCCCATTAAAAAGTCAGCAAAGGACATGAACAGACAATTTTCAAAGGAAGCATACATGTGGCCAACAAACATATGAAAAAAAGCTTAACATCACTATCATTAGAGAAATGCAAATCAAAACCACAATGAGATGCCATCTCATGCCAGTCAGAATAGCGATTATTAAAAAGTCAAGAAACAACAGATGCTGGTGAAGTTGCGGAGGAATAGGAATGCTTTTACATTGTTGGTGGGAATATAAATTAGTTCAACTATTGTGGAAGAAAGTGTGGGGATTCCTCAAAGGTTTAGAACTGGAAATACCATTTGATCCAGCAATCCCATTACTGGGTATATACCCAAAGGAATATAAATCATTCTATTATAAAGATACATGCACACATATGTTCATTGCAGCACTATTCACAATAGCAAAGACATGGAATTAACCCAAATACCAGATAAAGAAAATGTTGTACATATATACCATGGAATACTATGCAGCCATAAAAAGGAAAGAGGTCATGTCCTTTGCAGGGACATGGATGAAGCTGAAAGCCATTATCCTCAGCAAACTAACACAGTTACAGAAAACCAACCACCACATGTCCTCACTTATAAGTGGGAGCTGAACAATGAGAACACATGGACAACAGGGAAGGGAACAACACACACTGGGGCCTGTCAAGGGAGGGCGGTGGGGGAGAGCATTAGGAAAAAAAGCTAATGCATGCTGGGCTTAATACCTAGGTGATGGGTTAATAGGTGCAGCAAACCACCATGGCACACGTTTACCTATGTAATAAACCTGCACATCCTGCACGTGTACCCCAGATCTTAAAATAAAAAATAAAAATAAAAAAATAAAAATGGGCACTTTGGGAGGCCGAAGTGGGCAGATCACGAGGTCAGGAGATTGAGACCATCCTGGCTAACATGGTGAAACCCCATCTCTACTAAAAATACAAAAAAATTAGCCAGGCATAGTGGCAGGTGCCTGTAGTCCCAGCTACTTGGAAGGCTGAGGCAGGAGAATGGCGTGAACCCGGGAGGCGGAGCTTGCAGTGAGCCGAGATCGTGTCAGTGCACTCCAGCCTGGGTGACAGAGTGAGACTCCGTCTCAAAATAAATAAATAAATAAATAAATAAAAATAAAAATGGGAGTAATGGATTAAACCCATCAAAATAAATAAGAATTTGTGAATCCATACTGCTATAAACAAAGAAAGATGACATGTAGTAAATGTAGAAGGAATGATGGAGTTAGAAAAATCCCTATTTGGCAAATACTGTAGTAATAATTGTTTCAGGCAAGAGCCACCAATAATTAGTAAAACTAGTAGGTGAATGTTTGATGAGTAACAGGAGATATACAGTCTCGAAGTATTTTGCTTTAGTATCACATATGGATATTACACTAAATGAAAAAATTTGGAATATTTAGCTTGAGAAGAGATCGGGCGATGTAATAGTTGTTTTCAAATGTATCTTTACAATGCTGCCATATGGTGGTCTCAAGGAAAGATGAAAATTATGATAATTATTATTTTGGTTCAAGAGGAGGAATTTGTTAGCCTGTGTCTTAGTCAGCTTGGGCTGCTATCCCAGAATACCATAGATAGAGTGCTTACACAACAAACATTTACTTATTACACTTCGGGAGCCTGGGAAGTCCAAAATCAAGGTGCTGGCAGATCTGATGTCTGATGAGGACCCATTTTCTGGTCTGCGTATGCTGTCTTTTCATGATACCCTCACATGGTGGACAGAGCAAGCTCTGGTCTCTTTCTCTTCTTATAAGGAAACGATTCCCATCACAGACGCTCCACCCTTGTGAACTCATGTACACTACACCCAATTACCGCCCAAAAGCCCCACCTCCTAATACCATCCCACTGGGGTTTAGAGTTTCAACATATGAGTTTTAGGGGGACACAAACATGCAGTGCAGAACAGTCAGCAAAAACAATCAACTCCCCCCAAATTAAGACAAATATTCTGATTCCCAGATTCTAGGATTTTTAACATTCATTTATTTTAGGATTCTAGGGCTATATAATTCAATTATTCTGATATTCTAGGACTCCAAATAAATATTTTCTGATTCTATATTCTATTTATTATTTTGATTCCAAGATTTTTCACGATTTTGCTATAATGCCTACTTCTGTGGTCATCCCAGCCATAGCAAAAGCACTGAGGTATTTGACACTAGTTCTCACAGTTTCATAACTAAAAATCCAAATCCCCTGGACCCAGTCTTGTGACTGGGATCAAATTCTCCCCTGGTTGCATTCCTAACAACAGAGGGAAAGCCTCAAGTTTTTCACCATAAAACGTACTATTTCCAATAGGTTTTTGGTAGATACCCTTTGATATATTAGGGAAGTTCTAGGTTGTGAAGATTTTTATAAATCAATTAATGAGTGTCAACTTTTATCATGTTTTTCAAAATATGTCTATTTGAGATGATTGTATGATGTTTCTCTTTAATCTGTTAGTTTGTGGAATTACACCTATAGATTTTCTGTTATTAAACCAGTGCTTATTCTTTGTATATACACTACTGAATGTTGATAAATTATTATTTTATGTATAATTATGAATTCTGTTTGCTGAGATTTCATTTAGGATTTTTATATCTATGATTAACCTATAGATTTTCTTCCTTATATCATCTTTATCTAGTTTTGGTACCACTATTATATCAGCTTCCTAAACTGAGATGGGAAGTTTTTCTGTTCGGTGGAATAATTTATATAATATAGAGATTTTTCATACCATGAACGTTTTGTGGAACTCACCTGTAAAGTCAAGTGGATCAGGTATTTTATCTAATTTTGTTTTCTTTTGTGGGCAGATTTTTAGCTATTGATTCAATTTATTGAGCTATTGAGGTTTTCCACTCCTTCTTAAATCAGTTTTAGTAAGATATATATTATTTTCTAGAATAATAGTCTATTTCCCCTAGGTATATCAGTCATCGATTGGTTCATTAAAAGTTGCCCGAAAGCTTCAATGCGATCCCTATAAAAATCCCAGGAGGTTATTTTGTGGATATTGACAAACTGATTCTCAAGTTTATATGGAGAGGCAAAAGAACCAGATAGCCAATACACTATTGAAGGAGGAGAAGAAAGTCAGAATGATGGCAGCTGCGGCCGGTCTGAAGCGACCGCTGTGAAGACACCAGCTGCAGTGGGGGAGACGCGGCTGGGGTTGCCCACTCCGCGGGGCTGGCAAGTTGGTGGGGCAGGAACTCACACTCCCAAGTGCAGCCACAGCCGCCCAGCCACAGCTCCAGACCTCAGCATCCCCGCACTCTCAGGGGCCCAGGAAGCCCCTTGCCCCCGCAGGCTTTGAAAGTGCCTTCTCCAGGCCTGGGGTGGTGGCTCATGCCTGTAATGCCTGTAATCCCAGCACTTTGGAAGGGTGAGGCAGACAGATCACTTGAGGTCAGAAGTCCGAGATCAGCCTGGCTAACATGGCGAAACCCTGTCTCTACCAAAAATAAAAAATTAGCCAGGCGTGGTGACGCACGCCTGTAATCCCAGCTACTCTGGAGGCTGAGGCAGGAGAATCGCTTGAACCCTGGAGGGGGAGGTTGCAGTGAGCCGAGATTGCGCCACTGCACTCCAGCCTGGGCGACAGAGGGAGACTCTGTCTCAAAACAAAACAAAACAAAACAAAACAAAACAAAATAAAGCAAACAAAACAAAAGGAAGTGCCTTCTCTCACCTTCTGGCCTCCCATCTCCCAGCACACCCACTTCAGTGCGGAACAAAGCTGTGGCCGAGCTCAGGTGCTATTGCAAAACAACTAGGTGTGTGCATGCTTGGGACAGTGCTGACATGCCAGCCCCCTGCTGCCTTGGCCCCCTCCAGACTTCGGATGCCAATGAGCATGGGAGGGAGGCAGGGGGCTAAGGGCAGCTCAGTGCGGGCCCGCGGGTGCCCCTCCGCACAAACAGCCTGGGCACCATGGAGGGCATGTTGATGGCAGCAGGAGGCAGACAGGCTTCTGGGCAGAAAGTGGCGGGTCCCTCGTGAAACCTCACCTTCAAGCCATGGACGCCTGAAGCGTGGGAGCTGGGCTGCCAATTCCGGGAGGAGTCCACCTCCCAGAGTGAGAACTTGTGGTGCTTTTTCTGGGCCGCCCATGGCCACCCATGGACCAATCAGTATGCACTTCTTCCCTTCTGAGCCTATAAAAATCCCCAGTCTTAGCCAGACTGTGACAGACCTCGGGACTACCAGCTATGGGAATAAGCTACCCACTTCAGGTCTCCTCCATTCGTCAGGATGACCTGCCTGTGGAAACGAGCTACCCACTGTTGGTCTCTTCTCTGCTGAGAGCTGGACACTTGTCGGGAAGATCTGCCTGCAGAGAGGAGCTACCCACTGCAGGTCTCCTGAGAGCTGTTGTGTTGCTCAATGAAGCCCCTCTCTGCCTTGCTCACCCTCCAGTTGTCCACATGCCTCATTCTTCCGGACGCAGGACAAGAACTTGGGACCCACCAGATGGCGGGACTGAAAGAGCTGTAACACAAACAGGGCTGTAAAACCTCCCGCCCCCCCCCCCAGGCTTACCACGTTGCGGGTGACAAGAAGGAGAGAAGAGCTGCAGCCTTCAGGGAACCCAGACATAGGGGCTTCCCAAGCCAGGGCTGTGACACCCTCTTTGGGGCTCTGCAGTTCCAAGCTTCCAGGTGCCACCATGCTCCCCCTGTCCAGATGCAGCTGCCCACTGTAGAAGCTGCATGCCATACATCTGGTCCAGCCACAGTCAGATGTGCACAGTGACCAGACCCCACACTCACTTGCCCACACTCCCCTTGCTGTTCCACGCCTGGCTCGCCCTTGGCAGGTGTGGGATCCAGGCGGTAGCTCGAGCTGAGACGGCCAAGTGGGCGGAATGAGTCCAGCGGCGCAAGTAATACTTAGGCAGAAGGCGCCTCCGGCCGCAGAGGTTTCCAGCTGGCGAAGCACTCCCAAAGGATCCCATGACAAGAGGACTGATGGTATTTGACTTCAAGGCATATTATAAAGCTTAATGATCAACAGAGTGTGATATTAGTGAAAAAAGAGAGAAATAAATTGAATAGAATAGAGAGTCCAGAAATAGACCCACATACATACAGAGGGTCCCTGACTAACGATGGTTCAATCTATGATTTTTAAATTTTGCGATGATGCAGAAGTGACATGCATTAGTAGTATACAGCAGTCTCCCTTTATCTGCAGGGAAGACATTCCAAGACCTCCAGTGGTTACCTGAAACCAAGGCTAGTAAAACCCTATATATACTCTGTTTTTTCATATACATACAGGTCTATAATAAAGTTTAATTTATAAGTTAGGCACAGTAAGAGATAAACAACAATAACTAATAATAAAATAGAACAATTATAACAATATACTATAATAAAAGTTATATGAATATGGTCTCTCTCTCTCTCTTTTCCCCCTCTCTCAAAACATCTTATTGTACTACACTGTTGGTAACTGAAACCACAGAAAGCGAAAGCACAGATCAAGGGGGATTGCTGTGCAAACATTCAGTTTTTCACTTTCAATACACTATTCAATAAATTAAAAGAGATACTCAAGACTTCATTATATGAAATGGGCTTTTTTTAAAAAATGATTTTGCCCAACCATAGGCTAATGAAAGTGTTCTGAGCATGTTTAAGGTAGGCTAGGCTAAGCTATGATGTTTGGTAGGTTAGATGTAATAAATGCATTTTTGACATACAATGTTTTCAATTTACAATGGGTTTAACTCCATCATGAGTCAAGAAGCATCTGTATAGTCAACTGATGTTTGAGAAAGAAGCAAAGGCAATACAATGGAGCAGAGGTAGTCTTTTCAACAAATGGGACTAGAATAACTGGAAATCTACACGCCAAAAAATGAATCTTGACCCAGAGCTTACACCCTTCACAAAAATTAACTTGAAATGGCTCATAGACATAAATGTAGAATACAAAGGTATAAAACTCTCAGAAGATAACATAGGAGAAAACATATAGTCTTGGGTTTGCTGATAACTATTTATTTATTTTAAGTTTAAAAAATTGTGTTTTTTAGAGAGATGGGGTCTTGCTATGTTGCCCAGGCTAGTCTCAAACTCCTCCGCTCAAGAGATCCTCCTGCTTCAGCCTCCCAAAGCAATGGGATTACAGGCATGAGTTACCACAAACAGCCATGGTAATGACTTTTTAGATCCAACACCAAAGCCATGACCCTTTTATGAAAGAATTTATGAATGGGACTTTGTTAAAACTAAATACTTCTGTTCTTCAAAAGACACTGTGAAGAGAATGAAAAGACAAACCAGACTGAGAAAATATTTGCAAAAGATTTAGGATGAAGGGTATCAAGCAAGCTATCATCCAAAATATACAAACAACTTGTAAAACTCAACAGTAAGAAAATGAACAACCCAATTAAAAAATGGACAAAAGCCAGGCACGGTGGTTCACACCTGTAGTCCCAGCTACTTGGGCGGCTGAGGTGGGACAATCACTTGAGCCCAGAAGCTTGAGTCTACAGTGAGCTATGATCATGCACTCCAGCCTGGGTGACAGAGCAAGACCCCATCTCTTAAAAAAATAAATAAATAAAAATAAATGTAATGGACAAAACACTGGAACATACATCTCACCAAAGAAGATGTACTGACGGCAAGTAAGCATATGAAAAGATGTTTAACATTGTACACTATTAGAGATTTACCAATTAAAACAATGAGATACTACTATACACCTGTTAGAATGTGAAAAATCCAAAACACCGATAAAACCAAATAACCTGAGAGGACATGGGACAATGAGAACTCTCGTTTGTTGCTGGTAGGAGCACAAAATTGTACAGCTACTATGGAAGCCATTTGGGCAGTTTCTTACTAAACTAAGCATGCTCTAACTGTGTCATCTAGCAATTGTACTCTTTGGTATTTACCCAAAGGAGTTGAAAGCTTATGTCCCTACAGAAACCTGCACACGGATGTTTCTAGTGGCTTTATTCATAATTACCAACCCTTGGAAGCAACGAAGATATCCTTCAGTAGGTGAATGAATAAACTGTGGTACATCCAGATAATGAAATATTATCCAGCTCTAAAAAGAAATGAGTTAACAAGCCATGAAAAGACATGGAGGAAATTTAAATGCATATTTCTAAGTGATTTGATTCAGGGCAGAGGACTACACAAGGCTGTGAACACTGGGAAGTTAGGGTCACTGTGGGCCTTCTTGGAGGCTGGCTATCATGCAAAGTTTTTCACATTTATCAGAAGAAAGTAGTTCTTAGTATTTATCTATGATTCTTTCAATCTGCCATATCAACAATTATCCCTCTTTACAATCCTAAAATTTTTGATGTGTGATACTCTCTCTCTCTCTCTCTCTGTTTCTGGATGAACTTGTTAGAGACTTGTCTATTTCAAAGAAGCAACTTTTAGATTTCTTAATAGTAGCTAATGCATGGTTATTTTATATTTAATCACCTTGCTGTTTTCTTTATTTTTCCCCTTTTATTTTCTTATGAGTTTGCTCTGTACTATGGTTTTTTTTTTCTTTTTTTCTTTTTTAGAGATGGAGCCTTGCTATGTTGCCCAGGCTGCAGTGCAGTGGCTATTCACAGGTGCAATCACAGCATGCTACAGCCTCAAACTCCTGGGCTCAAGTGATCCTCCTGCCTCAACTTCCTGAGTTATTGGGACTACAGGTGCATGCCACTGATTTTTAACTTCTTGAGTCTAATCGTGAGCGTATTTTTAGTCTTTCTTAGTTTCTAACTTATGTATTTAGATTATAAGTTTCCTTACTAATACTGTATTTAGCTGCATCCTACAAACTTTGGTATGCAATGTTTTCATTTCCTTTTGGTTCTAAATATTTTCTAATATCTATTATAATCTATTTTAAGCTATAAATTAATCTATAAATATGTTTTTTGTTTTTCTTAGTTTAATTTCTAAATATGTGTAGGCTTGTGATTATTTTTTGTTATTGATTTCTAACATCATTGTACTGGCATCATAAATGTGGTATGTATGTGTCCTTGCTTCTTGTTCATATTTGTTTTGTGGCCTAGGTCCATGGTCAAATTTTACATATTCCATATAAATTTAAGAATAATACATTCACTAATTGTTGAATGAGGGGCCCATTAGATCAAGCTTATTACTTACTTAAATCTTCTACATCCCTAACAACATTTTATGTATTGCATTTGTAAGTTACTCTTATGTATTTTTAAAAAGCTCTATGATGATGATGATTATGGATTTTTGCATTTCTTCTTAAAATTCTACAAGTTTTGCTTTCTATATTTTGAGGCTATATTGTTAGAGGAAAACCACATTATATACTTCTGGGGGATTGTTTCTTCTATTTTTATATGAAGATCCCCTTTATCCATAATAGTGCTTTTTGTTTTAAAACCAAATTTGTCTGTTATTAATAAAACGGCATCAGCTTTTCATTTTCATTAGTATTTATCTACTGTTACCAGTGGAGGGTGTCCAGGTTCTTGGCATTTTGAAGAAGGAATTGGAAGAAATGCATGAACAAAGCAACAAAAGAAATAAAAGTACACTCCACGGAGTGGGAGTGGGCTAGAGAAAGCAGCTCAAGAGAGCCAGTTACAGAATTTTCTGGAGTTTAAATACCCTCTAAAGGTTTCCATTGGTCACACCCTATGTAAATGAAGTAGTTGCCCAGAGCAAGTTTGATTGGTTGTGGACGGTGACCAATCAGAGGCTGAAGTGAAGTTACAAAGTTACTCATGAAGACTGGGCCTGCAGCCAGTCTGATTGGCTACAGGAGGGAACCAATCAGAGGTACTTTCATTTTTCATCTGCAATGCAGAGAAGAGGTGATGGCGGGAGGTTGCATAAGTAGTAGCCTCTGGTCCTTTTGTTACTTGGGCATGGAGAGGTGGGGTTTTCCCTTTCAGTTCTAGGAAGTCAGCATGAATCAGCCTTAGGTTTCCTGCCTTCAGACTGTATTCTCCTGCCTTGTCTACTACATCTTTTTCTATCATTTGTTTCAATATTTATGTGTCATTGCATTTTTGTTTTTGAGACGGAGTCTTGCTCTGTTGCCCAGGCTGGAGCGCAGTGGCGCAATCTCGGCTCACTGCAACCTCTGCCTCCCGGGTTCAAGTGATTCTCCTGCCTCAGCCTCCCGAGTAACTGGGATTACAAAGGTGCACCACCATGCCCAGCCAATTTTTGTATTTTTAATAGATACGGGATTTCACCATGGATGGTAGAAATATTTCCAAATAAATTAGTGATGGGGTAAATGTAAATGATCAAAACTTTCCTGTTAAAAGACAGACATGGCTTTGCTATGTTGCCCAGGCTGATCTTGAACTCCTGACCTCGTGATCCGCCTACCTCGGCCTCTCAAAATGCTGGGATTACAGGCGTGAGCCACCGCGCCCGGCCATCTTTGCATTTTAAATATGACACTCAGAAATAAGCTGGCCAGGTGTGGTGACTCACACCTGTAATCCCAACATTTTGGGAGGCCAAGATGGGCAGATCACTTGAGCCCATGAGTTTGAGACCAGCCTGAGCAACAAGAGCAAAGCCCCATCTCTGCACAAAAAAAAAAGCAAAAATTAGCCAGCCATGGTGGTGTGCACCTGTAGTCCCAGCCACTTGGGAGGCTAAGGGGGGAGGATCACCTGAGTCTGCAGAGGTTGAGGCTGCAATGAGCTATGATTGCACCACTGCACTCTAGCCTGGGCAATAGAGTGAGACCCTGTCTCAAAAAGCATCATTAAAAATTCTTAAGAAAATAATGTATAGGTATATTTTGTTTTGTTTTATGTTCTTCTCTAATCTGAGATTCTCTGTCTTTTAACAGGAAAATTCTGATCATTTACATTTACCCCATCACTCATATATTTGGAAATATTTCTAACATCCTATTATGGATTTGCTATTTGCCATGTTTTCTCTGTACTTATTTCTGGCCTTAATAAAGTTTTCTATAGTCCCTTTTCTTTCTTTCTTTAAATGTGAATTTTTAGGTTCATAAACTTTTTAGGTTAATACGTGATATGGCTTGGCTCTGTGTCCCCACCCAAATCTCATGTGGAATTGTAATTCTCAGTGTTGGGGGAGGGACCTGGTGGAAGGTGATTGGATCATGGGGGTGGATTTCCCATTGCTGTTCTTATGATAGTGAGTGAGTTCTCATGAGAGCTGGTTGTTTAAAAGTGTGTAGCACTTACCCCTTCTCTCTCTTCCTCCTACTTTGGCCATGTGAGGAAGGTGCCTTGCTTCCCCTTTGCCTTCTGCCATGATTGTAAGTTTCCTGAGGCCTCCCCAGCTATGCATAACTGTGAGTCAATTAAACCTCTTTTTTTCATAAATTACCCAGTCTCAGGTAGTTCTTTATAGCAGTCCAAGAACAGACTAATACAATAAGTTAAGATTTCTACTCTCCTCACAAACAAATAGGGACTTTAGAATATTTTAACTCTGATTATTCCTTCATATCTTAACATCATAGTATTTCCCAGTATTTTGGTACTCTACTGTTTTTATATACCTCAAATTTGTTCAGGCATGGCCAGATCCACATGCTCAAATGACTAAAATACTAAGAGAACTCCAAACAGTGGTTCAAACAAGAGGGAACTATATTTCTTTCTCACATGCAGTCTAGCAGTAAGCAGGTAGCCCAAGGCTGCTAGGCTGCTCTGCTCCATGGGATCATCCAAGACAGGTTTCTGCTGTGTTGTTCCTCTCCCCTTCCTTCCCCAAGGTTGAATCTTGGCACTAGAATGTTCTTAACCACAACACCAAAACCTTCAGAGCTGTCTTAACTACCCAAATGATAACTCACCTCTACCATGTCCACATCCTACCCAATGGGGAGAAAGACAAAGTTGAACACAAGCAACTTCTTTTAAGGAAGTGACATGGAAGTGCAGATGGTTGTTCTTTGCTGCAAGGATGGTTGGGAAATGTGGTTTCTGGTTGGGTGGCCCAGTGCCCAAATAAAACTTGGGGGCTTTTGTTACTATAGGGAAGAAGAGAAGAATGGGCTCTGGGGTGTAGATATCATCAGAATCCTGTGCCCCCTTCTGATTTTCTCTGTGTTTGCTTCAACCTTAGGAAGCCTCCCCACCAGTAATGGCAAAGATGACCACTAACAGTAGCTTCATAGTCTTCCATTTTAGCAATTCTAGAAAAAAAAAAAAAAGGAGAGTGGGTCTTTAGGATAGTTTCAGCTAAAGTCTGGGGTTTCTTTAACTGGTCTAATGTGGATCACACCCCCATCACTAAACTAGTCACTTTGACCAGGAAGATGCATCCCCCTGGCAAACAGGTGTGAGTCATATGGGCACCCCTGGAAGGTAGGTGGGTTAGGATTACCTCCACCTGAACCACATGGCCTGAAAATAGAAGAGTGGCCCTCAAAATTCAAATGATGAGGTGCTGTGACCACCCGAATGATTGCTAAATAAGCCATATAAGAGATGACCACTAGACTTGTCTGTCCCACAGGGTCATTGGATGGTCCAGGGAGGTTGAATGCATTTTTCAAATCCAAGTAAATAAATGTGGAAGGTGATGTTAACGATAAAATTTTCCTTACACTTCTCATGCTGGGAGAACTCCTTCTCATCTCTTACTAGTCATTCATTCAGCACCAGTGTTAACCTCTGTTATGTTGACCATACTCTTTGATAATTATTTACTTATGTGTCTGTCTCTCAGTTCTCCAATAACACATTCTTTCAAGTGAGGGCTCCTCCAGAGCTATAATCCATATGTGTCCTATAGTCCTCAAGGCACAAAGTAGGCATCAGGAGACTAGACTTGTTAAATGAAAGAAGGATAAACTATCAGTGATTCTCAGAATAGACATCCTCCCTCCAATTTTTAGCCTTTTTTAAACCTTTGGAAATCATTATTGGAAATGCATCAGCCAAATCCCAGGGAGTTCTGCAGGGGTGAGAAGAGGAAATGTACGACCAGATTATGTTCTTTATAAAAATATATCTCCTAACGACTGGAAAACAGCACCAGACATTATTTTATTTATGGAACTCAAATCAAATCACCAAGAGGCAAAGTCCTAAGTAGGAGGAAGTTCAGTAGATAATTGACTAATCAGAGCTGTCTTCTCATCCAATTTGATTCTAGGATTAAAGAAAATCTGTGTTGTGCAACCCATTTATAATCTAAACACATACATGACTTTCTCTCCCTGAAACACCAATGCTCCCAGCTTAACTGATACTGAAAACTCTGCCTATATTGGAGGGGAAAAGAGCTGAAGTCCAGTGGATGTAGCTAGTGGAGGAGTGCAGGAGACATAAATGGAGAGATAGCAAAGACAGAACAAAAGTTACTTGGAGGAACAAGAGGTCTCCTGGAGAAGGTGTCCAAGTGGCTTCTTAGGACACTCCACTTATGGGTCTTCTGGGTGGGCCTTTTGGATACTAATAGCTACCATTTATTGAGCCATTGCCATATGCCAGATGTTGTGGTAAGCATTTTTAGTGCATTATCTCATTTTAATTCTCAGAACAACCTTGCAAGTTCAGTATTGGTACCCCCATTCATAGATGAAACTGAAGGTCAGAAGATTGCAGTGATTTGCCCACTGCCATACAGTTAAGAGCTACAAAAGCCAGGATTTGAATCTCTGCAGATTAGATTTGACTCAAAGCTTCTGCCCTGGGTCCTTCGCTATCCTCACAAAACCACTTTTTTTTTCTTTTTGAGATGGAGTTTTGCTCTTGTCACCCAGGCTGGAGTGCAATGGCACTATCTCGGCTCACTGCAACCTCCACCTCCTAGGTTCAAGCGATTCTCCTGCCTCAGCCTCCTGAGTAGCTGGGATTACAGGCACGCACCATCATGCCCAGCTAATTTTTGTATTTTTAGTAGAGACAGGGTTTCACCATGTTGGCCAGGGTGGTCTTGAACTCCCAACCTCAGGTGATCCACCGGCCTCAGCTTACCAAAGTGCTGGGATTACAAGTGTGAGCCACGACGCCCGGCCCACAAAACCATTTTTGAGGCAGGTAGTATTTCCTCCATTCTACAGATGAGGAGACTGAAACACAGGGATGACTCAACTTGCCCAAGTGGCACAGAGAGTAGCAGAGCCAAACCAGGTCTTTCGGACTTCAAAATCTCTTCTGCTTTGAAGATAGAAGAAGAGCAACGGCGAGGAGTGAGAACGTGCCAGAAGGCCCCTGCAGGCCAGGCACTGCCGTTTCCTAGGGCACAGGTCCTACCTACTCCCAACCTCCACAATTAAGCCACTTTCCAGAATTTTCTTTTCTCTACCTCTGCCCCAGTGTGGCACCTGAACTGAACAGGGACTGGGCGGTTCTTGGGGGAGTCTAAAACATACCTTCGCAAAGATTCCCTAGGAAAGGAACATCCAGGGCACCACCAGCCCTGGTGCTCCCATTCCGACACATCTGAGCAAGGCCTGTGCGTAAGACTGGCAAGTGCTTGAACCAGGAGGCAACCAAACTGGGCTCAAACACAGCCCGCCGGTTTTGACCAATTCCAGCAGCTCCCCTTTTCAAAGCATCTATTCTGGGACAGACATTTCACTAGGAGTTTCCTCCATGTTTTAAAATTTAATAGCACCCCCCCCCCCCATTGGCCCTATTTTACAAAAGAGGAGCCTCCGACTCCTGGGGATGAAGCGACAAGCACAAGGACAGAAAGTCCTCACGAGCTTGGGACTTGAACCCACTACGTCCCCAGATTCTGCTGTTGCCCGGGAGTAGAGGAGGGAGGAGCTGCCAGGGCGGAGGGTGGTGGGGAGGGAAGGCAAGCTCCCAGCAGCGCAAGCTGACGACAGCAGGTGTTTTTGTTTTGTTTTGTTTTTTTCTGCAGCACTCTTTCAGTCAGCATCGTTCCTGGATTTTTTTCTCACTGCTGAGCAGCATAAAAGGGTGGGGCCGCTTCCCTGCAGCAGAGGCAGAGGCGGCGGCGGCAGCGGCTGCAGCATCATTCGCGGGCAGCGGCGGAGACCGAGAGCTGCAGAAAAGGGTGGGGTCGCTTCCCAGGAGAAGAGGCGGTGGCGGCGGCGGCTGCGGCATCCTCGCGGGCAGCGGCGGAGGCAGCAATGCTCGGTCTCCGCTGGAGGTGATGGCCTCCCAGCCCTGCTAGGTGGCCGGCTGCACTAGGACGCCGGCAGGAAGGAGACTCGAGCCCGGTCCGCGGACCCTGCGGCCACACCGCCCGGCCCCTCCTCTGCGCCATGGCTTAAGCCTGTAGCCACCTCTCCTCACGTCGCCTCGCTCGACCGAGGTCTGTGCGCCGCCGCAGCCGCAGGGAGGGGCGCGTCCCAGACACCCTCGCCGGGGACTCGGGAACGCCGTGCGTCTCACCCTTCGGCGCTCGCAGCAGACTGCGCTCCCAAAGGCGTTTGCGACCGGTAATCGAGGGACTCTACAGACTCTCCTAGGACAGCTCTCCCCGGGTGCTCGCTGAGGGAGGAGGGCGAACTAGCTCCGGCTGATCGGGGGTAGAAAACGGTGGGAACCACATTGGCCGGTCAGGATCGGAGGCTGAAGGAAGATTATAGAGACTTGCTTTAGAACCACAAGAAGAAAGAGGAGGCCGGCTTTTCAGCTAGCATCATGGCGTGGCCGTGCATCACGAGGGCCTGCTGCATCGCCCGCTTCTGGAACCAGTTGGACAAAGCGGACATCGCTGTGCCGCTGGTTTTCACCAAGTACTCGGAGGCCACCGAGCACCCGGGCGCCCCGCCGCAGCCACCGCCGCCGCAGCAGCAGGCGCAGCCGGCGCTCGCGCCCCCCTCGGCGCGCGCGGTTGCCATAGAGACGCAGCCAGCCCAGGGCGAGTTGGATGCAGTTGCCCGGGCAACGGGGCCAGCGCCTGGGCCTACCGGCGAGCGCGAGCCGGCGGCGGGCCCCGGCCGGAGCGGGCCGGGCCCGGGCCTGGGCTCCGGCTCCACCTCCGGCCCCGCGGACTCGGTGATGCGGCAGGATTACCGAGCCTGGAAGGTGCAGCGGCCCGAGCCCAGCTGCCGGCCGCGCAGCGAATACCAGCCCTCCGACGCTCCCTTCGAGCGCGAGACCCAGTACCAGAAGGACTTCCGCGCCTGGCCGCTGCCGCGCCGCGGGGACCACCCGTGGATCCCCAAGCCCGTGCAGATCTCTGCGGCCTCCCAGGCGTCGGCGCCCATTCTCGGGGCGCCCAAGCGCCGGCCGCAGAGCCAGGAGCGCTGGCCAGTGCAGGCCGCCGCTGAGGCCCGGGAGCAGGAGGCGGCCCCCGGCGGAGCGGGTGGCCTGGCGGCCGGAAAGGCGTCCGGGGCGGACGAGCGCGACACGCGCAGGAAGGCCGGGCCTGCCTGGATTGTGCGCCGCGCCGAGGGCCTGGGGCACGAGCAGACGCCGCTGCCCGCGGCCCAGGCCCAGGTCCAGGCCACCGGCCCCGAGGCTGGCAGGGGGCGCGCCGCGGCGGACGCCCTCAACCGGCAAATCCGCGAGGAGGTGGCGAGTGCAGTGAGCAGCTCCTACAGGTGAGACGCGGCCGCTGCTAGCGCGGGGGAGTCACCACGCAGACCCTCCCCGCGGGCTGCCCGGGGCCCAGGATCCCCAGCGCAGGCCTAGCGTGCAGCCTCCCTCCAGTCCCAGGCCACACCCTCTCCCCAGCCGCCTCCCAGGCCACCTCCTGTCGAAGCCTTCTCTTCTGCCCTGTCCCATGCGCAAGCTGTTAGTATATTCCATCTCAGCCTGCCTGGCTCTTTCACTTTACCGCTGTAGCCCTTTTCTCCATCCCTCCCACCTCAGATCCCTGCCTTCCCACAGAGACCCTTTGCAATGTCAGCAGAGGCTGTGCTTCCGTCGTGCCCCCATCCAACTCACCTGCTGCGTTAGCCTGGATGTTGCCCTTTGCAGGGTCCCCATTCTTCCAGAAGAAGAATTCTTTCCAAGTGGCCTCTCGCCCTCCTCCCTAGCCCAGTTCCCTTGGCCCTTCATTCTTTCCTCCCTTTCTCAGTCTCTGGGCAACACCCAAGCACCATACCTTTTTCTAGATTACCCACAGGATCTTTACAAATTACCCCCCACCTTCCACCGCTGGAACTTTGAAGTCATTGTCCTTCCACCTCTCCCTAGCTGTGACATATTGGGCAAGTTTCCTAACCTTTCTGGGCCTCATGTTCTTATCTGTAAGATGTAATTGGTAATAGACATCTCTTAGGATTGTTCACACTTTTATTGATTTAATATTAAACATTTTATTTTTATTTAGTTAATATTAAATATTCAACATATTTTTGAGTGCCTACTATATGCCAGGCAGTGTGCCGGACATTGTGAGGATTAAATGAGATAATCAGGAGAACAGCTCGTGCCTAGCACATAGTGGTAATTAGTACATCTTGGTTCCATTCCTACCTTCCACATGATACCTTATGATCCTACTTCCTAGGTGCCTCCAGCCTTCTCTGCTATTGAGGCATCTTCTTTCTCTCTCCTTTCCCTACATGTTCTCCAGATGTCTCTCATTCTCTTGCCACCAAAAACCCCTTTCTCCAGCACACTCAATTCCTTGCAAATGAATGCTTTCAAGCATGAAAATCTCTCTCTCTCTTTCCTTCTAGAATTTTCCCTCTGCTGCAGCTTCAGCCATTCCAGTCTGCTTTCTTGCCCTTCATCCATCCGGTATATATTTCTGAAGGCTTAGCTTTCAATTCTCCCCTTATGTTTCAACCAACATCAATTAGCTAACAGAACACAGTTGACTCTGGACATGCAACATTGCATTTGGGGTCTCTCGGGGAAGATCTGTATGAAAGTAATTGAGCTAGAGGTGTTCAAAATGCAGCTTATGGGGTCCTTTATCAATGCCACAGCTTTCTGCTGCCTCCTTCCTGCAAGAGGGTGTGGGGGGCGGGGAGGACTAGAGAGTTAGTCCTTTGCCAAGACTCTGTATATAGGTTAGACTAATATCCTTCTCCAGTGAACATTACCAATACTCTCTCATAGGCTGAGGAAAGAATAGCATATCCAGACATCCTTCATGTTAAGAGAAAATCTGTCCCCCAACTCCTACCCCTGCATTTCTCATCTTCCTGAATTCCACCTCCCACTTGGCATCTCTCTCTTGGTTTATTGCTATCACAACAACCACACTGGGAACCCAGGAGTACAGCACTTCCTTTGAGCTCTTGGTCAAACAAGGACATAAATCCTTTTCCTTGAATAGCCATGAGATGGTAGAATGTTCACTATGTTTTTATGCTGCTACCAAGCGGGGAGCAAAAGAAAAGAGGGGAAACAAATAAGCAGGAGACATAAAAAACAAAGGCAGGATGTAGTTTTCTAGTTCTGCTATGGCTTGCTTGCTTCAAGACCCTACTTCATTTCTTGATCTTCCTACCCTGAGAAGCCCACGTCTGGCCCAACATCATAGATTACTGGCTTGGCCTCTTCATCTTCCCACTCTCATTCTAGCACCCTGTGGCAGGTGGAACCTTACTACCCACTAGCAGGAGCTGTCTCTTCTCACCACCATGCAGTCAATGCCAATCAAGAGAGATTCCAGATTCTTAAGCCTCCTTGGGTGATCCTACTCAGTTTATGATTTCAAGTTGGCAGGACTTGCTTTGTTTATGGATGAGTGGCCTGTCAGTCAAGGAATGACCACATCCTTTGAATATAACGCACTCCAGATTTGGGGTTGTACCTTGTTCCATATAGCCTTTTTCCTCAAAACAACAGCTTAGCTGTGCAGTAAGCATGTCGTGCTTCACATGCCATGCTTCACATTACACACATACTGGAAATGACTGGATTTGGTGGGGGAAGGCTATGCCCTCGGAGCTGGTGAGAATGATTATTTTTAGCACCTATCAATTCTATTAACCTGTCAAAAAAATCTTTGAACACCTCAAAAAAATTTTTAAATTTAGGTCTTTTGTAAAATTTAATTATACCTATGGCTTTCGGGCCAGGAGTACTATTTTGCTATATAATCAAAAGGGTTTTGAAATATTAAGGGAATGATTATTGCTAAGAAACATCAATTTCTTCAATGAACAATTTAAGTGCATGACAAATTTGATGTGAAATTTAACGGGTTTTTTTTTTGTTCCAGAATAAAAATTAACAAATAATTGAGAAATTCACTTTGATTGAAAGTAGATATAAAGAAATAAGCTATTCAATACATTAAATACACTGTAAAGAAAAAATGGTTGGCAATTATAAGCTTATCTAGAACATTGATTTTCCTTCCCTATTGTCTCACATTCTTTTCCTTGCTATGTTTCTAGGATATCTTCTGAATTTAAGTAAGTACCATGTCCACTGACATAAGATGGGCCTTATGTTGCCTTAGAAGGCTTAGAAGCCAAGCTGTGCTCCACTTCAATGATAATTTGATTTACAAACCCTTTTCTTCTGCCATTCTACATAAATTATGGTGTATTCACACCATGGTGACTGGTTCGTCTCATGGACTTTACAAATGACACCTGCCACATGACATCAATGTGAACAGTCTGCTTAAACAGAAAGGGACACACAGTCCATCATGTAAAATATACATTCAAAATTCAGAATCATATACATGCTCATTGTTTTACTTTACAATTTACAGTCATAAATAACATTAGATACCCTTTGACATTATGGTTTTGAGAAACCTTCCCTATTCAATAGCTCATCTAATTCCCAATCCATTCATATCAGCCTGAGATTTTTGCATTCAAGTAGTATCCAGGATAGCTTTGGGATTATTCACAAACATGAGTTTGATTAATTTTTAATACATTCATTTTACATAGATGATATTGTAAAACTGAGAAGCATGTCTTTATTACCATTTTTAATGTTAAGGATGGGTTTCACTGGGAAGCCATTTGTGACTTTAGACCTGACGTTCTCAATTAGAAAATAGATGAGTCATAAGGAGGGGATTAAAATTCCTCTCCCAGTCAACCCCATTGCCCTGGCCATCAGATAATAGGGGTAGATAGGGTAGCAGCTGCTCCCTATAGAAATGCTAATGAGAAACTTTTCCTAGAAGAAACCAGCTGAGGCACCAGGAGGTAGAATTAATAAACCAGGGTGAAATACTTGAAAAATAAGAGCAGTAACAAGGAAGTTAGAAAGAAAAGGAGCCTTTAATGTCTGCCCTCCAGCCTTGTATGAAGGTTACAGGAAGACCCATCTGACTTAGTTTATGCTGTGCAGAACTGCCCCATTCCCTAACTGCCCATTTCCCTAATTTCCTTTTGGGTCAATCCCAGCAATGCCTCGAGGCCAATCTTGGATACTGAGTCTACAGCGATGCCTTCCTAGAGCCAGCCATTCTGAATCAATTGTTCTTCTATTCCCTTTTTACTTTCTGAACCCTTATCATTGTCTGCTTGATTGTAAAATACTCTTGTCCATGTCTGTCTCCCCCACCACGTCATGAACACCTGAAGAGAAGGCTGTATTTTGTTCACTCTGTACCTCTCACAGCCTAGGTGCCATATAGATTTGTTGAATCTAATGGACTTTTTAGGGCTTGTTGAAAATTTTATTTTTCTACATATTGATAGAGTCAATTTCATTTAGTTGAATTTTTTTCAGAAAATGATCACCAAGCCCCTGCCATGTACCAGACAAGGAGCTGGGAATACCAAATAAATGAGTCATAATTTTAATGTAAGAAAATTGTGTCTTCCTCAATCAAGTTAAAGTCCAAATCCTGGTCAAGCGCGGTGGCTCACGCCTGTAATCCCAGCACATCAGGAGGCTGAGGCGGGCAGATCACGAGGTCAGGAGTTTGAGACAAGCCTGACCAACATGGTGAAACCCCGTTTCTAAAAATACAAAAAATTGTACTAAAAATACAAAAAATTAGCCGGGCGTGGTGGGGTGCGCCTGTAATCCCAGCTACTCAGGAGGCTGAGGCAGGAGAATTTCTTGAACCTGGGAGGCGGAGGTTGCAGTGAGCCAAGATCATGCCACTGTCCTCCAGCCTGGGTGACAGAGTGAGAGTCCATCTCAAAAAAAAAAAAAAAAAGTACAAATCCTACCAGGTTAGCACTAGAAGTAAATGTTCAAACGGAGAAGGGCAGCAAACTTTACAGACCTGACTCTACATGGACCTTCACCTAGGGCAGCAGTCCTCAACCTTGGCTACACATTGGAATCAGTGGAGAACTTTCAAAAGACTGATGCATAGGTGCCTTGCCTAGAAAATCTGATTTCATTGGTCTGGGGTGTAGCCTGGGCAACCAAGTTTTTAAAAACTACTTCAAGTGATTCTAATGTGCAACTCACGTTATGATCTACTTTTATAAGGCATCATTCTCAAAATTTAGTACACAAAAGAATCACCTGGAGAGCTTTCTGAAATGCAGATTCCTGGGCCACATCCTCATACATTCTAATTCAATGGGCTTAAAATGGAGCCTAAGTATCTAATTTTTAGCAAGCACTCTAGATAATTTTAATGCAGATGAATGCAAGCTTTACTTGGGAAAAAATTACTTGGTGAGGTTTGCCATCTTTAAGCTATTGAGTTTTCCCACATGCAAACATGGCAAAGGTTGCCATTTATTTAAGTCTTTTATGTTCTTCACTTATATTTTGTAATTTTCTCCACAAAATCACATACACATATATACTCATATATATACACATATATACAGTTTTAAAGTTTTATTTCTGTATTTAAATTGTTAATAATCTAACTAGATTTTATCTTTATGAATGGAGTGAGGTAAGTATTGAATTTTTCCGTATATGGAAAGTCATTTATCCTTACACTGTTTTCTAAAGCTTTGCTTTTCCCCACTAACTTATGATATCTCCTCTATCACATAAGGGTCACATATCTTTAGATATTATATCTGGGTTCTCTGTTCTATTCCATCAGTCTGAGCTAATACTATATTATCTTATTTTATTTTATTCTGAGCTAGCTTTTAATTATTGTTCCTATCATGAAGAGTTCATTACCTTTTCTAATTTATTATTGCCCATATGCATTAAGTTTTGTATGTTAATCTTGTATTCAGGAAACTTATCACACTCTCTAATTAGTTTTGTTTGTAGACTTTCCTGGATTGTCTGTGGAGATAATGTATGTTTTTAGCAAATAACAATTTATTATCTTCCTTTCCAAGATTTATATATCTTGTTTTTTTGTGTGTGTTGCTCTGTTGGTTAGGACATCTGGTATGGTTTCAAATAGTAGGTGATAACAAACATCCTTGCCTTGGGATGTGGGAAAGTTTCTAAAGTTTTATCATTAAGTATGAGGTTTGCTTTATGTTTTTATAAGATAAGGTTAAGAAATTTCTATTTATCTTAGTTTGCTAGGGGTTTCTAAAAATTAGTTTGGCTGTTGAATCTTATTGAATGCTTTTTCTCTTATTGAAGGCTCAGCATCAGCTGAGATGATCTGTGATTTTTCTTTTTTAATCTGTTAATAGATTTTTTTTCTCATATTGAACCATCTTTGCATTTCTGGGATAAATCTTGTTTAGATAAAAATATATTTTATTATGCTGAATTTGGTTTGCTATTTTTTATCTGAAATGCTTGCGTATATATTCATAAGTAAGATTGGCCTATAATTTTTCCTTTTTTATATTAGTCTTATGTACTGTTGGAATCAAGGTTATACCTATAAAATTAAATGGGTAGATTCCCCTCCTTTTTAGTTATTTGAAAAAGTTTATATAAGAAGGGCTCCTCCTCAAATATCTGATAAAATTCTCCTGTAAAACTTGCTGGACCTGTTGTCTTTTTCATGGATTTTTTTTAAACTGTCAATTTGATGTCTTTAATACTGATTCACTTATTCAGGTGTTATATTTCTTCTTGAGCCAGTGTTGATAATTTATTTTTTTCTGGAAAAATGTACATTTCTTCTAATTTTATAATTTATTGACATAAAATTGATCATAGCATTATCTTGTGGATTTAAAAATAATCTCTACTTACCTGTAGTTATGTCTCCTTTTTCATACCTAATATTTATTTGTACCTTCTCGCTTTTTTTTTTCAGGATTAGTCTTGTTCAGATTTGTTTTGTTTTTTAGTCTTTCCAAAGAATAAATTTTTTATTTTGTTGAGCATCTCTTTTTTCAGTAAATTTTACTCTTATTTTTATTATTCGCTTTCTTTTTGTGCTCTGAGAGGTAGGCATAGGTCAGCTTATCAACAGCCTTGTATTCCTGGCTAAGAAGTTTGGATTTGCTTCTATAGACAATAATGAGTCACTGAAAAAATCTAAGCAGAGGGACAACATAGTTTGATTCAAATTTTATAAAGTTCCCACTGGCTGGCTGACCTGGGAAGATTAGAGAAGGGAAGGCCAATAAGGAGGCTATTGAGATAATTTGGAGAAAATGACAAAGCCTTAACCATGGTTGTGAGATTGGAGATTTATAACATAATACGGGTACAAAACAACAGATCTAAATGACCAATTGAGATGCAAAGAAGAGGATATGGCCCAGGATGACCCTTGTGTTTCTGGTTTTGGTAACTGGTAGTGATGCTAGTCACTGGAACAGGGAAAATAGAGGGGGAAAAAAGTCAGAAGTGAAAGTTGAGGTACTTTTCAATATATAGAATTTGGGTTGTCTATGGGATATCTAACAAGAGGTGTTTGAGGGTCGGTTGAGTAAATGGATCTGAAAGTTTAGGGAGAGGCCTGGGCTGTAAATATAGATTTGGAAACAATCATCTTGTGGATGTTTCACTTCCTGTGAAAGTCATAGGAAGAGGCAAAATTACCCTTGGAAAAGGAGTAGAGAAAATTAACCAACAGAAAATGGAGCCATGGGGGATACACATATTTGGAGTACTGACAGCAGAAGGGATATCCATGAAAAAGTTGAAGGAGGAGTGATGTGAGGAGGGAAGAAAGCCAGGAGAGAAACTTGTCATGGAAACCTCATATGAACTCAGCAGTGTTTTATGTCTGTTTGGACATTTTTACTGAGGCATTTTGTTAGATCATTGGTTAACTTTGTGCAATTAACTCTCAGAAATACAATGCTGACCAAGACTAACCCACAAAGAAGGTAAGATATATACGATTAATTCTTTGTTGCTCTCATAGGGAAGGATTGTATCTAATGCATATATGAACTTCAAAAAAATGTCAAGCCAGTGATAGTTCTAAATCAACAATCACTAAGAATCATTCAATGTCCCAAATATAAAACTAAAATAAATCAACAAATGTTCATTAAGATTAAGGAGCTATCTCTACAATGCTGCTTTGGCTTTATGAATTGTGTCAACTGTATTAATGTAAATAGGTGAGCTTCTCATTCTCTGCTGAATGAAGATAACTTCAACATGGGCCTGAACCAGCAAACTAAAAACTTCTAGTTTCACCATGAGAAATAATAATACTAATAGTAGCTAATTTAGTGCCTAGCATGTGCCTGGCAGAAGGCTAGAAACCTTAGATACATTTTCTCCCTGAAATCTTTGCAGTCACTCTTCAGGAACCATGCTGTTACTTCCCTGTTAGAGCTTATGATTCCCCTTCCTCTATCGCCCAGGCTGGAGTACAGTGGCACCATCTTGGCTCACTGCAACCTCTGCCTCCCGGGTTCACGCGATTCTCCTGCCTCAGCCTTCCGAGTAGCTGGGACTACAGGCACGCACCACCACGCCTGGGTAATTTTTGTATTTTTAGTAGAGACGGGGTTTCACCATGTTGGTCAGGCTGGTCTCGAACTCCTGACCTCGGGTGATCCCCCTGCTTCAGCCTCCCAAAGTGCTGGGATTACAGGCATGAGCCACCGCGCTCAGCCCCTTTAGGTTTTAAGACTGTTAAAATCACAGACTTTGTCTACGCTTGTCTTTCTCTACACTCAGCACTTCCTGCATGTCATATTAATATGTACTTTCTTCATTCAGTTTCCATTCAGTAAATGTTTATTTGTATCTACTATGTCAGGTCCTGGACCAAGTCCCTGGATGACAAAGTGGTCCCTGCTCTCAGGAGTCTTATGGTTATTGGACAGAGACAAGTGTGCTGAAAAGTTACAGGTGCCCTGATAAAATATCTGTGCAGGGCATGGTGGAGCACAGAGAAGAGAGGGGTTAAGTCTGCCTGATTTGAGGGTTGTTGGGAAAATTCAGTAGAGAGGGTGACTAGTAGCCTGAGTCTTGAAAGATGAGTTGGCGGTAAATGGGAGAATGGATCAATTTGAGTAAAAGTACAAGAAGAGAAATTATAAAGAGTTCTGTGTGGGCAGAACTTGGAAGTATCATTGCATAAGGATAGAATGGCAAGGGACAGAAGAGGGAGGTAGGCTGGGGCTAGCTCCTTTGTCTTATAAGCAACAGGAGAATCAGGATTCAGTTTTAGATTTTAGAAAAGGTGACTTTGACAGCAGTGGGAAGAATGGACTGGAGAGATTAGACTGGGAACAGAGTCCAGGGAAGAAACTACAGTCTAGGTGAGAGATGCTGATCTCCAGCAAGAATAGAATGTAAGCAAGTGCTGATAAGAATAAAATTATAGTGGCTAAATGAAAGTAGGCAGAAAGGGAGAGGGAAGAGCCTAGGATGTTTCTAGGGTTCATGTTTTGGCTGTCTGGGGCGGGGGGGGTGGAGAAATGGTATACACTGAGCTAGATAGCACAGTTTTGGGTAAGTTGAGTTTGGGGTGTCTTTGGAAGGTCTACATGGAGATGTTCGGTACAGAATGAAAATGGAAACTCATACTGCTGCTAAGGGTGTAAATTGGTACAACCACATTATAAAACTCTTTAGCATTATCTATTCAAGCTAAACATACATTTACCATGACCCAGAAATTCCATTCTTGAGTATCTACCTAACAGAAATGAATGCAGAAGACTTATATAAGAATGTTTATAGCAGCATTATTAATAGCTAAGAACTAAAACAGCCCAAATGTCCATCAACAGTAGGATACATAAATTGTGGTATATTCATACAGCAGAATATTATATAGCAGGGTATGGAAGGCAGAATAATCCCCCCTGCAAAGATGTCCAAATCCTAATTCTAGGAATTTGTGAATATGTTATCTTACATGGCAAAGGGGATTTTACAGGTGTCATTAAGTTATGGGCCTTGGAATGGGGAGTATAGCCTGGATTCACTTGGGTTCAGTGTAATCACAAGAGTCCTTATAAGTGAAAGAGAAAGACAGAAGTGTCAATATTAGGGTGATGCAGTGTGACCAAGACTTGACTGGCGGTTGTTGGCTTTGAAGATGGAAGGACACGTCCCAAGGAATGTAAGCCGCCTCTAGAAGCTGGCAAAGGCAAAGAAAGTATTCTCCCCTAGAGCTTCCAGTGAGACCCATTTTGGACTTCTGAATGACAGAACTGTGAGATGATAAATCTGTGTTGCTTTAAGCCATTCTGTTTGTGGTAATTTGTTGCAGTAGCTATAGGAGATTGATACACAGGGTTTATCAATTATTGGCCAGATAATTCTTTGTTGTGGGCCTGTCCTGTGCATTGCAGGATGTCTAGCAGCATCCCTGGCCTCGATGCACTACACACCAGTAATATTTCCCAGCCCTCCCTACCCTGAGTTGTGGCAATCAAAAGTGTCTCCAAAGGCTGGGCATGGTGGCTCACGCCTGTAATCCCAGCACTTTGGGACACCAAGGCGGGCGGATCACGAGGTCAGGAAATCGAGACCATCCTGGCTAACACGGTGAAACCCCCGTCTCTACTAAAAATATAAAAAATTAGCTGGGCGTGGTGGTGGGCGCCTGTAGTCCCAGCTACTCAGGAGGCTGAGGCAGGAGAATGGTGTGAACCTGGGAGGTGAAGCTTGCAGTGAACCAAGATCGTGCCACTGCACTCCAGCCTGGCGACAGAGCGAGACTCCGTCTCAAAAAAAAAAAAAAAAAAATAGTGTCTCCACACATTGCCAAAAGCTTCCTAGTGGATGAGAAAATTGATCCCAGATACAAGTATATTTACTGAATGATTCCATTTATACGAAGTTCAAAAACAGGCAAAGTAATTGATGGTGACAGTTGTTGGAATAATGGTAATCTCTGGGATTTAGGTGGGTAATTGGCTGAGAAGGAGCACAGGAGAAACTTCTGAGGTGTTGGAAATGTTCTATATCTTGATCTGAGTGGTGGTGACATGGGTTTATACACACAAACAATTGAGACTTATGGACGTTATTCTCTGTGTGTTATACCTCAACAAAAAATAAGAAACAAAATACAAAAGAACTAAATGGAGATAGAGCTTGAAGCTCAGGAGAAAGGGTAGAACAGAAAAGAAGATCAGGACAACATCAGCCTGTTGGTGAGAATCAAACCCATAGGTATTAGGGTGGGTAGGGAAGAGAGAGGGTGAGAAGAAAAGAATGCTGAGGTCAACGCCCAGCAAGCATCGATATCTCTGGTATGTGAGGGAGGAGTCAGCAAAGGATGAGCTCTTGGTGTCTGTGCTTGCCTCTCCTGTCCAAAAGAGAGCAGGAGCATAGGCCTCACTGTGGTCTCAACCTCCAACCTCTGGTGCTGCTGGCCTTGTACATTACACACAGGAACTACCCGTGCTGTGTATTACATAATACACATCGTTATTATCTTTGCTATCCTTCCCTTATCTTAGCATAGTCCACTGTCAGTGGGTATTTGTTTTCAAACTGAATGAAGAGGCTTTTGCAGGATTAGGCCTGGTGTAACCTCTTTTAGTGGGAAAATTGTGCCCAAACCTCAAGCCACAAAACCCACTGCAAGTGCATCCCTGAAACAATGCGTCCTCCACTGAGCTGTCCCCTTGTGGTCACTGTCCATTTTGTGCAGTGTCTTTGAAACACTGGCCTACATTGTGGCATATCCTAGAGTGCATAGTGCATTTTTGCAAGCCTCCTAGCCCTTAAGGATTGTTCCGTATTAAACCATAATAATTAGGCAAAAGGTAGATCAAGGCAGAATGCAAAAGAGCAGAATATTAGAAAGAACAGAGACATAATTGAGTTTCAGGCTCATCTGCTGAGTGTTTACTCTGTGCCAACTGCTTTAACATATCTTTTTCTGTAGACTTCATAATGACCTTTTAAGGTAAACATCTCTATCTTTAAAGATGCAGAATAGAGTCAGAGAGGTATGGGGACTGAGGTTATAGAAACAGTTAGTGGCTGAGCTGGCTCAGGAATCTAATTCTCCTCATTCCAGCCACAGCTGTGTCTTGCTTGTGCAGCTCCAGCAGGCCCCTGCCAAGTCCCCTCATGTTCCCCTAGTCCAACATGCCATTCTTGGGAGGGCTGCTGCCAACTTCAACCTTTATGCTGTCTTTCTGGCCCCAACTCTGCTAAGCCCATACCATCTCCCTCCACTAATCTTGTTTCTACAGTGGAGGAGGGGTGGGTGGTCTCACTTCTTTTCCTAAACTCTCAACAGATTCCCTTCTCCTCCAGGGCAAGGCCCAGGCATCTGGGTGTGCAGTCAGTGCCTTCCATTATCTGACCAATCTGATGCTTCTAGCCTTCTTGCCCACTGCTCCCTGCACACACTCGATGCCTTTTCTTGGGTATTCTCAGCCCTGGCTGCACGTTAAAATCATATGGACCTCAGCAGGTGCTCTGACCGAATCACAGCCTAAACTGGGTCTCACAAGCCCCACATTCAAACTACTGCTGGATTTTGCTCACAGTTTTCCCCCCTGCCCTCCTCCCATCTTCTTTCTAAATCCTTTCTATCCTTCAGGGCTTTTAGTCCATTGAGAAAGAGGCTTATACTATAAAAGCAGGGAATTAGGTTGGATTTATTTGATCCTAATTCCATAATAATAATGCAGTGGGCCTAATATTATTTTTACTCAGAGTTCAATGTAACATCTTAAGAGCATGCCAAGGCTGGGACTATAGGCTATGAAGATTCAAGGTGAAGAGCACATGACCCCTGTTTGCAGGAGATTGCTGTCTTTTGAGGGAGATAATATGGATGTAAGTAGTGTATCTAAAAGTACCAGGCGGGCCCTGGTGAGAGTAAAAATTGGGAGCCAGAGTTCTCTAGGGGCGCAACAGTGGCTAGTTAACACTATCAGAAGATTGTTGGAAGGAATGGTTTTATGAGTCCTGGGAGGTGCCCTTGTGTCCTGTGAAGAATTTAGTGTCCATCAAAGCTGGGTTTGAATCATGCATCTTAACTTAAAGTCTGTGTGACCTTGGGAAAGTCTTTATTTTTCTCATCAATAAAATGGGGGTAACTACACAGTTGTGACTTCACAGAGTCATGATGAAGTTGGGGGGAGATAATGTTTGTCCACAGTGCATACTCATCATAGTAAGTGCTGGCTACTTTTATTATTATCACTGAAATAATGAAGTAGAGTATGTTACCAATGAAAGTTTTTCATTTACTCATTCAGGAAACATTTATTGCATCTCAGATGAATCACTACGCTAGGGTAGAGAGATAAATTACACCTAGCAACTGTCCTAAAGGAGCTCCTGGTCTAGTGGGAGGAAGGCATATTTTTCGAAAGTATAGTCATAGTGGTAAGTGCAAGAATAGAAATGTGCACAGGCTATTGAGGAGTTGTAGAGGAAAGGGGGTTTCTGGCCTGAGTCATGAACCACTTCCTGAAGGGGTGTACCTGTACGGTGTGTCAAAAGCTTAGGAGTTAGTTCCACTGGGAAGGAAAAAGATTAGGAACTATAAATTCCTTCCTAGAGGTTTTTATCAATGAGATAAAAATTCAGAAGGGCACTTAAAAGTACAATACATTCTTGTAATTCCTGCTTTCCTCTGATGTCTGGCTTTATTTGGGACTTGGTTTCAAGTCCTGCTTACCATGTATTAACTATATGATTTAGAGCAAGTTACTTAATCACTCTTTTCTGATTTTGTTTCCTTAGTGGTAAAACAGAATCACTAATATCTACCTTACAAGTTGTTGAAAGACTTAACATTCCATTAAGTCTGTTACTATCTTACCTATCTTATTTACTATTGTACCTCCAGCACCTAGCTTAGTGCATGGTGTTTAATAGATGCTTAATAGATATGAATTAATTGAACAAATGAATGAAAGATGTGTACATACAGTGCTCAGCACAGTGCCTCGCCCGTAGTAAGCACTCAATAAATGGCAACTATCCTCATCATCATTGTCCCTGGTGGGTTGAGTACTACTTGGCTAATATACAGAGGTCCTTTGCCCTTCTCATTGCACACATTCTGAATTTCTGGGTAAAGAACCATTAAATGCTCAGGTCAAAGATTTTCTATGTGTATTTTTTTAGTCCAGCAAGCATCTCTGAGTCACCATGTTCTAATCTACCTGTGCAAATATGAATTATTTGGAGAGGCCTGGCTTTTGCCACTTTGCATACACAAAAATTATTTATTTTATTGCATGAGTAAAATAAGAATCATAAAATTAGAACTGTAATAAAAGCAATTAGAAAAGAATGATTTTTAGCAAGTTTAAATTTGCTCTGAAAATGAATTCAGAAATGTTTCTGTGCTTTGATGTTATCTAATTTTTGCCAAAGTCTGGATTTGGGTGGCATCTAAGTGCCACAGGTCAGAGAATGGGTTAATTGTGTACAAACTCGAGGTCGAATTTTCCTTCTTGGATTGTGATGACTTGCTAGCCAAGTATCTGTGCCACTCTGACAGCATTATGCCTGCATCTCCTCAAAAAGCCCAGGGGCCCCAAGGACTCCTCCCGAGGATTTGGTATATTTCACATGATTTTTCAGGGATGTACAAGAAAGTCCATTCAGCTTGCTTTCCTTGCAGACAGAGCCTGGGCCTTGTCCTTTTATCCCTTTCTTGGGCCTGGCACAGAAGAGAGTTCAACCAGTGTTGGAAGAATGACTCTCGGCGAGTGAATTGGTCCATTGCCGTTCTTCTCAGAGCTTCCTGATGACCACATTCTCCCTTGTGGATTGAGTGAGCCACCGGATTAAATATGCAATTCAGATGCTGAGATTCTGTTTAGAGGGTACAGGGAGAGAAAAAAATGAGGCATCATGGATGTAATATGGGTGGGAGAGAAGTAAGAGGAGGAAAAGGAGTAGGGATGGCAGTCGGAGTGTTCCTGTCCATAAACAGAACTGTGCCCCAAGCCTGATGACTTGAGAAGACAGCATTGTCAAGGTTTCTAAAGATGGATTCACAGTATTTTTCTTTTTTCTTCTTTTTTTTTTTTTTTCTGAGATGGAGTCTCAATCGCCCAGGCTAGAGTGCAGTGGCATGATCTCAGCTCACTGCAACCTCCGCCTCCTGGATTCAAGCGATCCTCCTGCCTCACCCTCCCTAGTAGCTGGGATTACAGGCACGTGCCACCATGCCTGGCTAATTTTTTGTATTTTTAGTAGAGATGGGGTTTCACCATGTTGGCCAGGATGGTCTCGATATCCTGACCTCAGGTGATCCACCCACCTCGGCCTCTTAAAGTGCTGGGATTACAGTCATGAGCCACCATGCATGGCCCAGATGTCACATGCTTTTTGAGCAGAGGAACTTATCAATTCTAACTTGAAAAGTCAGAGAAGACTTCAGAAATGAGGATGGCATCTGAGCTGGACCTAGAAAGATTAGTCTGATATCAGCAGGCAAAACAATCAGGCAGGCAGCAAGGGAGGTGGCAGGTCCCAACAGAAGGGACAGCTGGGGCATGGAGAGCTAGACATGCCTATGGAGAACCACAGATATTCCCATATAACAAGTGTTCCAAGTATAAGAAGTGACATGGTGGGAGACAAGCTTTATAGCCTTAGTCTAGACCAGTGGTGGGCAAACTTCCTATAGAGGGACAGATAGTAAATATTGTAGGCTTTGCAGGCTAAGATGCAAAATTAAGGTTATTAAGTAGGTACTTATATAACAAGAGAGAAAACAAATTTCCACCAAAATTTTATTGCTAAAATTCAAAATATAATAATAATTATTGAATAGAATCTTTTATAATACAGCTCTGCTAATGAGAATAATTTTTTTGGGTAATAATATTTGCTGAATTGGGGTTCAAAGTTGGTGTTCCCTTTCATCAGGTTGATTGCAAACATTCATCTACAAAAACCTTTCTTAGCTCACAGCTGAAAAACAGGCAGAGGGCTGTATCTGGCTGGTAGGCAATAGTTTGCCAATTTCTGATCTAGGTTATTGAGGACAGAATACTGTGTTACCAAGTTTCAGACTCTGTATTTAAGTAGCAAGTAACCCCCTGAACAGAGTGCATAAGAATACTTGGTTCGGCTGTGCCTTATTAAGCACATCACTCATTCTTCGAAAGTGACATAGTCATTCTCTTGTTTCCTTACAACTGAATAGCAATGGGAAGCTGATGTACATGTAAGAGTCTCTTTGTCTTTATATATAATGGATAACCAGCCAATCTCTCATAGCAACCAAGAACGCAAGGTACAGGAGTCACCATTGTGAAATACTATTAGTCTCTGGCTACTATGACCATTTTTGTGTGGGGTTCCCTTCGGGGCTACAACATGGAATTTTTTAAAAAATGGACGAGGGATAAATGGTATTAAAAGGTATACAGTGAGATCATCAACATGCCAGGATCTAGCACCCAAAAATAGCACAGAAGAGAGCTCTACCATGAGGGACTGTTATGACGCCTCACCGAAGCCCTGGTCCAGCATTCCTCCAGAGTGGGCCAAAGGCAGGCTGTGAATTGGAGAGAGGCTTGGTGATTCTAAAAATCTACTATAACACCATTCTGTGGGGAGCCTTTTAGCACAGCATAGTAGTCCCAGTCCAGACTGCATTTGTGAGAATGAGATTCTTTGCAAGCCCTTGGTAGAATGCATTACTTTAGTCACTTGTTCATTCAATTCATATTTGTTGAGCTCTTCCTACAAACAAGACTCTGAGCTAGGCTCTGGGGATATGACTATGAAGTCATATCCCCAGATTGGGGTCATATCCCCAGGGATTGGGACATGCTGATTTACTCTGTGTCAGCTCCTACTTCAATAGTAGGGAGAAATGTGATGATGAAGATGATGATAATGATGGGGATTGTGGTGCTGATGGGTGAGGAGGAGAGGACAGAGCAGCAGAAGCATGAATGCTCTTAAATAAGGAAGGTCTTTAGGGCTAGGAGTGTGTGATGGAAGGGAGAAGTGTTCTGAAGAAAAGGTAAGGAACACAAGAGAAATTAGTAATCACAGCTACTCATCTGGTAGCCATGGTGCAATGGACCGATCAAATGGCTTGGGATCAGAAAACCTCAGCTTAAATTCCAGCCTTTCCATTTACTATTTCTGTGACCTTGGTAAAGTTATTTCAAGTCTCTGAGCCTCAATTTCCTCCTTCAGAAAATAGGGCAGTATGATACATGCCATAGGATATAGGATACGAACATGTGTAAACTCTTAGGTCCTTGCAGTTATAATTCCTAAATATTAATACTCAGAGGTGAGCATGGAATCTGAATGCACACCAGTCTAGACACCAAGAGAGCAGTCACTCAGGGAACAGACTCTGAACTATGTTCTTGGATTACAGCCATGAACAAGACAAAATTCATCATGGAATGAGCAGTGTAATGACAGATAAGGTGTCAAGCGTGCATTTCAATAACTAATTATTAAATTTAGCTGTGATAAATGCTTGGCAGGGAAAGTACAAGGTGCTAACAGAGCATTTAATGGGAGCTGACAGGCTAACCTAGGTGAGGAGTTGGATCTGTCATCTGAGGAAGTGGTGTTGGAGCAGAGCCTAAGGTTAAAGATGAACCTTGAGGCCAGCTTTGCCTCCTATGTGACCCTAGACAAGTCTCTCCTTCCTGCTTCATTGTCCTCATCTGTTACTAGGGGTTGGCCCAATTTTTTGGGGAGTCCTTCCCAGCACTACGGTGCCACACTCAGAGATCCCTGTAAAGGCCTGGGTGCGTGATGTCAAAGCATGGTCTCACGTTGGAGTGGGGAACACAGGAAGGAGCACGACGGATCTGAAAATCCGATGACATTGAAGAGGGAGGGAGCTCATGGCCAAAGAATCAATTCCATCCATTCGATACTGCTCTCATTCCCGCTTAAGTGTCTGATGGTGCCTGCTCCAATAAATCCTCAAAGCATTTTCTGGGTTTTTTTGGAGAACTTAACAAAAATACATCACTAAGAAGGGTAAAACACACATATTTTCACTATCCATAATTTTAAAAATTAACGTTTTATTATATTTGAGGCTGGGTGCGGTGGCTCACACCTGTAATCCCAGCACTTTGGGAGGCCTAGATGGGTGGATCACGAGGGCAGGAGTTCAAGACCAGCCTGGCCAAGATGCTGAAACCCTGTCTCTACTAAAAACACAAAAATTAGCTGTGTGTGGTGGTGCGCGTGACTGTAATCCCAGCTACTTGGGAGGCTGAGGCAGGAGAATCGCTTGAACGTGGGCGGCAGAGGTTGCAGTGAGCCGAGATTGCACCACTGCACTCCAGCCTGGGCAACAGAGCAAGACTCCATCTCAAAAATAAATAAATAAATAAATAAATCATATTTTCTTCTAGTCTTTTATTGTATTAAAAAATATTTTTTCAGGTAAAGTTGTTATTTTTCCCCCCCACTAGGCCCAGACCCATTCTGCTTCTTCCCTTGCCCCCTGGGCAGTCATCACTGTTATAAAGAGGTATACTTTCATGTATACCTCTTCATCCATGAGCTGTGTAAGGCCTTGCATTTATGTGTGCTTTCTGACATGGCATCCTACACTGTGTATCATTCTGTCACTTTGTTTTTTTCACCCAACATCACATATCTTGAGAAAATGCAAACACACACATATACGTAAATACCCATACATATACAGATCGTTCTTTTTAATGGCTGTATAAATCTGCCATCATATGACAATATCACATATTATTTATTTCCCTATTTATGTTTAGGTTTTTGTACATTTTTACTATCACAAGCAATGTTGCAGTGAATATCCTTATACATGTCTAGCTGTGAATATATTAAAGGGTTAGAAGAGAAATTGTTGGGTGTTGGGTTATGCACATTTTGTATTTTATTAAATGTTGAAAAAATGTTCTTTTTACTGGCTGGACCCATTTATACTTCAACTAATAGTATATAAAAGTACCCCCTTTGTCTTATAATGTCAGACTTAAAAATTTTTGCCAACTTCATAATATGGAAATGTTTTGTTTACTTCATATTTCCCTGATTTTGAGTCAAATTAAGAAACTTTCCATGTGTTTATACACAATTTGCATTTCTTCTTCTGTGAATTGCATATTCCTACCCTTTCCCATTGTCCTATTCAGGTGTTATCTTTTTCTTACTTGCCTGCATTGATTCTGATTACTAATCTTTTTTCTGTGGTTTGTCTTTTACCTTTGTTTATAGTATCTTTCGTCATGCAGAAATTTTTCATTTTAGTGTATTCAGTGGACTTAGTCCTTGCCTTTATCATTTATTTTTTATTGCTAATGTAAGAAATGCTTCACTATCCCAAAGTTATAAAGGCACTATTTTCTTCCAATAATTTTCTGTTTGTTTGTTTGTTTGTTTGTTTGTTTTTAGACAGGGTCTCACTCTGTTGCCCAGGCTGGAGTACAGTGGCTCAATCACAGCTCATTTGTGTTTCGACCTTCCAGGGTCAAGCAATCCTCCCGCCTCAGCCTCCTGAGTAGCTGGGACCACAGGCATGCACCACTCCACCTGGCTAGTTTTTAAAATTATTTTTGGTAGAGACGAGGTCTCACTATGTTGCTCAGGCTGGTCTTGAACTCCTGGGCTCAAGCTATCCACCTGCCTTGGCCTCCCAAAGTGTTGGGATTACAAGCTTGAGCCACTGCACCCAACCTCTTCTAATAGTTTTAAATTTTGTTTTTCACATCTAGATGTGTAATACATCTGGAGTTCAATTTTGTGTATAGTGTGAGATAGAGTACAATTTCCTGTGTTTCTTGTATGTGGGAAGTCAAGTATCCCAAATCCGTTATTTGTCTGACAGGTAATTCTTTTTTCCTTGATTAAAAAAGTTCCCACTATTATATAGCAAGTTCCCTCATTTGTTTCTGGATCTGTTTCTGGGCTCTGTATTTTGTTGGATTGGTCTGTTTGTCTTTTTCTAAAAAAAATGCCACACTTATTTGTCATAGCTTTGTAATACGCTTTGATTTTTAACAGGACAGATCTCTTTTGGTTGTTCTTTTTCAGAATTGTCTTGGCCTTTCTCAGACATTTATCCTTTCGTATTTATGTTGGACTCAGTTCTCAAGTACTGCAAAAAAATACTGTTGGGATTTCGATTGGCCTCAGGTTAAATTTATAGATTAATCTGAGGATTAACATCTCTATAATACTGCGTCTTTCTATGCATAAACAAGATGTCATTCCCTTTCCTCAAGTCTTCTTTTATATTCTTCAAAAAGGTCTCTTTTCCTTGGGATTTTTCCTATACGTTTTCTAGATTTTGTTGCTATTATGAATGAGTTTTTTTCTGTTATCATTTCTACTTGGTTGTTGCGGTATGTAGGAACAGCGTTGTTATGTCTTTTACCTTTGAACTTGCTAATTCTTTTATTAATTCTAATATTTTCTCCTTTGATTCTTTTTCTTTACTCCTTTTCGATGCATTTCTGTCTTCTATTGAACATTTTTCTGTATTCCCTTCTACGTGGAAGTTACACATTCATTTTTGTGGGTTTTTTTTTTTTTTTTTTTTGATCAGGTGGGTTTTTTTTTTAGTAGCTATTCTTATTTTTATTTAAGAATTAAAAAGTAAGTTTCAGCCGGGCACAGTGGCTCATGCCTGTAATCCTAACACTTTGGGAGGCCAAGGCGGGGATCACTTTGAGGTCAGGAGTTTGAGTCCAGCCTGGCCAACATGGTAAAAAAAAATCGTCTCTACTAAAAATACAAAAATTAGCTGGGCCTGGTGGTACATGCCTGTAATCCCAGCTACTTGGGAGGCTGAGGCAGAAGAATCACTTGAACCTGGGAGGCGGAGGGTGCAGTGAGCTGAGATCATGTCACTGCACTCCAGCCTGGGTGACAGAGCAAGACTCTGTCTCAAAAAAAAAAAAAGTTTCAAATTAATCAAGCTCTACTGCTCCCAATTTCCATGTTTTTCTTGTCTTATATTTTACCTCATCTTTGCTTTATAAATCCTCAATTTAGAAATAATTAGTAATACAATTTTTATACCCAATGCTTATTTAGATTTGCCCCCATATCTACTAATATTTTACTCACCATTGCTTCTTTTTTTTGAGATGGAGTTTTGCTCTTGTTGCGCACGCTGGAGTGCAGTGGTGCCATCTCGGCTCACCTCAACCTCCACTTCCTGGGTTCAAGTGATTCTCCTGCCTCAGCCTCCCGATTAGCTGGGATTACAGGCGTGTGCCACCACACCCAGCTAATTTTGTGTTTTTAGTAGAGATGGGATTTCTCCATGTCAGGCTGGCCTCGAACTCCCAACCTCAGGTGATCCGCCCACCTCGGCCTCCCAGAGTGCTGAGATTACAGGCATTAGCTACTGCTCTTGCCTTTTTTTTTTTTTTTTTTTTTTTTAATAGAGATGGGTTTTCACCATGTTGCTCAGGCTGGTCTTGAACTCCTGGGCTCAAGTGACCCGCCTGCCTCGGCCTCCCAAAGTGCTGGGATTACAGGCGTGAACCACCAAGCCCAGCCAGCCGTTGCTTCTTGAATCCCACTCTTTTCTGCTGAAAATATGGCCTTTGCCTGAAGGATCTTTATCTCACTCTCCTGCTTTAGAGATAGTATCACTGAGAGAAGAATTCTAGAAAGACAATAATGTTTTCTTAGCACTTTGAAGATACCATTCTATGGTATGCTGGCCTCTGCTGTTGCCTGTGAGAAGTCTGCTATCACTGTAATTGTCCTTCCTTCCTATGGAATCTTTCCTCTTTGTTTTAAGATTTCTCTCTGTGTTTGCTGTTTTGCAGTTCACTATTATGCATCTAAGTATGGACTTGCTTTTATGGATCATGCTTGAGACTAGTTATTTTCCTGAATTTGAAGACATGTAACTTTTTCCATTCCATGAATTTCTCATCTAGTATCCCTGAATAATGCCTCTCTTTATTTCTCTATTCTTTCCCCTAGAACTTGTATTACACATATTTTATTTCTTCTCAATATATCCTCCTCGTCTTTAAACCACTCCTTATTTTTCATATATCTTATCTATTTGTGCTTCATTCTGGGAAATTTTCTCAGTCTTTCACTAATTTTCTCAAATAGGATATGTACCTCATTCAGTAAAATTGTAATTTCTATGATACTTCATTTCTAGAAGTTCTGTTTGATTTTTCAAATATGTGTATTCTTCATCATGTCCTATTGTTTCACTATGTTTTCTTTTTTGTTTAAGTCTTTAAGCTTTTTAAACACATTTATTTTGTAGTCTAAGTTAGATGTTTTCTCAAGTTCTTTGGATGTTAATCCTCATGGCAGATCATTTCCTCATATGGTTTTAAGTTTTTATTGTGGATTGTGAAAATGGCCCTCTGGAGCAATTGTGCTTTCATTCCTGAGAAATATTTCAGGGTTTCACTGGTCTGGGGTTCATTTTTACCTTAATTCCTCAGCTTGGAAATTCTGTACTCTGTGGGTGCTGCAAATAGGGATTCCACACCCATGCATGACTCTCACTTAGGGTTTTGATGGATAGTGGCAGGTTCCCCGACTCCATCCCACCCCCACCCAGAACCCTAAACAGAAAGGGACATCCTTAGACTTCCCTGGGCCAGTGACTCCATTACACCGTGGGGCAACCTTTGTGGCCCTGCTTCATGCATGAGTTTCAGTTCCCACTCCCCATTCTACAGAGGGCCAGGTCTCTTCTCCTTGCCTTGCCGTTAGAGCTGATACTGGGGTCCAAAGTGTCCTCTCGGCAGCAGTGCAGTCACTTCTCACGTTTACTGCTCTGACTCAGAGGTGCCTTCATTGAAATCCTTGAGATGAACTGGATGCTGCAACAGCTGCCCTCTTGGGTTTAGGTGTTGTTCCTGTATGGAATCCATGCCTAGGTCTGTGGCGTACAATTTTTAGGTGTCTCATTCGACCAGTTCCAGAGGTATTTCAGCTTTTAGCTGCCTTTACTGCTCTGATTCAGGGTTTCCTGCATCTGAAGATTCTCTTTCTTTGGAGCTCATCTATGAATATAAAAAAGACTTATTATATTTTACTATATTTTATGTAGCATTTCTATGCATTTTGTGGGGGAGAGGGGAGCTTAACTCAGTCAACCAAATTTTCTTTCTTAGATTTTCTATATAAATCATTGTATTATCTGCAAATGATGACAATATTGTCTCTGCCTTTACAATCTTTCTTCCTCTTATTTCTTCAATTTTGTCTTATATCACTGTCTAGGAATACCAGTACAATATTGCAAAGTTTTTGTCATAGTCTATTGTAGTGGATGAATAAATACTGTGTACTGGTAAACTTTGGTATCAGGCACATCTGGATTGAATCCAGGCTCTGTGACTTAATACCTCTGGTATTAAGAGATAATAAAGATAATAATGGCATTTACCATGAAAAATTATTTTTAGGATTAAGTGAATTACTATATAAACTGCTTGGATTAGTACCTGACACATAACAAAATTAATACCATAAATATTAACTATTAGCAGCAGTAGTTGTGGTAGTAAAAATAATGGTAACAGCTTTGTGTACATTATATCTAGTCGTCACAACTCTGTCAGATAGATAGATTCAGAGAGGTTGAATACCTTACCCAGTATCACACAGCTAATAACTAAAGGCTTAATTTTCCTGAATTGGTACTCTGAAGCCTATGTCTTCCCCTCCCTAGATCATGTGCCCTTTATGGTAGTGATTTATACACTATTGCAAAATCAGGCCCTGGGAAGAGTATTTGCCAAATCCATCAGTAGAAAACTGGAGAAGAGGGGCCCTGGAACCAATGTTTAGCACTCCCGAGCAGATTGGGAGAATTCTGCCCTGTCCCAAGCCTTGAGAAAGACCTCAAAAAATGAAAAATAAGTTTGTAACCATGCACCTCTAAGAATAGAATTGTTTTCTAAGATGTTGAAATGCAAATTGGTATATATAGAATCAGAAACTGCCTAAGAGACGGGCTGCTTTTCAAATCATCCATCTATTCATCCATTCACTCATTGAGGGCTAGAGCTGGACTACCTGGGTTCTAATCCCAGCTCTCCTCCTTAATAACTTGGGGGAGCTCTTTACCTTCTCTGAGCCTCACCTTCCTCATCTGTAAAGTGAGAAGTATCATAACAGCACCTACCTCATAGGGGTGGGGATTAAATGAGTTAATGTGTGTAAAGCACATAGAAAAGTGCCTGGCAACATAACATGTGCTCAGGAAATGCTAGCATTTATTCTTATCACTGTGTTCAATATACAGTCAAGAGCCTTTTCTGAGTTCCATTTCTGGGACTGCCAGGATGGAGTTGTGAGATGTGTGGAAACTGCTGTGGATGTGCAGTAGTGGCTAGTTCTATCAATTGTGAGTGTCAGAAAAGACTTCACAGTTGAAGTGAGGTTTGTCTTCTACATTTACAAAGGTTTTCCTCTTTGCCAAGCACCTTACTAATCTTTGGGGTTGTAAAGCTAGAAAATCCAGGATCCCTGCTGTCAAGGAGCCTTCATTCTGGATGAAGAAACAAATATGTAAATCAAGGATTTATAGTATAGGCTCATAAGCATACAAAACAAGGCAAGATTGGGTTGCTATAAAACACAAAGGAGGGACATCTGCAGTAGTGTGCTGGCAAATGTGAATAACCAGCTCTGCAAGAAAAAAAATTTATATATTTATATATATATATATAAAACACATACATAATAATAAATTTTAGTAACATAGTGGATGTGAACACGCAATTTACAAATAATAATAAAATACACAGTATTCTTTACAGTAAATTCCAAATACCTATTACTACATTATGTCTTTCTATTTCCTGCAAAGTCTACCATCAGTTTTTATATTTCTACTGCCAATAATAGTATCACAAAATAGACTATGAATACAGGCTTGATTACTATTTGATTTAGCAAGGAAGTCACTCACATTATTGACAAACAAGTGTATTCTGACATGAATTTTTTTTAACCAGAACATTTATTGTGCTGACTAATCATTGAAATGCTTGAGATGAACTGGATGCTGCAACAGCTGCCCTCTTGGATTTAGGTGTGTTGTTCCTTTATAGAATCCATGCCTAGGTCTGCGGTGACAATTTTTAGGTGTCTCATTCGACTAGTTGCAGTAGTATTTCAGCTTTTAGCCTTGGCATTCCAGCTATACTTTCTGTTGTGGCTGGTAGGGTAGCAACATTTGCCACAGGTCACCTTCTGAAAGTGGAAGGCCTAAGTGCCACCACAGAAGCACAATGTGTGTCTTATGGCAAGGTTTCCAAACAATGATGAATGGGATGTTCTCTTCATTGTCTTGCTTCTGTGCCAAGACCAGAGAGCCTGGTGTGTATGTTGGCTGATATTTTTGTTTGTATTAAGGAGAAGGTAAGAGAGAAACAATGAAGTTGTATAAAGACATATACCAGAACTAGTTAGTCAATGTTGTGGGTATCTTTGTTCAATCAGATAATAGTTTTGAATCTTGGAAATGTAGTTCCTCAATTTTTTATGCTATTTACAATGTAACAACTACAGATACAACCCATTTTTAAGCCTAATCTGCATTATTAACATTTACTCCATTACTTTCTTAAATCTACTCAGTCAACAGAGTGATAGACTTAGTGCTGATTTGTAACATTTGCTGATTTCCAGGGTGTCAATATGCCCACTATGGCAAATTTCAGTCAGCCAACATGACACTGAAGACCACAGAGTTGGGAAGAGCTGCGCAGAAGCACATCATTGTGTAGCATTTCTACCCTAAGGCTACAGTAGATGGACATCACCTCAAAAGCGTAGCTAATAGTAAATGTGCTAAAAGAATTAGGAAATGATGAGTTTTGAGCTTTTGTTACTTTAATTTTAGTGTAATTTATTTAATTGTATATTTATATAAATTTTGTATAATGGTTGTGCTTAATAACTGGCTCATAAAATTCCAGAAAATTTAGCTGTGGCTCTCTTCAGCCATTGTGAACTGGCTTCAGGACACTACTGACCTCTAAAATAGACTTGCAGACCAGAGGAAGCTTCCTGAAATACTAACATTTGAGTGGGACTCTGGGGGTTGAGTAGAATTCTGCTAGATGAAGTAGAGCGTGGCATCTCAGGCAGAGGAAATGAACAGAACGAGGAAAGATACCTCCCAGGGTTACAGCATTAGCTTCACCTGGAAGCTTAACAGAAATGCAGAATCCCCAAGTCCTGCCCTGGAAATACTGGATCAGACTGCATTTTAGCCAGACCCTCATCAGCATTTTAAAGTCTGAGAATCCCTGAGCCAGAGCAGGCTTTCTCTCAGGTGGTCCAGACCACTTACATTGGAATCACACGAAGTGGTTGTTTACAGTGCAGATCCTGGGCCCCACTCAGGCTCCTGGGTTCTACCCCAGACCTTCTAAATTGGAATTTCTTTTTTTTTTTATTATACTTTAAGTTTTAGGGTACATGTGCACAACATGCAGGTTTGTTACATATGTATACATGTGTCGAGTTGGTGTGCTGCACCCATTAACTCGTCATTTAATATTAGGTATATCTCCTAATGCTATCCCTCCCCCTCCCCCCACCCCACAACAGGCCCTGGTGTGTGATGTTCCCCTTCCTGAGTCCATGTGTTCTCATTGTTCAATTCCCACCTATGAGTGAGAACATGCAGTGTTCAGTTTTTTGTCTTTGCAATAGTTTGCTGAGAATGATGGTTTCCAGCTTCATCCATGTCCCTACAAAGGACATGAACTCATCATTTTTTATGGCTGCATAGTGTTCCATGGTGTATATGTGCCACATTTTCTTAATCCAGTCTATCATTGCTGGACATTTGGGTTGGTTCCAAGTCTTTGCTATTGTGAATAGTGCTGCAATAAACATACGTGTGCATGTGTCTTTATAGCAGCATGTTTTATAATCCTTTGGGTATATACCCAGTAATGGGATGGCTGGGTCAAATGGTATTTCTAGTTCTAGATCCCTGAGGAATCGCCACACTGACTTCCACAATGGTTGAACTAGTTTACAGTCCCACCAACAGTGTAAAAGTGTTCCTATTTCTCCACATCCTCTCCAGCATCTGTTGTTTCCTGACTTTTTAATGATCGCCATTCTAACTGGTGTGAGATGGTATCTCATTGCGGTTTTGATTTGCATTTCTCTGATGGCCAGTGATGATGAGCATTTTTTCATGTGTCTTTTGACTGCATGAATGTCTTCTTTTGAGAAGCGTCTGTTCATATCCTTCGCCCACTTTTTGATGTGGTTGTTTGTTTTTTTCTTGTAAATTTGTTTGAGTTCATTGTAGATTCTGGATATTAGCCCTTTGTCAGATGAGTAGATTGCAAAAATTTTCTCCCATTTAAATTGGAATTTCTAAGGTTGGGCCCAGGAACCTGGAATTTCAATATGCTTCTGAGATTGTTATTATGCATGTCAGCAGTCCACACTAAAAGACTTGGCCCCAAACAGTCATGTTTGAATTGGGTCAGAAAAATGAAACTCCTTAAGCCCTCCTAGTAAACTATTCCCTTCCCTTTGTATGCAAAGCATATAGGTCATTGTCTGGCAGACAGTAGGTGCTGCACCAATGGTAGCAATTGTTCTTGCAGTATTTGTGATATTTGAAACATCATGAGTTCCTTGTCAAGGCCAGAATTAAGCATGATCTAGGGAAAGACGTGTGAGAGAGTGTGTGTGTATGTGTGTGAGTGTGTGTGTGGGGGGGTGGGGGTTGGTTGGGGAGGGGTGTATGCAAGGGACTGGATAACTCAGATTGTCCCTTCAGCCTGTTCCCCACCCCCAGTGCTGACAACCATCTGCTCTAGGAGCCGCCTGTCTGGGAGTGGAGGGTATCCATGGTTACCAGTGTGGAGGTTGCCAAGAGGACTCTGTGGCCGCCAGCCAGAGGGGAGAGTGGAAATTAAGTGGAACTGAAAGTGACAGACTCGTGTGTGTTCAATGGAGTGGGAGGCAGTCAGCTGTGAGAGCCATGGTGGGGCATGGGCACAGCCAAGCTAGCGCTTGGGCACCCAGAGGAAGCCTCTAGACAACAGTGACTGCACAGCTGTGCCCAGGAGGATCACTTTAGACAATCTGAACAGTAATCTCTCTGTGTGTGTGTCTGTCTCTCTCTCCTGCACACAAACCACCTCCCTCCCTTGTTTTCTCCCTCCACTCCTAAGCAGATGCTTTAATTGTAATGTTGGGTCATCTGTCTTTCTATACATATTTTTATAGGGTTGAAATCATGCACTTCCAATTCTGGATTCTTCTTTACAAAAAGTTCCTTTCAGTCGGGTTTAGCTTTGAAAAGAAAGTACAGAATTTAGAGTGAGATGTCTCCTGTGTTTGCACCCCGCATCAGCCTGGTCAAAAATTAGTGCTTGAGGCCAAAATGACAAGTTGGCCCACAATGGATATTCCTAAGTGAATGCTATTGTACATCTCAACCAGCGGCATCCGTTTTACTCATTTCACCAGTTTTCAAGTTGGGGTTTTTTTGTGTTTGTATTCAGCAGCTTTGATAAAGCCTTCTGCATAAAGAAAAAAACACTTCCAACAGGAAGAAAGGGATGTGGGATTGTTTTGCTTAGATATATATTTTTTAACTTTTGTTTTTATAGATTTAGGGGGTACAAGTGTGGCTTGGTTACATGGATATATTAGGTAGTGGTGAAGTCTAGGCTTTTAGTGTACCCATCACCCAAATAGCGTATATTGTAGCCATTAAGTAATTCTTCATCCTTTACCCGCCTCCCACCCTGCCACCCTTCTGAATTTCCAAAGTTGTTATTCCACTCTCTGTGTCCATGTGTACACATTATTTAGCTCCCACTTACAAGTGAGAACATGTGGTATTTGACTTTCTGTTTGAGTTATTTCATTTAAGATAATGGCTTCCAGTTCTATCTGTGTTACTGCAAAAGACATGATTTCATTGTCTTTTGTGGCTGAATAGTATTCCGTAGTGTATATACCATATTTTCTTTATCCGCTCATCTGTTGATGGACACAGATTGATTCTATATCTTTGCTATTGTGAACAGAGCTGTGATAAACAGCAGCAGCTGTCTTTTTTATATCATGGTTTCTTTTCTTTTGGGGTAGATACCCAGTAGTGGGATTGCTGGATTGCGTGATAGTTCTATTTTTAGTTATTTGAGAAATCTCCATACTGTTTTCCATAGAGATTGTACTAATTTACATTTCCAGCAACAATATATAAGTGTTCCCTTTTCTCTGCATCTTTGCCAGCATCTGTTATTTTTTGACTCTTCAGTAAATAACCATTCTGACTGGTGTGTGGTGGTATCTCATTGTTTTGTTTCAGATATTTTTGAAAAGAGCATTCAGATGTAAAATGCTGTATTGACCCTGGAGCGTGACATTAATAGAGTGAGAAACATGTAAGTGGATCGTTTCTCCCCATTTAGTGGTACAACAACCAGAGGCCTCATTATTCCTGTTACTCCAAGAGCACTAGAGGTGACAGCTGGGGAAGTTGGCAGGAGCACCCCAAGGGCAGTGCGGAGTCCTTAGTGACCAACCATGTTTCAGGGGAAAATGGGCATTACCTGCCAGGGAGATCAAGATACCATTTCAAGCAGAATGTTTCTCAGATTCATCCATTGTCTAGATGAGTTCTGTTTCTAATCAATTCATTTAGTTGTATATTATCTTGAGTAGGACACTTCCTGGGAGTGGTAACAGCCACCAGGATTGCTGTAAGCCAGGCCTGAGGGGCCTGTGAGGAGAGCACTGGGCAGATCCAGGCCCAGTCAAGCCACCCTGGTGTTCTTGAATTTTCCCCAAGGCAATGAAACTCTTTATTTACATCATTTAAATGATTACATACTATCCTAGCATGTAGATGTAGCACATCTTATTTAACCATTCCCCTATTATTGGACATTTCACTTGTTTTCAGTTTTTCACCCCTGTTAATTCAAAACATTACAGTGAATGTCATTTTGTCCATCCTTCCTTCTTTCCTTCTTTCCCTCCCTCCTTCCCTCCCTCCCTCCCTCAGTCCTTCCTTCCTTCCTTCCCTCCCTCCTTCCTTCCTTCCCTCCCTCCTTCCTACTTCCCTCCCTCCCTCCCTCCCTCTCTCCCTTTCTTCCTATCTTTCCTTCTTCCTTCCTTAAGAAACAGCTCCATTTCAAGGCAATAATTTTGATCCACTTATAGTTTCTTGACCAGAAGGAGTTTTATAAGTAATCTGTCCTGCCCTCCCATTTTAGAGATGTGACATCTGAGGCTGACAGCAGGGTTTGTGATTTATTCAGTGGCAAATCCACGGTGGGGTTCAGAGTAGAGAATTGGATCCAAGTCTTTTTGGACTCCTGCTCTAGTGCTCTCTTCTCTCTCACCAAGCAGCCTCCAGCTCCACCTTTTCATTTTGCCTGATCACATATTTCACACCCCATCACCCAGAAATACTACAAAATTAGCCCATTCAAGACCCTATAAATAGCTGGGTTTATTTCATTAGATGTGTTTCTGCCCTTTTAAATGTTTATTTATGAGTCAATACTGTTTTCACAGCAAACTAGAAAGCAGGGACTGTATCTTTTTCAACTTAGAGTCAGTAAATGCTTTTCTTGCATGATTGAAAGGAGCCTGTGAATAATTCAACCGCTCCATATATATGGTCTGCCATTAACTTTTACATTTTTGCTTGAGAAAAACATCAGTTTGGCAGCAGCTTGAAAATTGATTTAAAATTCTAACCCCAAAGATGAGCAAAATCACTAATAGAAGGCTTTGCTTAAGCTTCCTGACTCTTTAAATTCACTTAACAAATAGTTTTGGAACATCTTCAGTGAACAAAACACCAAGTTAATCTAATTAATAGCTGTTGAAAAGGGAGAAGGGCTTTGTCCTCAGGTTGCTTCCAGTTTAGTATGGGAAGCTATTTTCAAATGCAAGCTTCATTATTACTCATACACCGTGAGGCCAGCGGATCAGGAGACAACTGCCATTGAAAGAGATATTTCGCTCCCAGAAGGAATATTGTGCCATGCAGGGCCACACAAGGAAGCACCAAGTTGGGTCAGGAGGCAAGAAGGATTGAGGGAGAATATGGATGAAAGGCTTCTTTGTGATTTTTGCAGGAAGTAATGGATAAGCTGGGGCAAGCAGGCTAAGTGGGCTTAGGATTGGCTAATTTGAATAGTTTTGGTGGGCTCTGGGGCACAGGGGCTGTCCACAGTGGTCTGGTACCTGGCCCTGGAGTGATTAGGGCAGGGAAATAGTGGTCCAAGTGTGAGAGCCTGCTAAAGGAGGTGGTTGGGGAATGGTTATTGGGTTGGTTTGCATATAAAAGGTACCCTCATAGACAAGTTGTTTACTATCTCTAAAAATTGGCTAGTCCTGGGGTGTATGTGGGGGCTGAAGAGCGAGGGACAGTTTCCAGAGCATCACTAAGGCCCCAGATGCCAAAACATCAGAGTAAAAAAGATGCCCTTAATACAGAGGCAAAGCAGGTGCTTCATGCTAGCATTGTATAAGATGAAAAGCTGTAACAAAAGAGAAGCACTCTTTGGTTAAGAGGAAGAGATTATTTCAAGTATTCTTGTTCTGGCATAGGCTTAATAGAAGAAATAGCTTTTCAGAAGGGCAGGTGAGGGGAAGGAGCCCAGCTCTCATCACTCATTGGCAAGTTGCCCACTGTAAATTACTTAAACCCTCTGAACCATGTTTATTCTGTTTATATCCCAAGGTTGTTGGGCAGATTCAGTAAATATCTTAGAGTTTCTCTCATGTGCACCATCTGTGGACCTGCATCGGAATCATCTGGAGTGGTCATTTCAAGTGCAGCTTCCTGGGACCCAGAAGCAGACTATGGGGGTGGGGCCCAGGACCCTGCATTCTGACAAACCCCTCACTCCCACCCAAGGTGATTCTTAGGAACACTAAAGTTGGGAACCAGTGTGGAGAAAATAATGCTAGGTGCATTCTAGGATCTAAAGGGTAAAACATTACACTTGGGTAAAGAGGTTTTGTGTACTTATTATAAAACAACTGTAGCCTTTCTCGTGCTTCAGTATCTCATGCCTGGCAGCTCCTTACACGGGCGTAGCATCCTCTGAGCTAGATGTTAAACACACAGACACAATGAAGATACCTCCCCAAAGCCCTGCCTCCTGCAGCTCTGGTCGGCTTGGGCCAGCTGCATGGGGAGGCTAACATTACAGATGTTCTGATATGGCTCACGAAGGAATGAAGCCAAGGAACCGAGTCCTCAGACTGTGAGAAGGCTCGAGTCACAGCTTGGCTGCTGTTGCAGCTGTGTGGTTTCAAACGCCATGTTTATCCCCATGAGTTTCTATTTTTACCTCAAAAATTTAAAAATATGAACTGACAAACTAATTGAAAGTGTTTTAGCAGTTTCAAGTAAACTTGAGTAAAAATTATTGAAAAATTGCTAAGTCTTTTGGCCTTGCCTAATTGGGCTTTTGGCAGCGAGACGCCGCCTGGCCTGGTGCTGATGGAAGGGGCTTAAGGAGACGAACACTTTGTAAGCACCAGATGCCACTCGTTTTCTCTTGGTGTTGATGTGTTTAACCCTCATGGCAGATGTAGGAGGTACATTTTTCCCTTTTCACTTTAATAAAATGAGGCTCAGACACGTTCTGTCCTGTCACAAGCCCAAGATTTCACAGGAAGTGAGGTGTGAACGAGGACTTCAGGCCGGCTCTGTTTACTTTCAGAGGCTCCTTTATATCCCAGGCAGGCTGCCTCCAAGAAGAGCAGAGTCCCCAGGGGAACCCAGAGGCTGCTCCTGCACCTCCTACTAATTGCTTTACAATACCCGGGTGCCAATGCTCCCATTTTATGAGCCTTAAACTTTCGGTTCACCGACTTTCACAGAGATCATTATTATCAAATCTCTGACAGAACAACCAAAATCCTGGCCGCCTATTTTGCTCCACATTTTCCTTCCCACTCCCCTAGTAATTATACAATAATTACAATGTTGGTAATTACCTCATTAGTAATTTGGTGTGAGAAAGCTCAATGAAAGAATAATAAAAGGGCATCTCTTTATAGCTGCCAGATTATAGATGACAAACACAGTTTTAATAGCCCTTAAACACTCATTAATAGAAAAATAAATTTTCCTGCACAATATTTTGAAAAGTGTCAGCATCTCTCTTAACCCGTGCATGGTTTTCTAAAGAGGCCAAGGCTTTCTCATCTGAAGAGCCCGTTTCCAAGCAAGCGAAGGTACTCTGAAAGTTCTAATAAGAGCCATCTCTGTGGGATTTGCTTTTGCCATCCTTTGGCCATGAAAAGCCCTGTGTCTCCCATCTTTGGTGAATTTGTATCATAAAGATTAGACTTGGCTGGGTGCCGTGGCTCACACTTGTAATCTCAGCACTTTGGGAGGCTGAGGTGGGTGGATCACTTGAGGTCAAGACCAGCCTGGCCAACATGGTGAAACCCTGTCTCTACCAAAAATATAAAAATTAGCTGGATGTGGTGGCACATGCCTGCAGTCCCAGCTACTCAGAAGGCTGAGGCAGGAGAATCACTTGAACCCAGGAGGCGAAGGTTGCAGTGAGCCAAGATCACGCCCTGGCACTCCAGCCTGGGTGACAGAGACTTTGTCTCAAAAACAAAAAAGAATAAAAAGATTAGACTCGTGTCTTCTTTGACATTTTTGTCATGCTTCCACTTCCATAAAGTAGAATAAATCTTCTCATTTATGTGCTCTTAACGCTCTTTACATACTTTCTGTGTAAGATTCTTCACTCATTCAGCAAGTTTCAGCAAGTATCTCTACTCAAGAGTCTCTTCTGCCCAGCCTGGGGATGGGGACGCAGCTACTGTCGCCCACCCCGTCATAATCTTTTATCTGGACTATCGAAGGAGTCTCCTAACAGGTCTCTCTGCTTCTTCCTTGCCCAGCTAGTGTCTGTTCTGAATGCAGCAGCTGAAGTAAACATAAACCAAGAGTCAAATCGTGCCACTCGGAGCTACATCAGGTCTGCTCAAATCCTCCAGCCGCTCCCCATCGCACAGAAGATTAAACCAAATCCCTCTCTCTGTTATCCAAGGCCCTCCCCACTCTGCTCGCCCTTCTCTGATCTCTTCTCCTACTCCTCGTTAGCTCCCATTCAGCCTCACTGGCCTCTTCAGCATTCCTCAGACACATCCTCCGGCCTTAGGGTCTTTGCACTCTCCCTGCAGAAGCCCACAAGGCTCACTTCCTCCAGGTCTCTGTTCAACTCTCACTTGATCAGAGAGGCTGTTGTTGACCCTAGGTAAGCACACATACACACACACAGCACATGTGACTCTCTGTCACCTTTATTATTCTTGTTGGAACTTCCCACCACCTGACATACCAGCTTATTGGCTTATGGTCCCTCTCCCTTCATTGGAATGTAAGTCACTGCTCTCCAAGAGGGCAGGGACTTTGTATCCTCTGTCCTCTGTTGTATCCCAATGTCTTCCCACAGCACCTAAGTTAATATATGTTAAACAAATTAATGAGTGAATTTTTTAGCATCTCTCACTAGCATGTCCTCATGAAATACTTACTTGACAGAAAAATCCTAAGTTTGCCCAGAGTATCCGTCAGAGGAGTGAGATTTATTTTCAAGTTATATGAGGATTAGCCTAAAGAACAAAAGGCACATGGACCTTTTGGGAAGATCATTTGCCTTCGTAAGTCCTGTGGGATTGGGATTTATGAGCAAACCCAAGCAATTCAGAGCATATACTTAATGGAATAATTTCTAATGCCCTGTACATGGTGACTCACATGAAATACTTAAGTGAAGATATGTTACAAGCAGTTAGGTTTTGTGGAGACATTGTCTACTGTTGTTTTTAATAACAATATGCTATTAGTACCTTTAAAATACTGTCTCTTCTGATGCCAAAAAAAAAAAAAGAAAAAAGAAAAAAAGAAAAGAAACAACAGCAACAACAACAAAACTGGACCAGGAAATGAGAAGCTGGAATGCTGGTTCCAGCTCTGCCATCAGTTGCTATGTGACTTTAATGGAGTTATTTCCTCTCTCTCCATCTAATTTTTTTCCATCTGTAAAAATTAACATATTGAATTAAATTATCTCTATGATTGTCTGCCAGTTCTAAAATTCTAGGGTTCTATGAATTACTGGCTGGCTGGCTGGATGGATAGATGACTCTAATTTCCACATTACGCAGTCATAACAATAGTGGTTAGTTCTAATCTGTTCTTATCATGCTCTTCCCACAATTCCCTAGTCCAGAGAATACTACCCTTTATCTGAGGTTATGTACATCCCTTACCCTTAGGTCCTTGTATCTATCTTCTTTGAACAGTGAACAGTTAGAAGCCAGTAGATTATAGAATCACGCAAAACAAAAGTGGTGGTAACTGAAGGGTATTTATTCTGTGAGAAAGGAAAGAGGAAGATGGATGTATTAACTTACAACCAAGCATCAGGAAGGCATACAAAGTAGTTCATGCAGTCCACTTCACCATGCCTGTCTGTTTGTGAGAGACCTTATACAGACATTGAATCTTCCCTTTGGTGGATTATAAACTCTGATGGCTGAACATGGAAAGACCCAGAATAACATCTGAAAAAGTGATCTTGGCCCCCTAATTTGCTGTCCCTGGGCAAGTCCCCAGAGTTGGAATGGAACACAGAGGAAGCCTGCCCTGGGCTTGGTCTACTTCTTACTAGCTGGGTGACCTTCGGTAAGGCACCCTCTACCCCCATGTTCCTGGAAATAGAATAGAGCTAATAGGGTTGAAGTGAGGATTAAGCAAGAAGGCTCGGTGAGGTAAAGTAACTTGCCTCTAATGTCACAGAGCTAATCATTTGAATCCCAAAGCCATAGTAGGAAATGAATATGAAAGGAATCAAAAGAGACTCCTATAATTTTACACTCTCCGTTGATTAAATTGATGGATTTAAAGTAAGGAATGTCTGTATGGGGCTCGCAGAGATAATTTCACCATTGCTAGAAATTCACTTACTCACAAACTTGGTGTCCATTCAGCAAAATATACCAGAAATGTGTTCACAGGTGGTATTTGCTGGATGAAATTGGATCATTCCATCTACGTGAAATATTTGTACACCCAGTGCCTATCTCCTGCGACAGCAGAAATTATCACTTTTCATTGATCTCCTTTTAGACCTGACCTTGATATTCCCTCATTTCCTCCTAAATATATCAAAGCACCCGAGGATATAAGTGTGCTCTGCTTCAATTGAATTTCACTGGTCTCATGTTGAGATTTGTGTTCTGAAGCAAGCACTTGATCATCTCATCACCAGCCTTTGAATCTGCTTCCTTTTCTTCCCTTTTCATGTTTGAGTTTCCTTAGCTGAGACAGCCACTTGACAGCCATCCATCACTGTAGCTGTGCAAGTGCATTTGTACCGTCTCCTGCTGGCCCTGTGTTACATGAGCCCATCTGGAGGAGGGGAGTGGGAGAGGGTTGGGCAAAGGGCAAAGGGCAATTAAGAAAAAAAAAGTCTACTGTATTTCATTAAATCTGCACACCACCACAGCAAGGTAGATGACATTATCCCTGTTTACAGATGAGGAAGCTGAGGCTTAGGGAGGGTAGTTCTTGAAGTTACACAACTGATACACAGCATAATTGGGATTCCAAACATAAGCCCTTTCTCATAGTCCATGCTTTGTTATTGCTGAGAATGAGTGGAGACTGTGGGAGAGTGACCAAAAATACCTAGATATGCCTGCAGTCCTATCAACAATTAAGTTTTTACCCAGCTGTAACCCTCTTTAAGGTAATTTGAATTATGCTTCTTAAACCAGTCACATTGGCACCCACAGCATGCCACCTTGAGCCAAGTGGTGTGCCCGGCACTTTATTATAGACACAATTTACTTTATTCATCACCTTTATCCACAAAGTCATGATAACTTTAAAGTGGTGTTTTTCAAAGTATGCTCCTCTGACCAACTGCATTAGAATCACCCAAGGAACTTGTTAAAATACAGATTCCAGGGCTTCACCACAAGGGTAAGAACAGTGGAATTTTCATTATTAACAAATTCTATGATACATTTGGACAATTGTTCTTAAAAGGTAATAAGTCCTTGTTATTAACAAAACACTTGAATCATTACCTTTTAACGAGCCTTTGTAAGTTAAGCATTTTGTATTTAAAATGTAGCTATGGCTTCCTTTAATTAGTAATGAGTTTAGGGAGATACAGATAGGAAGCTGGAACTCAGTTCAGGGCTTAGTTGAATGAATATTACCTGGTACCCAGAGAAATTTGAAGGAATCTATTTTTAGGAGTGACTAGTAGGTCACACCTATAAAATTCAAGATCTGGTATAAATAGTCTGAAATTTGGACTTCAGTCTGGACTTTTGTAGTATTCTATGATATATCAGATAGAAGCCTCTTTTAAAATTTTAAGTTAAATATTCATCATTAAATTATATCAGGTAAGATACAACATTATAGAAACAGATTCATTTCAATGCAGAACCTTTAATGAATATCAACTGTGAACTAGGTGCAATGGTTTACAAAAACAATTAAGCTGGTGATTCCTGCCAAACATGCAAAGAAAAATTAATACCAATTTTCACAAACTCTTCCAAAAAATAGAAAAAGAGAGAACACTTCATAGCTCATTCTATAAGGTCAATATTACCCTGACACCAAAACCAGACAAAGACACAAGAGTTCACCAGTGAAGATGGGAGGAGTTTAAGCCCAGGAGTCCCATGCTGGTTCTCTAACTGGGCTGGGTGGATTTCTGGGAGAGGGTAGAGTCGGAAAGTTCGGAAGACCACGATGAAGACAATGGTGTGAAGGTGGTGGTGATGATAGTTACAGCAGCACATGCACACACACTCGCATCACTCATATGAACACAGATTTGAAATCCAGTAGTGTGTTTTATCAAGCATTCTTCTCTAAGGTAGGTCCTAGCCTTGTCTTTGCTGTAGTTACTTATTGTGGTGGATATTAGAAGACATGAGAATTCAGTGTGTAGCTGATGAACAAGAACCGAGACTTTTGTTCCTCTGTCAACAAGACTTCCTCTCACTGCCTTCTTATTTTCTCTTCTCCTCTTCATTCCCCTCAGCCCACTCCCCTCCCGGCAATGCCCTCACTGTCCTTCAGTAACAGCTCCCTCCAAATACCACCATCCCTGTCAGTATATCTATAGCCCTGTTTACAAACTTGCATTCAGACCTAGATCTAATTATTTGGTTATGACACTGCAGTTTATATTAACCCTTTGACAAACAAGCAAGTGATAGCAGCTGTGGAATAAACTTTTTCCAATCCCTTTGACCTCAAAATAAAAGAATATAAGAATATAAAGTCAGTCTTTTGAGCAAAGTCTTTTGCCCTTTATAGTGAAAGCTTTATTGAATGCATGAGGACAGAATTAATTCAGGGAAAAAAATGTACTTCATATGCAGGATGCCAGAAAAGCTCCCACCCTGAGCACCACTTTTATTGGCACAAGTTGACCTGCAGAAGTCCCAAGCAGAGACACGATAGAAAGACCCAGGCTTGGCAGGGGGTGGTGGCTCATGCCTGTAATCCCAGCACTTTGGGAGGCCGAGTTAGGAGGATCACTTGAGACCAGGAGTTGGAGACCAGCCTGACCAACATGGTGAAACCCCATCTCTACTAAAAATACAAAAATTAGCCAGGCATTGTGGCACATGCATGTAATCCCAGCTACTTCGGAGGCTAAGGCAGGAAAATCACTTGAACTCAGGAGGCGGAATTTGCAGTGAGCCGAGATCGCACCACTGCACTCCAGCCTGAGTAAAGAGCAAGACTTTGTCTCAAAAAATAAAAATAAAAAAATGAAAGACGCAGGCTTTTCGTCTTTGTGAGCCTGAGTCCCAGCACTGCCACTTGCCAGCTCTGTGACTTTGGGCAGATCTCTTTACCTCACAGAGCCTCTGTGTTCCAACATGTAAAATAGGAGTAGTAACTTCTATCTTGCAGGGTTAATTTGAGATTAAATTAGATCAAGCAAATCTATTATTAAAGCTTCTGGCACACAGTAAGTTTTCATTCATTGTAAATGTAACTTTTACGTTCAACAAATGCAGCTCATCAGACATAATTGCAAGGTGATTTTATTTTTGCCTCCCACTATCCCTTTAAATTTATTCTCCAGGTCAAGTTCTTCCCCTCCCCTTTCACAAAATTTTGGATGGGTCTCATAACTTGTACAATATTTAGGGAAGTCTTGTAACTTGGCAAATGTCAGGAAATAAAAGTCCTCCAGTAATTTAAATGTTCAGTCCTATGTAATAGTCAAAGTAGTCAGTCTATTTAAAGTGAATGTTTTTCTCCCTCCTGCCGCTCTGGCCTGCTGCAGAGGAGATGCCTACAGTGGGCTTCTACTGCCCTGTCCTCCCCTCCCCCAGCTCCTCACCTTTCCAGGGTTGGTATTCGGGGAGCAAGGGCGGGGAGGAGGCAAGCTCTCGCTTGGACCCGTGTGGCCATGGTGACTGATGTCCCCCAGCAGGTGTTTAAGCTGGGATCTTTGTCTTGCGGGTGCTTTGCTGGGTTCTTTGGAGGCCCCCACCCATCACTTTGAATCTCATACCACAGTCCCTTGATAAATGTGAATCTCTCTGGCTGCTCCCATACTCCTTCCTCACCCCCAGCATCCTGCAGTCCCTCCAGCTTCTTTCTGGTGGGATCTGTTTGCCACTTCAGCTGGCCCTCTTGACCCCATCTGCTCCAGGAAAACAGCACCGTGCATTCTTTGCTCCAGCAAACAGAGTACAGGCCACCCCCAACACAACCATTTCTCTCTCCCTCTGCTCCAAGACCAGCTAGCCAGCTGTCTCCTGGGCCTTGTCTCTCAGATGAGTCAGCTATGGCTCCAGCACAGCCCCTGAGATCCGGGTGTCCTTGAGCCTCTCTCTTGATTTCAGTCGAAGGGAGAAGTAGCCCCGTCACAGCACACAGAGCTCTTGCCAACGTCCTCTCCCTCCACCATTCTCAGCCTTTCCTTTGAGGATCCTGCATTGTGACCTTGTGCCTGCTTTGGTATTGTCTCAGTGCCTCAGCTGAATGTTCCATTTCAGTTCTGGGACATGGCTCCTAATTGTAGTATTTTTGTTTAATTCTAACATCTCTACTTATTGCTGTCCAAGGTCAAGACACGGAACCCCCTGAGCTCCTGTTTCCTCATCTGTAAAACGAGGATGATAATAACAGTGTCTACTCCATAGGATCTCCATGACGATTGAATGAGGTAGTGAAAAAGTGTGCCTCATACAGTTTCTGGAACCAAGAAGCTTCTCTGTCATCTACCTTCACGATCATCACCATTACCATCATTAGTCTGAAAGCAAATCAGTTTCTCACTGTGACGGTCCCCTTGTTTTCAGGTCCTTTTGTTTCCAACCCTCCCTCCTCCTACTGTTTGGCCAGAGCACACACACACAAAGACACATACAGACATGGACGTACGTGCAAGCACAGCCACATGTGCAGAGCAGAGGCCGTTTAGGCGTGTCTTTGATGCTGACACTTCCACACCCAGCACTCTGGTGCCCCTTACTAACTGGTTTATCTCTGCACACTGCCCTCCCAGGAACCTAATTAAGTTGTAGGCCTGTGTGAGGCCAGCTGCTGCTGGACCATCAGCATCTCTCTTCCAGGACCCCTAGGTCTCTCCAAATGGCACAGAGTTCCCTGGGGCAGAAAGACGGGCTAATCCCATTGTTGGGAAGTCAGGTGCGGAGTGTCTGTGTTGAATGATTACAAGCATGAAGATGATTTTTGAATCTCACAGAGGGATGCTCTGCATATTTCCTCTCTGCTTTCAGCCATTTCCTAGGTTATACACAGTTTGGCTCTGCTCCAAAAAGAGAAAACATAAGTAATAGGACAGTAGGCCTGTTTTCAATTTGTAATGCATTTTTTTCTGCCACCCGTCACAATTAGATTTCACTCATCGCCTCCTGCCAGTGGTTACAGGGCCCACTCTGGGCCTCCTCACCTCCCTCTGTTTCTATGGGTTATAGCACCTCTGATATCAAATGACTCAAATCATTTATTTTCCTCTTCTGCCCTTCACTAGATTGTGGGCTCCTTGTCTTTTCTTCCCAGGGCCTGGATCGTAGTCTCTCTGAGGCCCTAGATGAGTAACCTCACCTCTCTGAGCTTAGTTTCCTCATCCATAAAACAGAAAGTAATAGTGCCTAACTCAAAAGGTGGCTCTGAGATTTAAATTAAGTAATGAATGCAAAGCACCTGATACACAGTGGGCCCTCAGTAAAGGGTACCGATATTATAATTGCTGCAGGCACTCAATAAATGCCTTAAATAATTTATTAGCAGAAGTGACACTAAGTTTGTAATTTAGATTATTATTAAATAAAACATACTTGAATCTGCAGCCTCCAGTCTCTCCCTATCCCAGCCTCTTATTGCCCCAAAGTGGTCTGAGTCACCAAAACAAAATACCTCCCGGGCCACATCATCACGTCACTCCTCTGCTCTTAGGTCTTGAGTGGCTCCTGCTGCTTCCAGGGTCAAGCCTGAGCTCCAGTGTGTGGTCCCTCCTTACCGCTCCACCTTCTTTGCCTCTACTGGCCTTCATATAATTCTTAGCTATAAAATGAAAGTGTTCAGATGTCTGTCCAGCTCTGCTACTCCATGATTCTTATGCAGTCATATTCACTCAGCAAGCCTTTTCTCAGTGCCTGCTCTGTGCTGGGCTAGGCTCAGATACGCTCCTGTCCTCTAGGGCATCCAGTTCAGAGAGGATATATGCTTGTCAAGAGATGACTGCAGCAGACTGGGATGCCGTGTGGAAGCTGGAGTGAGAGTTTTCATCCTGTCTTAGGGGTCAGTGATGGCTCACAGAGGTGATACGTGTGAGGTCAAGCAAAGAGCATGGGGCCTGGGAGAGCATTCTAGAAAGAGAGCAATATAAGCAAAGACCAGGGATGTAGATAAGCTACTCAGAGGACGAGAGTGGGAGGCAATGGGCCTACAGAAGTGGGCTGTGCTGGACTGGACCCGTGGTCTGGCTGGGGAGTCTGGCCTTGATCCTCCAGATGAGGAATTAACAGAGGTCTTTTAATCAGGCCAAGCCTATTTTCAACCATGGCAGAAGTGTGCCTCCCTTCTGGTACTGTAATTTGTGCATGTGATTGGTACCAAATTTTATTTTGATATTTAAGTAAGAGAAAAAAGTTGTGGGATTCTTTTTGTTTGTTTGTTTTTTGTTTTCTGTACAGAAACTGATTGCTGTAGAACAGTAGGAAAGTGTCAGATCTGAAGTTAATGGTTCACTCTTGAATTTGAGTTCTGGTCCTCCTGTTTGTTAGCTGTGTGCCCTTGAGCAAATCGCTCACCTCTCTGGGCTTTGGTTTTCTCATTAGAATGAGGGGAGGTCCCTGCCTGGTGGCACTGTGTGGGGATTGAGGGCATGTTTGTGCAGCATCTGGTGCACACTGTAGGCCCCAACATCCTCTTCTCTTCTCTCCCCCTCAGTCTCAGGATGCCAGCCTGACCACCTGCATAGCTGACAGATAAAGAATGCAGGGTGCTGATGCGAAGGAGGCTTCCTTTGAAATATTAATTGCTTCCCCCAAAGACTAGGTGTTTTCAAGGGCTTTGTTTGCTCAGCTGAATGCACATGACATGATGGGCTTGGACCTGCCATCCCAGGCTGCCTGGAAAATGCCTCTAAAGATGACTCCAAGCGCTGTGGCTGTGCTAATGAGTTTGTGGGGATGATCTTCTTATGAATGCTGGGAGGGAAGGATTGCAGAAATGTCAGTGCCTCTCCTTCCCTGCCTGAAAATCCCTACTCTTCTAAAACTGCCCTGAGATTCCTCGGCGAGGCCCTTGAACTCCCAGAGCACCTGCTCTCCCCAGGCTCTGGTGTGTACTTTTGTTTTCTTTGTGTTGAGTGAGGCTTACTGCCCCACTCAGCTGAACATTGTTAGAGGCCAGTTCACATCTTTTTGTTACTCTAGGATGCATCCTCAATGCGTGTTGAACAGAATCGCCAGCAGAGGCCCAGCGGCATGAAACAATGCTTACTATGTAGGCTGAGCACCTGCTGTGTGCAAAGTGTGTTCAGTAGGCACTTGTTGTCCATTGGAATATGAGCCTGGAGCCAGGTAGGGACGTGCTGTGAAGGTGATCATGCCTTTCGAAAGAACATGACTATTCTCCTGATGGGTCTATGCATTATGCTGACTTGTGCCCTTAGCCTTTTTCTATCTACTCCCTTTTTTGGCCTATATTTAAGTTGCATCTCGGGTAGAAAAGAGAAGCAGAAAATTCAAGGCAGGGATAGTTCATGCAGACACAGGCTAATGAACATGCTTCAGGCATCTACAGGGCAGCTCGTGGAGCTTGAGATACGGAGTTGGATGGGCCTGGGTTCCAGTCAGGCCCTGACTGGCCATGACACTTCAGGGAAGACCTTGAACCTCTCTGGGAGCCAGGGGGCCTCCAGCCTTACTGGGCTGTGCTGATGGTGAGAGAGTGAGTGCATGTAAGTGCCGCCCACCCCTCTGGCATAGAGAGGAATTAAGGAAGTGGTGCAGCCACCCTGAGCAATTGGCCTCTGAGGTGCTGGCCACAGCACATCACTGTCACCCTGGGTCCCAGCCCAGGCAAGTTTTGTGCTACAGCTTCATGATGAAATTCCACATCCCATTTCTGAGGAAGCCTCTCTGGATTTCATGGCCTGAAAAACAAGTCTCACATTTTCTCAGACACTGACACCTCTGAGCATGTCTATTACTTCTCCTAGAGTTAGCAGGTTGCTGAAAAGCTTGCCGAAAGTAAAATTACAATGTGAAAAGAAAGAGAGATATCGAAGCCAGAGAAGGTTAGTTGGGCCTGGGTAAATGAAGTCCATGATTCACTCACCAGACTGCCCACCCGCTGCTGGCCTGGCTGCACATCCCTGATGCACCCCAGAGCTCTGGCCACCGCAGGTGAGACAGTGTGGGCAGCCAAGGGTCTCAGTGTGGGCAGCCGGGCTTCATCAGCATCACTTCCAGGGAATCAGTAGCAACAAGAATCAAAAGCAGCACAAAATGCAATAGAAGTGGTATTTCATGCCACTTTCATCATGGATGAATTGCTTGAACCCGGGAGGCAGAAGTTGCAGTGAGCCGAGATAGCGCCACTGCACTCCAGCCTGGGCGACAGAGCGAGACTCCATCTCAAAAAAAACGTAAGACAAAGGTGTTTATTCGTTGGTTCAGTAACACTGACTTGAGTGCATGCTGAAACATGCCAGCCTCCAAACCAGGCACCAGGGACGCAGAGATGGGTCAGATGCCACCTCTGCTCTCCTAGGCCCCACAGATGAGCTTGGAAACAAATAACAAAGATCACAGTATAAGTCAGACAAAGAAGGTGAGCATCAGAGGAGGCAGGGATCACCTCCTTGCAAAGGGAGGGGTGTCAGGAAAGGAGATGTTCCAGCTGGATTTTTAAACAGCTTTATTGAGGTATCATTCACATAACATAAAATGCACCCCTTTTAAGTGTATATTTTCATGAGATTTAGTAAAATTATACATTGGTGCAGCCGTCTCTGAAAGACAGTTTTAGCATCCTCCCTCTCACTCACAAGCCTCGGCAACCACTGATCTTTCTGTTTCTACAGTTTGCCTTTTCTAGAATTTTCATATAGTTGGAATCATACAATATGTGGTATATTCTGTTAGCCTTCTTTCATTTAGCATGCTTTTTAAGAGTCATCCATATTGGTTCATTTCTTTTTGTTGCTAAGTAGTATTCCATTATATGGATACACTCATTTTGTCTATTCATTAGTTGATGGACATTTAAGCTATTTCCATCTTTTTGTCAAAAATAAATTGACCATATATGTGAGCCAATGGTATGATGATAAATGTTTAATAACTTTTTCCCACTATCTGGAAAAAAAAAGGGCCTTATTTGTCCTATTTACAGTGTTAGCCAATTTCCTGATATGAATACTGTCACATGGATGCTTTCAAGCTACCAATAATTTAACAATCGGTTCATTAAATTCCTGAAAATTTAACAATTATTTCTGTAAGCCAGTGTGAGCCAGCTTTAGCACACTTCTGTATGCAAAGATCTATTTCTGAACACTCTATTCCGTTCATAGATCTATATGTCTATCCTTATGTGAGTAACACACTGACTGATTACAGTAGCTTCATAAGTTTTGAAATCAGGTAGTGTAAATCCTCATACTTTGTTTCTCCTATTCAAAATTGTTTTGGCAATTCTAGATCTTTTGCATTTCCCTATAAATTTTAAGATCAGCTTGTCATTTTCTACAAAGAGTCCTGCTGGGATTTTGATATTAGTTGCTTCGAATTTATAGATCAATTTCTAGAGAGTTGCCATCTTAACAATGTTGACTCTTGCAGTATATGAATATGGTGTATCTCTTTATTTATAATATTTCTTCAATCTCTCTCAGCAGCATTATGTAGTTTTCAGTGTACAGCCATTGCACTTCTTTTTTTACATTTATTACTGGCTGAGTGCAGTGGCTCATACATGTAATCTCAGAACTTTGGGAGGCCAAGGTGGGAGGATTGCTTGAGCCCAGGAGTTTGAGGCTGCAATGAGCCATGATCACACCCCTGCACTCCAGCCTGGCTGACAGAGTGAGACCTTGTCTCTTTAAATTAAAAAATAAATTAAAAATCAAAAAAAACTTATTCCTATTGTATTCTGCTTGATATTATTGTGAATGAACTTTTAAAATTTTATATTCCCATTGTCTGTTACTAGTATGTAGATGTACAATTAATTTTTATGTATTGATCTAGCATCCAGCAATCTTGCTAAACTCACTCATTTTTTCTAGTAGCCTTTATTGGGTTTTTTTGTTGTTGTTGTTTTGTTTTTTTGGTTTTTTTGAGATGGAGTCTTGCTCTGTGGCCCATGCTGGAGTGCAGTGGCATGATCTCAGATCACTACAACCTCCACTTCCCGGGTTCAAGCGATTCTCCTGCCTCAGCCTCCTGAGTAGCTGGGATTACAGGCACCCACCACAACACCTGGCTAATTTTTGTATTTTTAGTAGAGACGAGGTTTCCCCGTGTTGGCCAGGCTGGTCTCGAACTCCTGACCTCAAGTGATCCACCCACCTTGGCCTTCCAAAGTGCAGGGATTACTCGGTCAATTCCTGAGTATTTTCTAAATGCAAGATTATGTTATATGCAAATAATGACAGTTTGTGTCTTCTTTTCTAATCTGTATGCCTTTAACTTCTTTTCTTGTTTTATTATGGATTACCCGGCCAATTCCTGAGTATTTTCTAAATGCAAGGTTATGTTATATGCAAATAATGACAGCTTTGTGTCTTCTTTTCTAATCTGTATGCCTTTAACTTCTTTTCTTGTTTTATTATACTGACTATGACTGTCACAGAATGTTGAATAGAAGTGTTGAAAGTGGGCATCCTTACTTTGTTCCTGATCTTAGGGGGAAAGCATTTGGTCTTTTACCATTGAGTATTATGTTTGTTGTAGGGTTTTTGTAGATATCCTCTAGTAAGTTGAGGGAGTTCCCCTCTATTGCTAGATTGATGATGTTTCTTTTTCTTTCTTTCTTTCTTTTTTTTTAAGTAAAGATAGGGTTTCATTATGTTGGCAAGGTTGGTCTTGAACTCCTGGCCTCAACTGATCTGCCTGCCTTGGCCTTCCAACATGCTGGAATTACAAGAGTGAGCCACCACTCCCAGCAATATTTCTTTTTATCATGAAAGGGTGTTAGATTTTGTCACATGCTTTTTCTTTTTTTTTTTTTGAGATGGAGTCTCACTCTGTCACCCAGGCTGGAGTGCAGTGGCACAACCTTGGCTCACTGCAAGCTCCGCCTCCTGGGTTCACGCCATTCTCCTGCCTCAGCCTCCCAAGTAGCTGGGACTACAGGCACCCACCACCACGCCCGGCTAATTTTTTGTATTTTTTAGTAGAGACGGGGTTTCACCGTGTTAGCCAGGATGGTCTCTATCTCCTGACCTCATGATCCACCCGCCTCAGCCTCCCAGAGTGCCGGGATTACAGGCGTGAGCCACCGTGCCCGGTCTGTCACATGCTTTTTCTAAGAATATTGAGATGATCATATGGTTTTTGTTCTTTATTCTGTTACTGTATGATGTATTATCCTAATTGATTTGGAATGTTAAACTGAGCTTGTACTCCTGGGATAAACTTTACTTTGTCCTGGTGTTTAAATCTTTTTATGTTGCTGGATTTGATTTGCAAATATTTTTTTAAGAGTTTCCACATCTGTATTCATGAGGAATATTAGCCTGTAGTTTTCTTTTCTTGCAGTGTCTTTGACTGGCTTGGTATCAGGGCATCAGGGAAATGCTGTCCTCTTAAAATGAGTTGAGAAGCATTCTCTTTTCTTCTATTTTCTTTTTTCTTTCTTTCTTTTTTTTTTTTTTTCTCTCTTTTGAGTCAGTCAGAATCTTGCTCTGTCACACAGGCTGGAGTGCAGTGGCACCATCTCTGCTCACTGCAAACTCCACCTCCTGGGCTTAAGCCATCCTCCCACTTTAGCCTCCCAAGTAGCTGTGACTACAGGCATGAGCCACAACACCCAGCTAATTTATATATATTTTCATAGAGATGGGATTTCACCATGTTGGCCGGGCTGGTCTCAAACTCCTGGGCTCAAGCGATCCACCTACCTCGGCCTCCCAAAGTACTGGGATTACAAGCTTGAGCCACCATGCCCAGCCTCTTTTTCTCTATTTTCTAAAAGAAGTTGTTAGGATTGATGTTCATTTTTTCCTTAATGTTTGATAGAATTCACCAGTGAAGCCATCAAGCATCAGACTTTCTTTGTGTAAAGATTTTAAATTACTAAGAGAAATGCACATCAATACCAAAATGAGATACCATCTCATGGCAGTCAGAATGGCAGTTATTAAAAGGTCAAAAAATAACAGATGCTGGTGAGGTAGAGGAGAAAAAGGAATGCCCATACACTGTTGGTGGGAATGTGAATTAGCTCAACCATTGTGGAAGACAATTCCTTAGAGACCTAAAGACAGAAATACCATTCAACCCAGCAATCCCATTACTGGATATATACCCAAAGGAATATAAATCATTCTGTTATAAAGACGCATGCCTGTATATGTTCACCGCAGCACTATTCACAATAGCAAAGACATGGAACCAACCTAAATGCCCATCAATGATTGACTGGATAAAGAAAATGTGATACATATTTCTTTTTTTATGTCCTTTGCAGGGACATGGATGGAGCTGGAGGCCATTATCCTTAGCAAACTAACTCACAAACAGAAAACCAAATACTGCATGTTCTCACTTATAAGTGGAAGCTAAATAATGAGAACACATGAACACATAGAGGGGTACAGCACACACTGGGGCCTATCAGAAGGTGGAAGGTGGGAAGAGGGAGAGGATCAGGAAAAATAACCAGTGAGTACTAGACTTAATACGTGGGTGATGAAATAATCTGTACAACAAACCCCTGTGACAAACTGTACATGTACCCTTGAACTTAAAAGTTAAAAAATAAATAAATAACAAATAAAAAAGATATGTACAGATTTTAAAAAAAGATTTAAAATTGTGAATTCAATTTCTGTACCTGATATAGGTTTATTCAGGTTTTCTATTTCTTCTTGAGTCAATTTTTTTTAAAGCAAATAAAACATTTTTTCAGATTTTTCTCTTTTTTACAAAAACATCCATACATACACAGGGTATGGTGTGTCCTAGGAAAGACACACACTAACATGCATGCCTCACTCACACACTCACACATACTCCTTGCACACACGCCTCATGCACACACTCACACACACTTTCCTGCTTGGCCCCAGGCCTGGACCTCCAAAAGCCTTAAAGACTTTTCCAGAGCAGCCTCCCCTCCCCATGTCTGTATCTTCCCTCCCACCCACTCCCCCTCAGCCGGCCTAGTCCTTTGTGGGGCAGGAGTCAGAGCTGTGGTGGGGGAGGCCCCAGAAACAGAGAAGGCTCACGAATCGGGCAGTGGCCGAGGGGTCCCAGGGATATGCTGTGCTTCTGGGGGAGACAAAGGGTTTGGCACTATTGGATCAGGAAGCACAGGACTCCCAGAGCACCTGTCGGCTCTACCAGGGCATCGACAGGAGGTCAATTTAGGGGGGCCTCTGGCCAGGGCAGGGACCAGATGGAGGTCTGCCGGTCTCGACTGTCAGGGAGCTTTCTCTCAGTACCCGGTGGTGTGGGGAAGCTTCCAGAGTCATCTGAGGAAGCAGGTGAGAGGGACTCCCCCTGCACTCAGGGATAAGAGTCAATTTTTTTTTTTTTAAGTCTCACTTTGTTGCCCAGGCTGGAGTGCAATGGCATGATCTTGGCTCACTGCAACTCTACTTCCCAGCTTCAAGCAACTCTCCTGCCTCAGCCTCCCAAGTACCTGGGATTACAGGCGCCCACCACCATGCCTGGCTAATTTTTGTATTTTTAGTAGAGATGGGGTTTCACCATGTTGGTCAGGCTGGTCTCAAACTCCTGATCTCAAGTGATCCTCCCACCTCAGCCTCCCAAAGTGCTGGGATTACAGGCGTGAGCCACCACGCCCAGCCAAGAGTCAATTTTATAATTTTCATCTTTCTAAGAATTTGCCTACTTCATGCATATTGTCAAATTTATTGACATCGAGTTGTTCCCAGTATTCCCTTATAAAATATTTTAAAGAGTAAATTAGCATGGTTCTCAAGAAGTCATAAAATGATGTTATTTTTAGTGCCAGCTTTGTTTAAAACACATTAAGCACTTTTTTCAAAAAAAAAAAAAAAAAAAGCAGAAACTTAGGTTTATGGAGTACTTCACTAGATGTACCGTACTGTGTCCTTCGCAGTTTTTACAGAGTATACTGTCAGAACTCTAGGTTACCCCCGAAGGAGCAACACTCCCTCCCACCTTTCAGGGCTTTTCTGCCTTCAACATTTCCATTTCCAGTCTAGGGAACCATCTTTCTGCAAGGACAGACACAGATCGTTGGGGACCCAGCTAACCAAAAGAGCGTAGCCTTCTCTCCTCAATCTCAACTGAGAACTCTATGGCCTTGTGGCACAACCACCCCAGCATTCCTAGGACTGGTAAACCCTGACAGTGACGGGGAAATGGTTATGGGGAAGTTTTCTTACAACCTATCACTTCTCATCTATCTCTTATTTCTTTCTACTTGAGGTATATTTGTAAGTGTACTTGTCTTAACTCTCACACTCCCCCACTCTTATCCTCCACCTCGGCCAACCGTAAGTTTTCTTATTTTGCACCATTTTTCTTCCTACAGTTTCTAATAAATACTGCAATTGAAATTAATTTGTGTAGAATCAAACTGACTCCTAGTTTGAGTTTTTGGGTTTTTTTTTTTTTTTTTTTTTTTTTTTGGAGACAGTCTTGCTCTGTTGCCCAGACTGCAGCACAGAGGCATGATCTTGGCTCACTGTAACCTCCGCCTCCCAGGTTCAAGCCATTCTCCTGCCTCAGCCTCCTGAGTAGCTGGGATTACAAGCACCCGCCACCACACCTGGCTAATTTTTGTATTTTGGTAGAGAGGGGGTTTTACCATGTTGGCCAGGCTGGTCTCGAACTCCTGGCCTCAAGAGATCTGCCGGCCTTGGCCTCCCAGGGTGCTGGGATCATAGGCTTGAGCCACGGTGCCCAGCCTAGTTTGAGCAGTTTTCATTTTTAACTATCCATCCTCATGGTTTTATACACATTGTGCCTGTGGACTTTCTTTGAATGAGACATTGTTTCCCAGATGCACAAGGGCCTCTAAGCTGTAGGCCACCCATAACTAGACTTAGATAGCAGCTATATGCAGAATGAGCCATTTACCTAGTACAGGGGCCCAAACCTTGACACCTATCATTGCCAGATGTTACCCATACAAATCTTTCTATGTAAGAGAGAGGGAGCATTCTTTTCTATTAATTATCTACTCACATTAGCTTCAAACTTTTCTTTATATACTTGACCATTTTTCGTCCAAGTATGTGCTTTCCTCATTTTATAAAATCATCATCCGTGGTATACATGTACTTACTGGATATTAACGGAGGAGAAAAATGATCCTAAATAATTAGAATACTGGCATTCTCTATGCAATACTTTTTTCTCCCTCTCACACAAAAGAAACTGAGAGCTGCGCACAAGCATGTACACATACATAGATCTTCAAGCTCCTCTCTCGGCCCAGTCATTTCTGGCCAGGAGAAAGCAATCTTCCACTACCTTCTAAAAGGAGACAGAAGCTCTCTATGCCACTTGCAACCCTCTAGGCCCCAGGTTGTTCTTTCTTTTTAATCTATAGATCCTACTTCCATTAACCACCTCCTGACAATAGCTTGGCAACCGACAGCATTCAGTGACTGCCTCCATCAGAGTGCACGAAGGAGATGGTTTCCCTTCTTCAGAAACATTTTACAATAACAAATGTAGACAAGATTTTTGAACGGAGACTTAACATGTTTCCATGGCAACATAAATCACCTACGAAAATCTGTAGGAAGACTTTAGACCCTTAAGACTTAAAAGCACTGTCTTCTTCCTTTGTAAAGCAGTCGAGGAATGTCAAAAAAATTTTATAAAGAAGATGGGAAAAGAATTTTATTTTCCCAGGATTTAGACACATAATAAATAATAAATACTTAGATACATAATAAATAAATTCCTCTTCCCTTATGAACAGAAAAATTGAATTTTTGTATGATCATAGTTGGCAGCAATCCATTATCCTAAGTCTCTGCTCTTATCAAGAAACGATTTGTACCAATTAACATATGCAGATGTTCTTCACAGCAGTAAAACTTGTTCCTTATATAATTCTATTTCCTTGTTTCTTGTAAATGTCAGCGTTTTTCAAATTAGCAATGAAAGCACAGCCTCCCCTCTGTTCTTTTACAACACTTTCCAGGGCCAAACCCCACCCCCCGCCCCCTGCCGCCCCGCGCACTCCTGTTGGCTCCCTCCCTCCCTCTTCTGGGGCCTGGCCTCATCAGTGACAGGCTGTCTTCAGGCTCTCCCTCTATAATTGCTCTTTCAGTATCTCCCGTTGAATGACTGCAAGCAACTGTGCTTAAGTGGAACAAGGTCTTAAAAAAGGAACATCTGTTTATAGTGGGTACTCAGTATTGGAGATTCAATTAATCAGGCATTCATTGAATGCTACTTTGTCCAAGTCTAACTTGAAATGCGCTCAGAAAGAAGCCTGGCGCTGGAAGCTGCTGCCCAAATTTTGCCCACTCTGGGCACCAGAATGTTGACTTCAGCATTCAGAAGTATAACAATAGCTATCACAGATATTTGATTATCTGTGTAATTGTTGATCTCTCCCCACCTGACAACAAGGTCTGTGGAGGGAAGATCTTCATCTCTCTGTACATACTGCATTTCTAGCTCCGTGTCTGGAGCACAGAAGAAATGCAATAATTTTTCTTGAATAAACGACTCTGTAATGAAAGTCAAATACATTTATTATGCACGTGTCTACCATGGGCTTTGTAATTCTTCTGATATGAATGTCCAGGTCCTCTTCAACTAAAGAAACTGCTTTACATTCTTTCTTATTTAACCCCCACATCAATTCTATGAGTAGGCCGTATGTAAATCCTTTACAAATGAGTTCACCAGTGTTCAGAGCAGGCAAGACCTGGCCCATGGGTTAGAGCTAGGATGGATGTATCTCACTCCAGAGCCAGTTCTCTTTCTAGTAACTCATCATCATCATCTGGCCCAGGTTCCATGTTTTCTCTCACCCTGTTAACCTCTGTCTGCACTTCCGAAAGGCTTGCATGTGCTGTGTGCTCTGAGACATCATTTTCTTCTGTGATGGCCTGTGTTTCTTTTTTCTGCTTATGACCTGGATCCAAGGCAGGTGCATCTTTATCAGCTTTGCTGCACTGGAGGTTTTGCTACCTTCTAAAGAAGGCTGCAGACCATTCACCCTGTTTCTTACAACAGAGTATGACTTCTCTCCATTAAGGTCATGCTGCAGCTCTGCTGGAAACTTGAACTTCTGTGCTCTGCTTACACCAGTATTTTCTGTCTTGCTGAGATGACACAAGTATTTTAAACCCTTTTTGATGAGAAGAGAAAATTTTCTGATTGGGGTTTGTATTAGAATTTGTTGCTTGTAACAAATTACTCCAAAACTTAGCCATGTAAATGGCAATAAATATTTTTGATCTCATAAAGTTTCTGAGGGTCAGTAATCCAGGAATGGCTTAGCTGGATGGTTCGAGCTCAGGGTCTCTCAGGAAATCATGTGAAGGGTGGTTTGGGTCTTCTAGGCCTTTTCACCCCCATGGCTTTTGGGAGGAAGCCTCAGTTCCTCCCGACATGGGCCTCTCCACAAGGGCTACTTGAATGTCCTTATGACATGGCAGCTTGCTGCCCCAGAGAGAGTAATCCCAGAGAGAGTACAAGGAGGAGGCTACAAAGCCTTTAATAAGCCACTCTCAGAAGTCATGCACCACCACTCCCACCATCTTCTGTTTGTTAGAAGTGAGTCCTCAAGTCCAACCACACTGAAGAGGAAGGAATTAAGCTCTACGTAAGGTAGAAGTATCAAAGAACTTGTGGGCATATTGTAGGAAGTTATATGGATGCCATGAGATGTTGCATAGCAACTTTACACCCCGTCCCTGGCTGGAGCAGCCGCAGGGAGGTGGGAGCTGCATTCCACATCCCTGTCGTAGACATGATGAGACTTACATGGATGCAAAAGGACAGCCTTTACTCTCAGGGATGGCACAGTCTGGAAGGGAAGAAAGTCATCTACACAGGTAGCTTGAGGTAAAATATAGCACAGTGCATGCTACAGAGAGGTACAGGTCAGAGAAGGAACAGAGAGACCAGAAAGGAGGAGTTGAAGGTAGAGTGTTTGTTGACTCCTCTGAAAACTTTGCCTGATCAGCAAGATCCCAAAGTCCTGCTTTGGCAGCTGCTGTGAATGTGACTATATGGCTGTTCAAAGGTTCTGGAGGAGCAGCCCAGAAAAGTCTTGCCCACTAAGTCTCCATGAGATGGCTCAAACTGGGCCTGGCTCTGCCATCCCTTAGTAGGGGGTTGAAGGCTGGCCCAGCCTTCTCTCCATAAATTTTCCTAGCACAAGTAAGCCATCAAAGAGTCATTTAAACCCAGATCTGAATATATTGATTGAGCCCATTCATCTGCAGTTCACCCACCCACCGGGGGATATCATAGCCCCAGACTCTCTTTCTGCCCCTGCAGGATTGTGTATGAGATAGGTCATGCATCAAGGCTCAAATAACAGGGTCCACCAGAGGCTCTGTTGTGGAGGGGACAGCGGGCCTTTGGTGATGCAGTTAGAGAGCACCCTGTCCCTGTGATTTCTACACATCACAATACAAGAGAAGCTGTGGCATGAGGAGCATCTCTGGGATGTCAGGAGTAGAAACTCACGGATATGGGACCCTCCCAATGTGCCCCGGGCCTCACTGTGGTGTACACCCAGGCTGACTGAAGGGAAGGGCTTTCTTGTGATTACTTCCAGGAGCCAAAGTGACCATGAGCTTGAAGGAAACGAAGACAAGCTTGGGTTACACATCCATCCCCAGGTGTGAGCTTTGGAGTCAGGCATTCCTATGCCACCGAGAAGCAAGTGTGTGCCCCATGTAGGGCAGGGAAGGAAGGGCTCAGGAGGAGGTGACATCAGCTGACCAGAAATAAATCTAACAATAGCTACTTCCGTTAACTGCCCACTGAATGTCAAGCCTTTAAATCCTGTGAAGAATGTAAAGAAGATATGGAGTGTGGCCCTGGGTGGCAGCACAGGGTGTGGGAGACAGGCAGGGATTGGAGTCCTAGCCTAGCTTGACCCTAACCTGCAGCCTGACATAGGATGCCCCTTTGCAGCCATGCAAATGAGACTGGACTCAAGAGTAGGATTCTGTCATAAATTTTGTCTTATCTTATCCTTTAAGAGAGACAGAATGGACTCATGAAAGAATTGAAGAATGGCATGAAACTGCCTGCTAACCACAAAGATGGCCAGTAAAGTAAATGGGCCAGGAGCTGAGAGATGGGAAATTTTGGGTTGAGTAACCCAGGAGAGGTTCCTGGAAGAGGAGAACCCTGAGCTGGGCCTTAAAGAATAGCTAGTATTGGGGCAGACTGATAGGAGGAGAGCACCATCAATGGAGAAACAGTGCTGCTTCGCTCAGAAACTTTCAGCATCTTCCCAGGCACAGCACATGCTTCCAAACATGGCATGCAGGCTCTGTGTCACCTGGCCCCAGCTCCTATCCAGCCTGGGCACCTTGCACAGCCTCCAAGACCCCAGCCTGCACCCTGAGCAGCCACCCTGATCAGTTCACCTGCTCTCTCTGAACCTGCCATACAGACTCAGACTGGTGCCTGAATTCCCTTCATCCGCTTTTCTGTTGACATCCTTCAATAACCCTTTCCCCAGTCCTCACTCCCCTTCAGAGTTAAGCATTCCTTTCCCTCTTGCCCTCTGATCCCTGTCCCATTTGATTCATCTTGTCTTTTCTTAGGATCAGACATGGTCAGGTCTAAATACCTGAACTCTAGACACCTCATCCATGGCTTACACATCCCTGTGGGGTACATTCCATGCCCTTGGCTATTGTGTGGCAGATGCCAAATGAATGGATGAGTGAATGGATGAATGAATGAATGAATGATCAAGAAAAAATGTAGTTGCACAGGAAGGGGAGACCATGTTACAGGGGACCATGAATTTCTGTCAAGAGGCACTGGGCATGACAGGGCAAGAGTGTGGCCCATACTGCTCTCAGTCTAGCATCTCAGGGCTGGAGGAGCTTAGGTGCCATCTAGCCCGGTCTGTGTCATGTAAGTCCTCTACAGCATTGCAGGCAGCAGGCCAGGCCCTGCACAGGCACCTCCAGTGAGGGCAGGCCGAGCACACTGCAGCTCTGGCACATTGCCGAAGTGTAGTGGGAAGGCTGTGGGCTGTGGAGCCTGACTGACCTGAGCTCAGACCCCAACTCTGCTATTTGCTGGTTGCATTGCCTTATGCAAGCCACTTAACCTCTCTGAGCCTTGGTTACCTCCTTTATAAAAGGGGCATAATAGTACCTGTTCTCAAAGTTGTTTTAAGAACTATAGAGAATATACAAAATAAAACAAAATCCTCCAGCTTATAAAAGGCAACTAATGAATGGTAGCTAATTTTCTTTCTATGACGTAATATTAGTTGTTGTATGTGATTAGAGAAGGTTTTATGGAGAGTTCAAAGAAAGTTCTTTTTCTTTTATTTTTTATTTTTTCATTTTTTATTATTTGGCTCATTTTCACACCTTGACGAAGTTTCTAAGAAATGGAATTTGGGCTTAAACCTAACCATCTGTCATAATTACAGTGAACCTATCCTGCAGCTCATTAACAAGGTCTCATGTGAAGATGATGTACCAGAGTTGTTCAAGATCAGGAGTTACCAAACTTTCCCACAGGGACATGTCCCACTGTTAGTGCTCACAGGTGAGACGCTCCCCAGCCCACAGGGGCCACTGCAGGGATGCAGGAGGCTGCAGAGGTTGGTCTGCAAGAGGTGACCCAGAAACAGCACTTAGGAATAGGGTACACCTATCTCAGTGCTAGTTCTGAAAGTGGGCAGGGGTGCGACAGAGAATCCAAGTTTCTGCCATCATGTGTCTGGGAGCCAGGTTGTCACTGATTGGGTCCTGGAGGCCCAGGCCCAAATACCAGGAGCCCATCTAACAGGCAAGGCTTCGACTCTGAAGGATAGAGGGAAGGAGGGAGGGACTGTAGCCTCTGGCAGGTAACGGTGGCCACAGCCCCAAATGTTCCCTGGGCCAGCCCTAGGCCTGTGTGTAGGGCCAAAATGGTTCAGAAGTCAGGTCAGGAAGGAGGATTGAACCTAAAGAAAGTGGAGAAGTGAGGAGGAGGGGTGAGGAAGGGATCCAAGAACAGCCTTGTTGCTGGGGTGTGTGGGATGCCGTGAACAGAATCAGGAGAGCTTCAACCTCTTTCCAAAGCCTATTTTCTTCCCAATTTCCACGTCTCAGTGGGGGACTACCGCCCCCCAGCCAGAGTCCTGGAGTCTCCCCAGATGCCCCCTTGACCTCACCTCATGAGTTTCCAAGTCCTGCCCATTCTCCCTCTTGACCCAGCACCCTCTTCTCCGCCCCCTGCTTCCCCTACTTCCTAACAGCAGTCTCCTGCCTGGCCTCTTGCCTCCACTATTCCCTTCTGTCCACCATTCACACTGCTCTCAAAATTCTCTTTCCAAAACTAACCTGGCCACACTCATCCTTGGCTTGAAATCATTTGGCAACCCTTAGCTACAGTGGAGACTGTCCCCTTAACATGGCTGGCATGGCCTCCATGGCCTGTCTAGCCTCTTATGCCCTTCCCCACTAAATGTGAGCCCAGCCACCCACACTGCCTGCAGGTTGGTCCCCACAGGGCCTTTTCCTACTCACTTGGGTTCCATAGCACCCAGCATCCTGTTAGGCAGACCATAAGCACTCAGTACATATTTCGTGAATGAATGAATGACTGAATGAATGGGTGAAAATGAATGATGAGGGAGTCCAGGAGGAGAAAATAATTTTTGGCAGGGAAAACAAGACGATTTGGTTCTAGGGACATTGAGTCTGAGTTGTTGGTAGGTGTCTTTTTCCATTTTCTGTTGCCTATAACAGAATATCTGAAACTGGGTAATTTATAAGAAATAAAATATATTCCTTACAGTTCTGGAGGCTGGGAAGTCCAAGGCCAAGGAGACGTATCTGGTGAGGGCCTTTTTGTTGGTGGGGACCCTGCAGAGTCCTGAGGCAGCACAGGGTGTCACATGGCGAGGGGGCCAAGTATGCTAGTTGAGGTCTCTCTTCCTCTTCTTATAAAAGCCACCAGTCCCACTCCCATGGCAACTCATCAATCAATTGCCTATTAATACACTAATCCAGGAATTGGTTAAATCATTCATGAGGGCAGAGCCCTCATTACCCAGTCACCTTTTACAGGCCCCACCTTTCAATGCTGCCACACTGGGGATGAAGTTTCAACGTGAGTTTTAGAGGGGACAAACATTCGAACCATAACAATGGGGCATCTAGGTGGGGACCCAGGCTGCACTGGAAAGGAGAGTCTGAAGCTCAGGGAAGGGTCTCTTAAAAGCCAGTAGTCTCTCTTCACATATGAGCCAGTTCCCCTAAAGAAATACGGAGAACAGGAGGTCAAATAACCGGCAAGTGGCTCAGTGTTACCAAATCAGCTTTATCAACTAAGACAGCCTCAGAGCTAGAAGGACATTATAAGGACCTTGTTTGGCCTAATTCTTTCATTTTACAAATGAGAAAACGAATGCTCAGAGCAGGGAAAGGCCTGCCAGCATAAGGCAGTGCTAGCACGAGAGCCTGCGTGTCTCCGTCGCAGTCCAAGCTCTTTCTCCTGCCTCCTGCGGCCTCCTTGTTCCTGGCACTCCTCTCTGAGCCCCGAAGGAGGGAGTCATCAGTGAGGGAGACAGTGGGACTTGGAAGAACCTAACTCCACAGATATTCATGCCCTAACTCCTCCTTTCCCACAGTGCAGCTTTTTGTGCCCCCAAAGGAGAACAGACCCAATAAAGACCCCAGAAGCCACAGAGTTCATGCATTGACTCTCGTGCACTTAACAAACAGAATAGACCCTCGTGGCCTGTGTCAACAGCTACATTTTTTAACTCTGTTTTGAACATTGTCAGCCATCTACTCTCCAGCCCTATAACAGATCATAAACAGCTGATTAGAAACCACGAGATGGATTGCAGAGAACAAGAAAACTGACACATTGACTCAAAAAAGCAGCAGATGAGGATCATTTAGGATAAGGACCAATAGCCATTTACACCAAAGCACACGAAGATGCTCCTACACACACACAGCCCAACACAAGTCGTAGTTGTGATCTCCAAATTATGTTCAGTCTGTGTTGCTTACTAACGATCTGCAAATATTTAGACATTTCACGAGGATGTTCATCTAAAGTGATTAAGATTGTTAAAGTTCTGGCCCTCCAAGAAGCAAGCCCTCTGCTATTCAAATGGGGGAATTATCCTCAAGGAATCTGGGCAACAAAAGTTCTTCATTATGAAAAAGGGGGGAAGGGAACTGGCATTCATTGATATGCCACAATATATCAGACAGTGTGCCTAATACATTGTCTCATTTAATTTCACAACTCTTCAACTTTGCACATAGCAGGCACTCAATATTTTTTGACTTCATGAATGACTGAATGGGTTGGGTTTTTTCAGTCTCATTTTCAAGATTGGGAAAAAGAGCCCTGAAGATTAGAATTGCCTGCCCATGGTCACACAGTGTGGAGCTGGGAACCTGATCTCTTTCTCCAAGGCACAACTGCTATTGCCACAACCCAACCTGGGTCAACTTTGCAAGAAGGGAGACTTGCACTCTTCCTTATGAAAGAGTGAGGCTAACCCTCCAGCCACACTTCAGTCAATGCTGCAAGCACTGATGGAGAGCTTGCTGTGTTTGCAGCCCTGTGTCAGGAGCTCTGCTTCCAGGCAGATGATGCTTCATATCACATATGCTTTCTTTGACTAACAGGAATGAATTCAGGGCATGGACGGACATCAAGCCTGTGAAACCAATAAAGGCCAAGCCCCAGTACAAGCCCCCAGATGATAAGATGGTTCATGAGACCAGCTACAGTGCTCAGTTCAAAGGAGAGGCCAGCAAGCCAACAACAGCTGACAATAAGGTCATTGATCGCAGAAGAATACGCAGCCTCTACAGCGAACCCTTCAAGGAACCCCCAAAGGTGAGACAGACCTTGTGGGAACCCATCAGCACAGCCTGGACCATAAGGGTTAACTGCAGCAGAGCATGGGGTGGGCTGCTGTCAAATCTGGCCCAGCCTCCACGGGCACCTTTAAAATCCCTGCTTCCTCTAAAGCACACTGAGACCCAGGGCCATCTTCAATAGGAACCTTTGTTAAACTCAAAGGGAATATTAAAGAGGAACATCACCTAAAATAAAGACAGCTTAAAGGCTGGCAGATTTCCAGGGAATTAGCTTCTGATTTTGAGAAATCCAGATAAACAATGGCAGAAAACCTCACCTGAGCCCTAAATCCCCTTGTCTTAAAATAGATGTGCTTGGGCCCCAGAAGGGCTGGCCCAGTATTGTAGGCCCCCATGCCCGGCTCCCCTCCCACCAGACCCTGCCTTGCCTCATCCTTGGCTCCAATCACTGGACCCTTTCTTCCCTCCCTAGTCCCTGAAAAGCACCTGCCCTCTCTCATCTTCTCGGGCTAAACACCATCCACTATGACTTCTCGGTCTGTCACAACACACCTGTCACATCAGCTATAATATATGTTCCCAGCATTTGTTACCAAAATGAACAGTTTGTGAAAGTGGACTCAAGGATTTTCCTAAGGTAACATTCCTCCACCTTACATAGGAGTTCGTGATCAGGAGAAGCATGTTGGAGATATAGCTGGTGAAGCAGGAATCATATAAGCCATGCAATCTAGCATCTTCTGATGTCAGGCCCCATGGAATTGTACAAATATCCACTGTCCTCTCTATAATAGCAGAAAATGCCTGAGAACTTAAATAACTCTGGAACCTAATTATCCTTTTCTCTGCTTTTGTCCTAAAGTCTTGCACTTCAGTGGAGTTTCCTATTTGGCCCAGGACCAGTTTATGGGTAAGGTAACTAACCGACCCAGTTTGCCTGGGATTCTTCCATTTTAGCACTGAAAGTTCTGTGTTCCAGGAAACCTCTCAGTTCCAGGCAAACCAGGACGATTGGTTCCTTTCCTTACAGGTCAGGAGTGACTGAAAGCCGCTGCACCTCAGTGAGTGAATGATCCAGCCTGCAAGGCCCAGCATCAGCTCTGTCCATCCAGAGATGGTGTGGCACCCGGGGCATGGGGTTAGCATTGGACAAAAGAGGACGTAGAGAAGGAAGGAGGGAAAATGAGGGAAACTAAATCTAGAGATAGATGAGGGGGGTGGCCTATTGAGGGGTCACTTTCAGTGACTCCGAAGTTTCCTGAGAAAGAGCAGGCAAGGCCATCTTCTCCAGATGAAGGGGACAGAGCTAGAGGAGGGAGGTTGGGGAGAGTGGAGTGAGCTTAGAACTGCTGCTCTGGGGAAAATGGTGGAGGAGCCAGGCAGAGAGGAGGAGCAGAGTGCTGGCAGTGGAAAGCCTAGCTGAGACTGGAGATGCCCCCCTGCCCAAAGCATCTCAGCGAGGATGCTTCTCCATATGGGTGAGCCAGCCTAGAGACAGAACAGGGGAAGCCAGCGGGTGCTGCAGCGACCCACCGCCCCAGAACATCTGCATCTTACATCAACAAAGGTTTATTTCTCATTAATATCCATTGTGGGTTGGCTGCCACTCTAACCCTCGTTGCCTCTCCATCTGGGTCTTGGGTGGCAGAGCAGCCTGTCTCTGTGGCAGAGGAAAAGAGAGCACTGGGCAGCACAGGCTGACTCTCAAATTTTCCGCCTGAAGGTGACCCAAGTCACTGCTCACATTTCATTGACTAAAGCAAAATCCTATGCCTGTGGGTGAGTTGAGCAACGTGATGAGGTGTTAACTTCCTACAGGGAGGGGCTCAAATATTGCCCAACAGTGGTATGGCCCACTGCCTGGGGTGGTCGGTGGAAGGCTGGCAGGACAAGGGAGACCACGTGGCCAGTGGGTGCTGCCAAAGTGACGGAACAGGGAGTTCAGACGGGAGATGCCGAATGCCCTAATGTCCTTGGGAACACCTTATGCACTGTGCTCCACCTGAGCCAACCTCTGTCATTACCGTCATTCCTTAATTAACCATATCTTTTCTCTCTAAATTCCTTCCCACGCCCCACCTTTTTGTGTTTCTGTATTTGCGGTCTGTCTCTCCGTACAGGTGGAAAAACCTAGTGTTCAGAGTTCCAAACCAAAAAAGACCTCAGCGAGCCATAAGCCCACGAGGAAGGCCAAAGACAAGCAGGCGGTGTCAGGCCAGGCTGCCAAGAAAAAGAGCGCGGAGGGCCCGAGTACCACCAAGCCAGACGACAAGGAGCAAAGCAAAGAGATGAACAATAAACTGGCTGAGGCGAAAGAGTAAATTTCCCTGCACTTTCCTTTTACTCTTCTCTCTCTCTCCCTCCCCCCAACTTTTTTTTTTTAAACCAACAAACCAAAAAAGGCCACAAAATTAATTAGAGGCTTCTCATCTGCCTTGGTCCTGAGTGTTCCAGGAGCTCTTTGGTTTGGCTTCTTTTGATGGAAGAATCCTGCTTCACAGACTGAGTGGCAGGCCTCCTCCTGAGGGCAGCCCCTGGAGCACCAGGAAGCGTTGCCGCTGGCTGTGCCCTCCCCTGGCACTCTGACTGCATGCTGATGAGCAAGGCAGGCAGGTCTGAGAGGCGAAACGAATCTCCCGGCAGTGCTTGGAAGTGTCTGTGGGGTCTCCTCCTCCCAGATCCCCAAGATCTGTGTCACTGGTCGATTTTGAACTTTAGGTACATGTGTTCTTTTCAAAAATTCAGAGAATCGTCATGTGCCACAGAAGCTCAGCCTGGGCTTCAGCAATTGACAAAATTTGAAGAAATATTAAACAAAAATAACAAAAAAAGAAACAACCTTGGCCTTAATGTCAATAAAAGGGAGTTGTGTCTGTTAAGTGGTCTTTTCATAGAATCGTCCATTAGAAATGTGTGCCTGTGTTTAGCTTCCTATCAGTGGGCTTTAAATTGTATACCGAGTCATAGATACGCCACTGATAACTAAAACTAGATCAGGGCTGGTGAAGAAGGTTAGGTGTTTTAGGTACATTCCAGCTGTCATAGGAAGATCACAGAAATGAGGAGGCTGTTTTCCTCTGATTCTCCTCGGCCGACCACCTGTCCAATGCTGCTGGTTTCGCAGAGCGACCGGTTGGAGATGTCTGAGGAAGAAAGTTCAAGGTGTAGGGATAGTGTGTTTGGAATTTGACTTTCCATTTCTGAGACCCAAGGGGGCGTAGATGTAGTGGCAAGTGTGGCGATGTTTACTCTCCCTTCCTGAACCGCTCTGGTCTGCTCCTCAGAGAGGGCAGCGGTGCCAGGCCTCAGGTCAGGGAGAATGTCTGTGACTTAGCTGCAGACTAGGAGACTGCCCTGCTAACTAATTAGCAAGCAGCTTTGACCTCATTAATATATAAAAGCAGCTCTCAGTATATTCCGTGTCGTGTGTGTGTGTGGCCAAAGCCCCCAAGGGTGGCAAGTGCCACCTTCGCTGTGCTAGAGTTGTGTTGTAGGAATTAGTCAGGGAGTTGTTGTGAAAAAAAAAACCCCAGTGCTTGTGAGGGAACTCAAAATAGTTACCAGAAAAATAATATTTGCCAATATGACGTGTATATTGCTCAGCACACTCTGTATCTCCTGTCCTTAAAATCCTCTTGTCCCCGGCATTCTGACACACTGGGCTGCCGTCCGGTGTCAAGCCCCGGCGCAGGCTTGCTCTTCTTTTACAATGAAAGGGGTGAAGAGTGAGGGTCTCACAGTTCCTTACCTCAAAGTCCCTTTAGGTCCTTCTGGTTTGGAGGAAGTGGAGCCTCCACGAACTCTCTCTTACTCCGACCATTCAGGCAGCAAAGTCTCTGCTTACATCATTTTGGTTGTCACCTTGGGGCTGAGTGAGAAGTCTTTTGTAAATTAATTCGGCGTGTGCTACATGAGCCATAATTATTAACAGAACAGGAATATCAGAAACGAAGTTGTTGATCAGGCCCACTGCGACCTTCCTTTCTATCTCAGGGTTTAAAACTGTGAGGAAGGAGAAGTATGAAGGAAGGTAGAAAATGCTGGTGGGTCTCCGTGTTTATGAGTCACAGATTTTGAAAGCTATCAGGAAATGACTAGAGTGGATCCTGGCACTGATTCCAACTCTTTGCCAGCTAATCTTAACATTTAGCAGAAAGCTCTAGCAACATGATCTTAATTGTATCCAGAGGATTTGCCAATGTATGTTCAGTCTCTCAAGATTTGGCATTAGTCAGACATGTTGATGCTAGCCACAATTTGGATTTCTCCATAGAATAATCATTTATTTTTGCAGATCAAATAAATCAGAGTTTACAATGCACAGGGGATCATTTATTTAGCATTCCCTTGCTAGAAGCCCGTGTGCCAGGCACTGTGCTAGGCGTGGTGGGCAGTATAAAGAAATCTGTCTCCACAGCCACACAACCAGAGGGTGCACATGACTTGATCCCTATGACCAAGTCAAGTTGGTGTTGCCCAAATCGCAGTTTGACATAAGGGTCCCACAGGCTTCCCCACCCCCCGCCCCCACTCACTGCCCCAGGGACCAACTTCCTACCCTCACCCAAGGCTTTAGAGGACCTGTAGCATGTCTTTTTCAACCTGTCAGTATCCCCTTCTGCTTAACACACCCACTGAGAAAACCCTGTTTGTAGTTCACTTTGACTCTTGAATGTGTCACTTTACTGGCAAGAGACTTCCTTTGATTTCTACTGTTTACAAATAAAACTCAGCCAGTCTCATTCTATATCCCAAACGTACTGAATGAAACTGATTTTGGTTCCACAAGCAGTGTTTGGGTGTTGCCTTCCTGAAGGTGACCAAGCTTCCAAAGCTCGTCCCACTGGCCTCTGTACATTTCCCTGTGGTTCTCCGTCCTTCCCTGGCGAGGGAGCTGGGACTGAAGCTTTCCCGCTGTTTCCCTGCCTGCAAAAGCAGCCCCAAGAGCTGCGCATTGGCTTCCCTCAGCAATCTGTCCTGTCTGTGCTCCCATTCGGTCCACATAGCTTTCTTTGCCTCTCTGAGGCAGACAGGAAGTGTCTAATTACGATTTTGTGGCCTGGGTTTTGTTGCATACCACAGATTGTCTATGTAACATGTAGCGCACACCTCTCTTGGTGCTATTTCATTCCTGCTGTAAGAGAATGACAAAAATATTCATGTATAGCCAATTGATTGTGACGTGCTTGTGGTCTGTGCTTGCTCAGAAAAACAAACAAACAAACAGTTTTTCCAATTATAAATAAATGCTAAAGACGAACACCACTTTCTTGATCTTATTTCCTTGGTGAGGCCCACCTGAGTAGGTGAAGGAATGAACCTTTTGCATTTGAGCCATTCTCTGCAAGATGAGCTGTGCCCTGCAGTCTTCCTGGGGCTCTCCATAATGCAGCTTGACTCTTTTAGATTGCCTCTCAGATACTATTGGCAAGCAGTCAGAGCTAAGTTTTGGGAAAGCGAAGATGGACCGGGAGACGCACTGGCCAAAAAGGTAGTGTAACATTTTGATCCAATGTTGCCGGGAAGAGCGACCGCCTGCACCGAGCACCACCTTGCCACACTGGGAGGCTGGGCTCTGACTCTCTGCCTCCTTCCTGTCGACTGGCAGGACTGTCATTTCTGGCTTTTTCTCCTCCCAAGGGATGGCAGAGATGCCTTCACTTGCTCAGTTAATCTATGGTCACTGTGGATGTTCCACCCATAGGGGGCTGGCTCACTGTGGGTTGTGGGGGTGACAGTCGTGTGTGTGCCTTATGTGGGGGTGCTGAAACAGCCACCAGACAGGCCACCAAGCAACAACAGATCAGGTAGTTGGGAACTCAGATGAAGGACAGGCTTCTTCCAACTAGGGCTGGGGAGTTGCGGAAGGCTCTGTGGCAGAGGGAGCCCTGGAAAGCAGCTGGGGTGTGGATATGTAAGGGCAAGGCCACTGCAGGGAGCAAGTCTAGAAATGGAAAACTGGGGGGCTGGGTGGGAACCTGAAAGCTAGGACCAAGTTTGCCCACTTTGTTATCCTTCTGGTAAAGTGGAAGACAAAAGATTTTATACTCTTCATTTTTCCAACATATGTTGATTGAATACCTATTATGTGCCAGGCACTGTGCTGGGCACTAGGGAAACCAGGATGACTGAGACCCCGCCTCTGATCACAGTGGGGCACGAAGGAGGAGGCCATTCTAGCTGGTTCCATGGATCAGGGAGGACTTCAGCAATGGGTAGGTGTTGACCAGGTGAACAGAGCCGGGGGTGGCCAAGGCATGCTAGATAGAGGGGTCTGCCCAAGCAAAGGTCGGAGGGGGGCCATCAAACACCAGGTGAACTTCAGTTCTGGGGGGGTAGCTCCCTTGGGAGGGTCATGGCACAGGCTGGAGAGTGACAGAGCTCGGTGGTGGAGAGGCCTGGTGCACGTGAGTGGGCGGTTGCTAACTGGGATCTCCATTTCCATATGCCCAAAGCGTACCTACACCCTGCATGCTCCCTTGTCATGCTTCTCTTGCTTGCTTATGCGTCAGGCAACACTACAGATCCTCTCTTGCTCTAAGCTAGGAGCCCTAGGGTGGACTTTTATTGCTGGACCTGATTGCTGAGTTTTGGGGGAGGCAGGGGTAGAAATCATTCAAGGGTGGTATAAATGAAAAGCCGTATGTATTTGTTTTCCAGATGAATAGAAAACATCCCACCCACCTGTCTACTTTTGTATGAGGCAGAAAACACAAAAGCTGCTCAAGAAATAAAACAAATACATAAAAGCATATTATTAAGCTCTCTTTTGATGAGTTAAGGGAGAGAGACAAAACGGGGATTGAGAGAGGTGGTAAGAAAGACAGGCGAGAAGTAGAGAGGTAGAAATAGCGGCACAGAGAGAAAAAGACACAGGAAAGCACACATATGAAGACACCTAGAGTAACCTAAGAGAGTGCGAGAAGGTGAGACACACTCAGAGTCAGAGAAAGGGCAAGCGTTGGGCAATGGAG